>NC_000006.12:26120606-26423636 GCF_000001405.40 Homo sapiens | reverse complement strand
GACAATTATTGATGGTGTCTCCTCTCACTCTCAGAAGTGCACAGCTCAGTGCTAAGGCAGGCATAGGACTTCTCTTCCGAGATTCACCATTTTCCCCGGCTCATGGCCTCAACTGAGTTCTGCATGTGCTTCTCAAGAAGTCAAGCCCACGGCTTAGCAGGGCAAACTCACTCATGGTGGCCCTTGTGCAGGAGGAAGGATTTTTCCCTGGAATCTTCTTTTCATAGGGAGAGTGTCCCTGCGGAATGGGGATCCAGGAAAGAGGATTGTGCTGGTCTGCAATGGGCTGGAATTTAGAAGAGAAGCTTTACCCAAAGTCACACAGTGCCAAAGTAACAAAGCAAAATGAAGCAACGCACCTGCCACCACAAGGTGCAGGATGGCCTCATTGCAGGACCTGCCTTCTTGGAAGTAACACTGGTAGATGCCGTTATCCTCGGCTGTGACATTGTGTATGATCAGGGCCACGCTGCCCCTGCTGTCTTTGCTCACAAAGGTGGTTCTCCCTCGGTACTCCTCCTTCTGCTCCTCTGTTCTCTCTCTTCCACCCTTATACACAAACACTGCAGGGGAGAACTGAGACTGGAACCACCGCACCTCCATGTCCTCAGCATTTTCCTCGGGTGACAGACAGCATCGTAACGTAGTGTTTTCTCCCACCATGGCCAGGATGGGATCAGTGGGCCCCACGACAGTGACCTGGGCTGTTCAACAAAGGGGCAGAATCAGACAAAGACACCAGCCATCACATCTCTAAGGCAGGAAAGGAAGCAGGTATTCCAGGGACAAACATATTCTTTCCACGGCCATAGGGTCTCCTTGGGCTGAGAATTCTGGGGACCAGTAGCTGTGGCTAGTCAACAGCACCCCTGGGAGCAGTAACTATGAAATCTGCTTCTGGTTCATGAAGGAAACCCTGGGGAGCCCTCCCTGAGCACCCTCTGTCCACCCTGTGCCCCATGAGGAGAATTTCCTCCATTCCCCAATCTAGCGCTGTGCCTGAGTGTAGTGTAAACTTGAGCCGTGCAATAGGGCACCTACCCACTAGCTAGTTCCAACTGAAATGAACTGTAAGTGTAAAATACGCACAGGATTATGAAGATTTAAAATTTCAAAATGTTGACTAAGCATTTATATATTCATATTTGGTTATTTGGGGTGAAACAAAATATAGTACACACATTTATTTCATGTTTCTTTTTACTTTCTTAAATAAAAAGTAAAATTTAATTTTTTTGGAAAATTTGCAATTGTACATGCACTTGGCCTTTGTGCCTCACTGTGTTTCTTTTGGACAGTGCTGGTATAAATTCAGTGAACATGTTCAGAATGAAAGGATAAGTCAACAACTCCACAGTCCTTCTTTCTTTGCCTTTGCAGACTACAGGGTTGATGATCCTTTCTGATAGGTGACAGCAGCAAGTGGCACACATCCCTACCTGAGACCAGTGCACACAGGCTGAGGAGGAGGAGGAGGGAGGCTGGCCGGGAGAAGTGCAGGGCAGCAGCTGGTTCCATGAGCACCCAGAGCAGGCAGGGACAGGAGGCCTAGGGTTACAGAGGAGAATCAGCCTAGGAGTCTTGGCACCTCAGTGCTGGTCGGGCCCAACCTCTCCCGTCACTCAAGTAGGTCTCATCAGTGCCCCAACTTCAGAGAGTCCCCTGCATCCGAAGGCTCAGGTATCTCCTGAGAGAGGGATTCCTTAAACATTCCATGAAGTAAGCCATCAATGCCAAGATCAAGGGGGCCTTTTTCCGCCCTCCTCGGCTCACTTCTCTGGCCAGAGTCCGGTTTCTTCAGTTGTCGCTGGATTCTATCACACCCTCCTCCCTTCACTTCCTCCTCCCCGCGATCCACGCCGGGCCACCGGAGGTAAAGCCAGGCGAGGAGGCGCCGCCCCACCGGTGGGCTTTCCCTCTCCCAGAACCCCCTCTCAAGTCCACAGCGGATCCCGCTACTTCCATCGACCGCCTTCACCCCGGAGCTGTAGCGCCTACCCTCCCTTTCCTACCTTCTAGAATTAGCGTGTAGTTTCTTTTCTCCTTTGGTCCTCAAATGGCAATTCTCCAGTCGTCCCCCAAGTCTCCAACCTTTCCAGGGGCACAGGCACTACTAGTCACAAACTGTCCCAAAAGAGGAGAAAAAGAATTTTCTTTGCCTCCCACTTACTCGCGATATGTGAAGTTGTGGGACCCGGGATCAGATTCTCTGGGCTTCCACAGTGTCCCAAGATTTCCCTAAGTATTTTAGAGTCCAGGATTGGCCGGGTGTGAGTGAACCAGCCAATGGTGTCGAGCCTTATTTCTCAGCAGTTACTAGGTAGAATACACCGAATCAAAAATTTCAAGCAGCAAGTAACCTTTTGAGATTATCGGGTCTTTTTATTTCCTTTTTGTTTGTTCGAAAGCAAGATACTTTTTCTTTCCTCTCTCTCTCTCTCTCAAGCCTTGAGATTCCCAAGGCTGGTCCCCAAGGTTGGTGGCTTTGCTACTATCCACAAGGAGAGGCTTCTCTATGTAGAGGGAGATTTTGCTGGGGAGGAAACATGAGGAGGAAAACAAAAGCCGCCCTCTTTCCAAAGCCAGAGGACTCTTGTCTAAGTTGCTGGCTTTGGAGTTTGGGCCTGGAGCACGGAAGGTCTTGGGGGAAGCAGGCATGGCTGGAGCGGGAGGGGTAGCAAAGGAAAGGAGACAGCAGTTGCAGTGGCTGTTATGAAGGCCTTGTCATTCATTCCAAAGCTATCGGATAAGAGGTGCTGAGAATCCTGAGTTATGATCAAAAACCCTTTCCCTCAGGCAGGTGGCATTCTGGTAGGGACAGAAGATAGAAGTGAACAAAACTTTCTAGCTGGCCTTGACTTTCTGCCAGTAGGTGGTGGGGTTGAGTCCAAGGACCACACACACACACATACACACTGGCACACATACCCTCTTCCCTCCAAAAAAAAATCCCTTTTCCACAGACTAAATCTTGTCATTGTAGAGATATCTTGCAGAATAATCTTCCCGAGGCTCAGTTGTGAATATGTCCCTCAAGTGTCTAAATGCTTAGTCTGGAGGCCTCCAATTACCTTCTGATTCAATTCAAAACTTTGCAGTTAATACGCTAGCAATGGCTCCACAGTGGCCTTGCATCACAATGTTGCACTCCCTGTGGCCAGCGCTCCCTTTCCCATGCCATGCCTTTCACTTGAATTGTTTGCTCCATCTCTGCCCCGTGAAATCCTGCCCAGCCTTCGTGCCTACTTCCTCCAAGAACAACTCTGAATGTTCCTGCCTGAAGTGTTCTCAGCCTCTTCTGACACCCAAATCTTTTGCTGTTCCCATATCCTGTCTTGTATTATTGTTATTCAGGTATCAACTGTGTCTTTGCTGTGGCTACAGTACCTGCTCTTCTAGACTGACTTCTGCAGGATGTGATTCTTCTCTCCTTATAGGGATCAGCCTTAGCTCTGCTCTCAGCTGCTGTTCAATGCATGAATGACATGCTCAGGGTAAGGTCATTCCCACCAGAGCATGGCCCAGTTCCTGGAATCATTCGGCATCAGAGTGTGAGAGAGAGGTGGCAGCAGGATTAAGCCACTCTAGGTCAGAAGTTCAAGGACCAGGAAGGAGGACCCAGTAGGTTCCTTCTGCAGAGAAAGCTCTATGATGAGAATGAGCTAAAGCAAGTCCTGAGAACTGCTTTTTCAATTGGACTGACCCTTATACTGTCCCTTTCTGAAACGGCAGCCTCACCTACCACTTGATGCTTCTGGAGTATAATTAAAATTGGATTCTAGGTTGAGTGGCTAATGAGGATAAAATCATAGGAAGTATTGGATCATTCCAGCCAAGCCTGGACTGTTCTTTGGAATAAACAGAAGTGGACACTGTAAGTATACAAAACTCAGGCTAAGATCTGGCTTCAGTTTTTTTATCTGAAGATATAATGTCCAGGGCTTCTGAAGCAGCTTGTGCCAGAAGTATCCAGCTAAGCCAGGTTTCACCCTCTGCCAAAGTTGACCTGAGCCATTCGGAAATATGTGTGTTCTAGGCAACAAGAGGGTTTATTGCTCATCAGGTAGCTTAGCAAGAAACCAGGTGATATGGTTTGGCATGGGGGCAATCATGGGAGCAGTTACCTCCATGCTGTTCTCATAATAGTGAGTTCTCAGGATATCTGATGATTTTATAAGGGACTTTCCCCCCTTTTGCTCAGCACTTCTTCTTCCTGCCATCATGTGAAGAAGGACGTGTTTGCTTCCACTTCTGCCATGATTGTAAGTTTCCTGAGGCCTTTCCAGCCATGGTACTGTGAGTTAATTACACCTCTTTCCTTTATACATTACCCAGTCCTTCATACTAGCATGAGAACAGACTAATACAGTATATTGGTACCAGTAGTGTGGGGTGCTGTTATGAGGATACCCGAAAATGTGGAAGTGACTTTGAAACTGGGTAACAGGCAGAGGTTGGAACAGTTTGGAGGGCTCAGAAGAAGACAGGAAAATGTGAGAAAGTTTGGAACTTCCTAGAGACTTGTTGAATGGCTTTAACCAAAATGCTGATAGTGATATGGACAATGAAGTCTAGGCTGAGGTAGTCTCAGATAGAGATGAGGAACTTGTTGGGAAATGGAGTAAAGGTCACTCTTGCTATGCACAAAAGACTGGTGGCATTTGTCCCTGCCCTAGAGTTCTGTGGAACTTTGAACTTCAGAGTGACGATTTGGGGTATCTGGCGAAAGAAATTTCTAAGTGGCAACTATTGTCAATATTCCCCTCAAATGTCTAAATGCTTCGCCTGGAAGCCTACAATTCCCTTTCACTTCAATCCAAAACCTTGCAAGTAATACACTAGCAATGGCTTCACAGTGATGGAGGAAGCAGAGCATAAAAGTTTGAAAAATTTGCAGCCTGATGATTTGATAAAAAAGAAAAATCCATTTTCTGAGGAGAAAGGCAAGCTGGCTGCAGAAATTTGCATAAGTAACAAGGAATCAAATGTTAATCACCAAGACTATGGGGAAAATGCCCCTAGGGCCTGTCAGAGGTTTTCCTGGTAGACCCTTCCATCACAGATCCAGAGGTCTGGGAGAAAAAATGGTTTCCTAGGCTGGGGCCAGGGTCCCCCAGTGCTCTGTGCAGCCTAGGGATTTGGTGCCCTCAGTTCCAGCTGATTCAGCTCCAGCTATGGCTAAGAGAGGCCAATGTATAGCTCAGACTGTTGCTTCTGAGGGTACGAGTGCCAAGCCTTGGTGGCTTTCACATAGTGTTGGGTCTGCAGGTACACAGAAGTCAAGAATTGAGGTTTGGGAACCTCTGCCAAGATTTCAGAGGATGTATGGAAACAGCTGGATGTCCAGGCAGAAGTTTGCTGCAGGAGCAGAGCCCTCATGGAGAACCTCTGCGAGGGCAGTTTGGAACAGAAATGTGGGGTTAGAGCCCCCACACAGAGGCCCCACTGGGGCACTGCCCAGTGGAGCTATGAAAAGAGGGCCATCATCCTCCAGATTCCAGAATGGTAATCCACTGACAGCTTGTACTTTGCACCTGGAAAAGCAGCAGACACTCAATGCCAGCCTGTGAAAGCAGCTGGGAGGGGGGCTGTATCCTGCAAAGCCATAGGGGTGGAGCTGCCTAAGGCCATGGGAGCCTACCTCTTACCTCAGTGTGACCTGGATGTGAGACATGGAGTCAAAAGAGATTATTTTGGGAATTTAAAGTTTAATGACTGTCCTATTGGATTTTGATCTTGTATGGGGCCCATAGCCCTTTTGTTTTGGCCAGTTTCTCCCATTTGGAATGGGTGTATTCACCCAATGCCTGCACCCACATTGTATCTAGGAAGTAACTAATCTGCTTTTGATTTTTCAGGTTCATAAGGGAAAGGGACTTACCTTACCTCAGATGAGACTTTGGACTTGGACTTTAGGTTAATGCTAGAATGAATTAAGATTTTGGGGGACTGTTGGAAAGGCATGATTGTGTTTTGAAATGTGAGGACATAAGACTTGGGAGGGGCCAGGGGCGGAATGATATGGTTTGGCTGTATCCCCACCCAAATCTCATCTGGAATGATAGTTCCCATAATTCCCACATGTCATGGGAGGGAACCAGTGTGAGGTGTCATGGGCTGGGAATCTTGGCAGTGTTTACCTCCTTGTTCTTCTTGTGATAGTGAGTTCTCACAAAATCTGATGGTTTTATAAGGGGCTTTTTCCTCTTTTGCTCAGCACTCACCCTTCCTGCCATCATGTGAAGAAGGACATGTTTGCTTCCCCTGTCACCATTATTGTAAGTTTCCTAAGGCCTCCCCAGCCAGGCAGAACTGTGAGTCAATTATATCTCTTTCCTTTATAAATTACCCAGTCTCCGGCAGTCATTCATAGCAGTGTGAAAACAGACTAATACACCAGGTTCTACTGGAGTGTGCCACATTAGATAGTGACAGCCTGACACAATCATTCCCTGTCATGGGAGGGATAAGCACAGAGGAAGCGTCACTTCAGCAAGGTTCTCTGTGGATCTGGTGTACATGGGACCCCTGGGAAAACCAGGACCCAGACTGAACACTGATCCCTTTTTGCTTTGCAAATGAGTTTCAATTTTTGACGGCAATTTGGGCATGTCTCTTTTTTTGAGTCACCTCTAGCTATGGAGTCCTTCCAGGGGAGGCCCAGACTTTTTGTTGAAGAGAAAAACCATTCCTACTTTGCCCCTTACATATTCCAGATTCCGACTCACAGAATCAATGAGCATAGTGCAATGGTTGTGCAAGTTGCTAATTTTCCATACTTCAACAATATTAGTCAATATATTTACCTTGTCTCAAGAGAACAAATTGCCCAGAACATGCTAGAATGATACTGGGACCTCAAGGGAAAAAAAGATGAGAAAATTGCCCAAACTGCTTCCATCTTCAAGTTTCCTCTCTGCACATGTTCTTTGGTGTTCTGTTTCTGCAGTTCAACTTCTTCTCCTCTTTTGGACCATAATGTGAGTGGAAGAGTTCTTCCCACAACTCCCATGCACACCTGCTACAGGTGTAGCTAGTCACATGTCACTTGAAGGTCCTCTGCCCTAGCCTGGGTCAGGTGTCCATCCCAGACCCAGTCCATGTGGTGAGGCTGCAGGGCCATGCTATACAGACATGTATTGGAACACAAGAGGTCACTAATGCTAAATGAATGTGGTGCAGGGAGGGCAGAGGGACCTTGAAAGGCATTGATTATATTCTCAGAAGCAGAGCCCTTAGAACAGATGCGGTTGATGCCCCATTCCATATTCTCTTGGCCTATTACAATTTGCCAATAGTGGAGGAACACAGTTTCCTTCAAGGATAACAATGTCTGACCTCAGTTATTTGTGTCTCTCCTCCTCCGCTTTCTCTAACACCAGTGATATTTGCTTTTTTTTCTGCAGATGCACAACCCAACCTTGAAGTACAGCAGAACTAACATTCCCAGGGGCAACCTTCAACCGATTTAAGCAAAAGAGGATGGGAGGTGTTGATAAATGTACAAGGGTCCCCAGCCCTTAGGAAGATTCTGACATATATTCCACAATTTCATATAGTTTCTTACAGTGTCCTGGGTGGGACAAGCCGAGTTGTCCATATGGTGACTCATTAATGACCTCTTTGTGCCATTCCTCACACAACTGGCTTTCCCCCTTCTGTGATTCACTATTTCTGCACTTGTGTTTCCTGGGATGATTTCCCAAATAAGTGGTAGCTTCAATAGTGCTCTTCCCTCCATACACACCTAGTGATGTTTACTGTGAAACATGTGACAATGATATATAACATGGCAAAATGGACCTTATAGAATTAAGGTTATGGACCTTAAAATTTAGTGATTATTCTAAATTATCTGGGTGGACTTAATCGAATCACAGGAGTTCTCAAAAGTAGAAGGCAGAAGAATCAGAGAGGTGCAATGGAAAAAGAACCAGAAAAACTTCAAAGATTGACAAGTCCTCAATGCATAATTGCTGCTTTGAAGACTGAAGAAGGGAGCTGCGAGCCAAAAAACAGCAGCCTCTAGGGATGGGAACAGCCTTCAGCTGTAAATCAGTAAGCAACTGGGACCTCTGTCTTGTAATTGCAAAAATTGAATTCTGCCAGCAATCTGAATAAACAAGAAAACATATTGCTCTCTAGAGCCTCCAGAAAAGAATCCAGCATGCAGACACATTGATCTTAGTCTGGTGAGATCCCTGTTGGACTTCTGACCTATAGAACTTTGAACCAAAAACTTGTGTTGCTTTAAGTCTAAGAATTTGTGCTAATTCATCATAGCAGCAGTAGAAAACACATACAATAAAGGTTTTGTGAAAACACTGCAATGAGGTAAACTGAAACTGTGGGGAGTACAGTGGGTGTGTGGACTATTCTACTGTGCCGAGTAGACTTATTAGAGTCTAGAAAAAGCCAAGTTGAAGAGTCAGCATTATTAACAAATTTATTGAACAACTAGAACTTGACAAGCACATGCCAGGTAGAGGGGATACAGTGGAGAGCAATAATAATGATGATAATGAGGAGTAGTTTTTCCCTAGCAGGCAGCAGTTGAAAGGAATATTGGTTTAACATCCACCAATGAGCAGGGGTGGATAGACCCCTCTCCTGGAGACAGAGTCCATAACGGGATTAAAAATATCCCTGTAAGCCGGTCACCCGGTGGCTCAAGCCTGTAATCCCAGCACTTTGGGAGACCGAGGTGGGTGGATCATGAGGTCAAGAGATCGAGACCATCCTGGCCAACATAGTGAACCCTCATCTGTACTAAAAGTACAAAAATTTGTTGGGTGTGGTGGCGTGCACCTATATTCCCAGTACTCGGGAGGCTGAGGCAGGAGAATTGTTTGAACCCAGGAGGTGGAGGTTGCAGGGAGCTGAGATCGCACCACTGCACTCCAGCCTAGCAACAGAGTAAGACTCCATCTTAAAAAAAAAAAAAAATCCCTGTATTTCTTCTAGCTCCCTTCATCCAAATTTCCTATATCACAGAGAATCTCTAGGGTATTTGCTCTGCCTGGAAACCTTGATTGAAGGAAGGCTGGCTCTGGCTGCATGATCACTTATCACATTTGTTGGGTGGAACACATCTGTTCCCCATGATTTATCAAGTGTGGCCTCTAGTCTCTTTCCAAATCACGTGTCATGTGGGTACGGTGAGGTTATTCTCTCAACCAAGACACTCTGCAGAGCTAATCCAAGGCGTGCTGGGTCTAAGGCTCTGACAATCAGCTGGGAAGGAGTCAACAGGGGTGTCAACTCCACAACCACCTACAGTGATCCTTATCCTGGAGCCATCCTGGGAAAAGAACCTCAGGGCTACAGGTGGGTTCTTCCTATGGGGGAAGAAACAGGGTGGAAAAGAACGGCCATAGGGCCGGGGACTGAAGCTGAACATCTCCCAACTGCAGAAATTACTGCATGAGTTATGTAAGTTGCTTAATGTTGCCCTGCCTCAACTTCCATACTTGCTAAATGAGACTACCCGACAGGGTGTTGCGAGGATTAAAGGAGTGACATCCACCAAAGCTCATAACACAGCACTCAGAGCATTTTAAGTTCTCCATTAATGTTAGTTATTGCTGTTTAGATCCCAGCTGTGTTGTTAACTAGTCATGTCTACTTTGTAGTCAATTCACTTTTCTGCACCCCAGTTTCCTTATCTGTATAAGGGGAAAATAAGATGGTACCAAACTCAAACAACTGTCATATGAATAATTGAATGAGTATCAGTAAAGTGCTTCAGTGCGTGCTTGTAGCTTTATGGTTGTGATTGGTTGCTGTGGAGGGGGAGGCCCTCAGCTCTGAGCTGGGCAGGGAGAAGCAGAGAAAAGTTACTTCAGCCTGAGGCTCCCCACTTTCGTTAGCTAAGCCCGGGGTTACTGGTGTCTCTAGGGAATGATCAGCACTCGGTCAGAATTGGAGGAACTCTCTTCTTCTTTTCACGCTGGACAAATAGTCAGGGCCGTGGGCTCCAAGGTCAAAATTCTGAAAACAGGATATAGAGCCTCAGAGAAGGAGACGTCCAGGAAAGTATGAATATGCGATCCATCCACAGCATTGTAGAATGAGATATCTCCAGTCTCATAGTCCAGGAAGACCCCCACTTTCTTAGGGGGCTTAGGAAGTTTCAGGTTGGTTCTGGGCTCAGTTAGAGTCCGATACTTATTCCCATCAGTCAGCCCCATAGTCCAGAATCCATTCTCAGGTGTCATTTTGACCCAGCCTTTTCTCTGCACATTCTTACTGCACACCCCTATATGCCACTCTTTCCTGTCCCCTACCTCCACCTCCCAGTAATGTCTCCCTGATATGAAGCTCTCACAGCCGAGAACACAATAATGCCAATTAAATCTCTCAGGGTTGTCTGGCAGATCCTGGGGCTCCTTGGCACGCTGCACACTCCTCTGGTCCTCAGAAACAAGGAGGATGGGGTTTGCTGTTTTTGGATCCAGAATCACATCCGCTGCAGAGAGTTTGAGGAAGTGTCCATGAGGTCAACCATTTTTCCTGGATTTCAGAGCCTCAGCATGCAAGGCCTGGGCCATGCTGAGGAGGTCTGAGTCCAAAGCCTGGTGTCCCTAGTCTGCCCTAAATGTGACTCTCTCATCGATGTCAGGAGAGAAAGCCCCAGGTATCAGGTATCTTGTGTCCAGAGGGGAAGAGGAGGGTGAAATGAGGGTTGCCTCAGCATCTCTGCCTAACCCAATACCCTGACGCGGCCTCAGGAAGCAGCAAGGATCCTTTCTACGTTTTTCTTGTTTCCCTCCCCATATTCACTCTGCCCACTAATGCTTTATACTCAGAGGTTAATTTTCAACCTTCATTCGACCACTCATGAGCTAAATGAGTTCCCCTTTTCTGCAGTCTATTTTTCCATACATCCAATTTATTTAACAAAGTGGAGCCTCATCTGAAGCATTTCCTCACCTGAAAAATGGGGATAAACAAATGAATCTCTAGCGCTGTAGAAGGCAATCATGTTATTTACTCAGCCCACAGCAGGCCATGAAGGAAGCTCCTCATCTTCCTGATAGCTGCAAGGCCGTCTCTGTGCTGGGCTCTATGTGGTGCCTTATATGCCCTAGATTCACTCTCCACCCTTCAGCTTTCTCCACCCTCTTCTGGGCCCCAGGAATCTGTCCTCTGGGCAGATTCCTGAGACAGTGCCACTGGGCTCCCTTGTCCTCTGGTTTGCTGTTGGGTTTGGCCAATGGGAGGCCCTGATAGGAGATTGGAAGGAGAAAGAAAGGAGAGACACACCGTTTAATTTCCTGCTTCCTCCCTGCCAGCAGCAGCTGCTGCTGCTCTAACAAGGCCTGAAGACTCTTCTCAGGGAGCCCTCTCTTTGAGCTACTTCTTATTCTGGGTTCCAGTAACTGCCTCCCCTCCCTAGCCGTCCCAGTGTAGGAGTGGAGACAGCTCCCCACTGTTGGGAACCATGGGGGCACTGCACTTTTCCTTGTTGCTTTCCCTTAACCCTCCTTTCTGCAAACCTTCAACCACGCAGTTTGAACTCATCATCTCCTTCTTAAGGTTTTTGACCAATGGATATTTATTATTCCTTCAGTCTTCACCTCAACCCCCACAAACACAGATTGAAATCATCACCTAAATATGTGGAGGCCAAAGCTCAGAAGCATTAAGTTTTTTTGAGAAGGCACTGACAGTAGGTGGCATGAGAAGTCTGGGAAGGACTAAGTTCTTTGGGCAGGCATCGCCTCCTTTCCTTGGCATTTCCATCCTCACTCTCCCTGCAGTATTACTCAGTGTGTGTCTCCTTCCCCTCAGATCCACCCTTTATATGTCTTCCTTCCCAGGAAGGTCTGAGGAAGTGCAAGAGATCTATTCGCCCTGGTTCCCTGGGCTCTCAGCAGAAAGGGTCTTGGAGATGGGCCCACTTTTCAGATTGGAATTTAATGTTGCCTACCCCAAATTCTCCTAGTCATGGGAGCTTTTCTTCCCCAAATCACAACAGTTGGAGAAGTAAAAAGGAAAAAGGAATATAGTCCCTCAGGTTGTTGGTCCAGGGAACACACAGTGATTTACTCACCAGGCTTGAAGAGGGCCTTTTTCCATTCTGAAAGGAAGGAGACACAGATAAGGAAAAGGTCAGTATTCTTGTACTTTTCCCCACTGCACTCTCCCCTCACTACATGTTTTCTCTCCTTTTCTTCAGAGTCTCTTCCAGGGTCCAGCCTCCCTCTTCTACAGCTCTGATGGATCAGGGGTGGTACCTTCTCAAAAATGGTGAGCTCTGTTCCCTCTGCAATGAAGGGTACAGGCTGCAAGGCCAGGCTTTGCAAGGGGGTGTGCAGGGTCAGGAGTCTCTCTGATTCTCCAGAAAAGCAGAAATCAACCCCCCACAACACACAAATTGAGTCTTTGGGTTAAATCTGATTCATGCAAATGAGAACATCAATGGGTCACAGCAGAGAAAAGGTTGAAATGTTCATGGCACGTGTCCCAGCAAACTCAGAGAGCATCAGGTTCACTCACCATTATAGGCTGAATGTCTCTCTCCCCCTACAATGAAAAAAAGATAGAGATGTCACCTGAACTTGCCATTTTTGATTTGGCCCCATTCCCTTAACTTTACATCCATCTAATCTTTTTTTTTTTTTTTTTTTTTTTACCACCTGTATCTTCCTCCTCTGCAGGTTCAATTCTTTCTATTGTGTTGTTCTTAGTATCAAATCCAGGAACATCAGTCGAATGCTAGTGACATGGCAGACATTGCGAGAGTTCCTTCCTGATGGTGTTCAGCTGATCTATTTGGAATGTATCTATATACCTGTACCTGGGCATAGGTGTCTCCATGTCTATATGCACATATATATATACACATATATATATACATATATATGCACATATATATGTGTATATATGTATATATGTGTATATATATATTTAAATGTGTGTATGTGTGTGTGTGTGTTTGCAAGATCCTTCTATATCAATCTAATTTCGTACCTTACTCTGAAAAGAATTTGGGAAATTTAATGAGCAATTTCAGGGACTAGTGTTTGAAGTCAGTTAGAATAAATTGGTACCAACTGAGCGACTGTTCAGGCCACTTTTGTTTATTAGACACACTTTTCTCCCTCTCTCTTTTCAGATTTTCTTGTTCTTTATTATCTTTTATTCTTTTTCTTCTCTGGAGCCTATAGATTATGTAAAATGACTAGTGAAGTTCCTGCCATAGAGAATGCACTTCATCTACCTCTTCCCCCTTCCTTTACAAATGTGCCCCTGGATATTCCTCAGTGCTTTGCAGGGCTATAGAGTCTGTGGCCCCTGGTAGAGATAAATTGAAGGCATCTTTTCTTCGAGACCAGCTGAGAAAGAGAAAGAGAGGGAGAAAGAAACACTCCTCCTGGGTGTTACTCCAATCAGCCACACTCTTTCTTTTTTCCTTTCTTCTCTTTCCTTTTTTTTTTTTTCTTTTTGGCAATGACTAGGAATTGGCACATCTATTTTCTTTCCTTAGTCAAAGGGATCTAAGACCACTTCCCAACCTTGGGGAAAGAGTTAAGAGTGGAAACTATTCAAGCACAGACAGTTATAGATTCAAATTCAGAGAAAATGTCAGAGGCACTTACGAGATGCATACTGGATACTTCTCCATCCTGCAACGGAAGGAACAGGGGAAGATGCATCAAGGCGCATAAAGCAGGGACAGGAAGACATGCCTGGGTCTCTGGGGGAATGGGAACTTACTGAGTTCCTCCAGGAGCTTCACTGGAAAATAAGCAGAAATAATAATGAACTGTTACAGGTGAGGGGGTTTTCTAAAAAATTAACCTTAAAAGCAACTGAGCTCTGCGGTGGGGATGGGCGTGAGGTCTTTGGGCTTTGGCCCGTAAGCCAGGGGCTCAGATAAACTCCCAAGGTCAGCTACCTCTTGTGCTTTGTTCTTGCTTCATTGTGCTCCATGCCATTTCTCTCAACTCTTGCTCTCTCTTTTTCTTTCTGAACTGAGTCTTTTTTTCCTCCTGCTGTTGCCACAGGAAGTAACCGGCTCCCCCAAGAAGCAGCAGCAAGACAGGCAGGGTCCCTGCCAGGGCGGCGATCCACCTCTGGGCGCTCCTGAAGAAGGGGTCTGTGAAGGCAACGGCTGTGGGTCATGGGGGCCGGTGCACTCAGCCTCCCCAGACTGCAGCGCCCCAAGTGTTAGCTGCTCACCCCAGGTCACAGGGCACGGAATCTATCTCATGAGGTTAAATAATCTTTCTCATGCTAAAATCTCAGAGGACAGTGGGTAAGACTTTGATAAACCCCCACTAGAGGCTGCTACTATTACTTCTCTTGAGACGTCTGCCTCTCATGTGGAAAGTGAGTGACTTGAGGATATCAAACATATTTTTTTCTAATTCAACTTTTTAATAGGTAACACATGTACATGGTTCTAAAATACATGTATAAAAAGTCACGTAAGTCTCCCATCCACCCAGTCCTCCCTCCCACCCTCCCTTTCTTAACTTCAAATTAGTCTGCTTAATATGATGCTTAAGAACAGGAACTTTGGAGCTGGAGGCCCTGGGTGTCAATGCTGGCTCCTTTAGGTGACTTGCAGTGTGACTTTAGACTAATTACTTAACCTCTCTGTTCCTACTGCCCTTCTCCTGAAGTTAGAAGGATTAAATTAATACTTATAAAGTGCCTGACACCTAGTGAGTGTTATGACATTACTTGTTAACTTAAAAAAATGTAAATAAAAATATATTCTTGTTTTTCCTCTTATTTGCACTAAAGATAGCATTCCATACACACCACTCTGCATTTTGCTCTTTCTGTGCAAAGTTAATCTTGGAGGTTTTTCCACTTCACTATAGAGAGAATTATCTCTTTTTTCTTTCACAGTTGAGTGGTATCCATTGCATGAAAGTTCTCCAGCAGTGAACATCTGCATAGTTTCCAACCTTGTGCAGTCATAATCAGTGCTATAAAAAATAACTTTTTACATGGATCATCTCATACAAATGCAAGCTTATCTACCAAATAAATTCCCAGAAGCGGAATTTTGGATCACTAAAGATGTAGTTTGGATAGATATTGTTATATAGCCCCCAACAGAGGTTGTGCTAATGCACACCAAAAATACAAGTCATCCCAGCAGATGCCTAGGAGTCACAGCCTTCCTACATTCCTGCCATAACCATGTGTTATCAACCAACAGATGTTTGTTTTGATTTTTGCCAATACCATAAGTGAAAAATGATTCAGTATGTTTCTCTAATGAATGAGAACGAACACTCTTTTGTGAGTTATTTCCTTTTCTGTAAATTAAATAATTTATGACCTTTGTTAAAATTTTTTACTCAGTTTTTAAAATCTTCTGTCTCAAGGAGATTGGCTCTTTCTCTATGAGTTTGTATATATATATATATGCTTTCCCCTTTTGTCATTTGACTTTACATACGCAGCTTATCTTAACAATTATCCCCTAATTCCAATTACTGTTATACTTCTGGCAGACAGGAAATGTTCAGTAAATGTTTGCGTCATGAACAGCTTTATGGAGAAGAGAAGCTCCCCCGGTGCAAGGAGGAGCCTCCAGGTCTGTGCTTTGGGCCTTATATTCAGTGCAGAGACCCAGGTTGACTGCAGACACTAACACCTCCCCCTTCATTCAACTGCCACAGCCCAGCTCAGAAAACCTGAGGCCAAGCAGGTACTGACCTGCGATGGAAATGCTGGCTGTCTTTTCCAGGCCGAGGAGGGAACTTCTGATGGTACAGGATACACCCTCCCCAGAGCTGCCTCTCATGATCACAGATGCTGCTACTGCATACAGGCCCACTCCGTCTGCAACCACAGGTGCTTCCACAGTCGGGATGTTCTCTCCCTTGTTGTTGCTCCACTGTATTTGGGGTTGGGGGTACCAGCCAGTGGACCTGCACTCCAGATGGATCCCTCCATCCTTGTAACCCTTCACATCAACGTGAAGATCAGAACCCAGTGCTGTGGAAGGATGAATTAGCCTAAATTCTTGAGAGGCCTGTATCAGAGAGGGTCTCAAAAGGAATCATGGCACACTCACATTCCATAATTCAAGAACAATTTCATTTTAGAGCTGCTTACAAAAGTGTGGTCCTAGTGAGGAGAAAGCTACATGAATGAGTGCAGTATCCCAGGGTCAGTAACAGTGGGGCTATTCCCACCCACCACAGTTACCAGAGGGAGGAGGAGAGGGAGCTGTTTTGAAGACACAAAAGAAGAGATTTATGCATTAAGGACTTTCTTGAGAGGGGCAATGACCTTCAGCAAGGCAATGCAGCCAGCCTGAGGGTAACTTGCAGGAAGGAAGCCAGGGACTAAGCACCCAGATCTCTCTTTTCTCTCCCTCCCTTCATCGTCTGCTACAGATCCCTGCTGACCAAACCCTTAAACAGAAGCCACAGGGAAAAGCATTGCACTAAGAAAGAAAAGAGCAGTCCCTTTATCTGGAAGCAGCAACAGGACTCAGTGTCCTCCTGTTGAACAAAAGCAATTTCACAGAACACCAGCATCAGATGATGGCACTTTGTGACTATGATGGATCATGGGAAAAACAAGACCACCCCACATCATGTGTGAGCACAGAGAAAAACATGAACATTGTCCAAACCACAGCAGTGACCAAACAACCCCCATCAGCAATGAGGGATTGCTGTCCCTTCATCAATTACAGCTTTAGTCTCACCCTGGTCTCTTTCTTCCTAGATAAGATTGATTAAGGTTCTCACTCATAGAATTAACCTGCCCACACCTTCCTAGCAGTGTCTCATCCAGAGCAGAGGCCAAAGTCTATAAACCCTCCTCCCAAATCCCCTAACACAAGCCCAAATTATATACTAAGTCTGCTCTAACAGCTTCTTACTGAGACTCCACCACAGCTCCCCATGATATGTGTTCTTCCTCACTGCAACAAGTAAGAAACACAGCTCCCATGACTACAGGTGTATTCTAGGGTCATTGGCTCAAGAACATTGGCAGCAGATACAGTCCAGATAGCCCAGTCTTCTAGGGCCCACAATAGCATGTACCTAGTGGAGCCACAGAAGCCATCCAGTACAGAACTAAACACGAATGACTGTGTACTAGTCACTGAAGAGATGATTTCTTATGCTTTCTATCCCTTGTCCTTCACTTCCCTTATATCTCTGGTGGCCAGAGGAAAGGAGTTCTTTACTTGAGCATGTAGGGTACAGCAGGAATTCTTCCTAAAGGAAAACCTGTGTCTTACTCAAGGGCCTCAGAGAAGCTAAGTTGGGAGGCAGTGCAGGCAATTGCTAGTGAGCAGCCAGGAGTGTCTGCAGTGCTTTTGCAAGAGGGACTCTGCATCTGCTCTAGATCCTACAGAGAAATGTTCTCAGAACAAAACCTGGAGGCTCACCTGCAACCTTCAGCTCCACCAGGGCTTTTTCATAGAAGTCACCATCTTGGAAATAACACAAGTACTTTCCACTGTCAGAGGCTGTGACGTTGTGTATTCGGAGAGCAGCCTTCCCTGCAGTGATGCCATCCCGCAGAATCGAAGTTCTCCCTCGATACGGTGCACTCTGCCTGTCTTCCACTTCCTTTCCATCTGCATACACGTTCACCACCTGCCTTAGGCTGGAACTCACCCACTTCAGCTCCATGGTCTCTGCACTCATGGTCGGGAACAGGTGACAGGGCAGATCAGCGTCTTCACCCACCATGGCCAGGATGGGCCCAGAGGGTCCAAGCACAGAAAACTGAGCTGTAGGCACAAGGGGGAGGATCTGTCAGAGGGTTTTGGAGTTGGGGTCATGAGAGGAAGGGTGCTTCTCAGACAGGGAAGGCGAGATACAAAGAAACTGGTGGGGGAAACTGATCTTAACAGAAGCACCATTTGTCTCTTAGTGACGGGTGAACCTTCAGATCGGGATGGACTTCAGGTTTGGGAAGGAGTCAAAAGTCCTATGAGGACATAATTAGGTAATTGTCTGCTTCAGAAACAAGCGTGGAATTGTTCCCTACCTGAGTGAGGCATGAGCAGCTGAAGCAAAAGGAGGCAGACACGAAAGTTGAGCAGAAGGAAGGCCAGGAAACTTGCCATTTTCATTCATGCTGCATATCAGGAGATACTGGAAGGTGGGGGGCAGACACTATGACCTGGAAGAAGCTATAGAATTCCAAATGGAAACCTCCACTTCCCTAGAGCTAACTCAAGTATGGTGACCGAAGAAGATCTTTCCTCTGCCAAAAATTCTGTCCTTCAGTGTCTTCACCTTTGAGTCCCAACATTGAAAATCACCTGTAAAAACATGTCTATGTGAAATGCACATCTGTTATTCGATCAGAAAATCCTCACTGTACTGTTTAACAATATTCAGAATCCTATGACTTCCCCAAACTTCCCCTGCCAAGTCCAACCCACCACAATCCCCCTCTGATTCATGCAGGACACTCTTCACTGGGCTCCCTGGTTCCACCGGGGTCGACCGCTGTGGGTGTCCCACACTGTGGACTCCTCAAAGCCCCAACTCTTGGCCATCACCATGGTCAACTCATGGCCTAGTGGACTCCTGGTAGGATTAAGGAAGACTGCTTGGTGGGGGACCTGAAGTCAGTCAGGGGCTGAACCCACCACATTTAATCCAAGGCTAGTGATCACAGAGCTGCAAATAAGACCAGGCCTTACTTACCTTTTCTTTCTTCCCTTCATAAAGTCATTCAACAAATATTTACCAAGCACCCACAAGGGGCCAGGCCCATGATATAAGGGTTAGGGACACAAAGAGGGTAAGCAATAAGTAAAGGCTCTAAGATTCACAAGCTCTTTGGTCTCAGACATGGGACAAAACCATTGCAACTTTATTTACTTATACAATATCATGAAGTGTGAAATTTAGAATTGCACAGTTGGCCCAGCAGTTCCACTTCCTGATGTCAAGTCGAGCAAAGTACTTGCATGGGTGCAGACAGAAGCCTCTGTGAGAATGACACTGCAGCACTATTTTTAAAGTATAAAAATGGTAACCAACTGAACCAGCCACCCATCAGGAGACTGCTTAGAGGAATGACGGCTCATCCCTCGGAGGGAATTCAATGCAGCAGGTAAAAAGAGTTGATTTGTTGTCATGAACCTAGATAACGGAGACACACTAAGTGATCAAAAAACACCTTGCACAACTATACTAAAGATTCAATTGAAGAACAGAAGCAAAGCTATCCATTTCTGCATAACTATTTATGTAAATGCCTGAAAAACTCAAAAAAGACGCATGCTAATCTGAAGATCAGAGGTTAGTGAGTGAAGGGACACTTGGCCTTTTGTTCCCTTTACTTTTAAAATATTGGAATGCTTTAAATTTAAAACTTTTCGTGTATTACTTAACAATAATTATTATGAGTTACAATAGTGACGGGAACATATTAGCTGCTCAGTAAATACTAACTCCTCAACAGTTTCTTCCAAAACAAAGGAGCATGAGGCCTGCAGCCATAATCCCTCTTGCTGTGGGTCTGGGAATGGCCTCTGAGAACAAGATCTGCAGAGGGAGGTGGGGAGGGATGTAAAGGAAACAAGAGAACAGAGATCTGTGCAGCCGGCCATGCTTCACCCCTGCCTGGATCTTGCACCCACCCAGAGTAAACAATGCATTTCACCACATCTTTTGCTCCTCGAAACTGCTCTTTATGTTGCTATAGAGGGGGTATCATTTTTATTATCATTTTCCCTGAGTTAACAATTTCTCTGCTGTCCTTAGAATGAGACATAAGTTTTTCTTCTTCATAAAGGATATATTTTTTTTCCTGATTATAGTCAATATTGCAAATGAAAAAAAGCATAAAGGAATACAAGTTTAAGTAGTGGTTCATGCCTGTAATCCTTGCAATTTGGGAAGTTGAGATGGGAGGATCCCTGGAGCCCAGGAATTCAAGACCAGCCTGGTCAACATAATGAAACCCCATCTCTACAAATCAATCAATAAATAAAATAAAATATCTATAGTAGTAGTCATATACTTTGGTAGTGAAAAGGTAAATATTTCTGGAAGTATTTTGACCATATATATATAAAGGGCCTTAAAAAAAGTTATATGCTTTGCTAAGGAATGGCTATTAAAAGAAAAAAAAAAGGTGTGTGCTTTGACCCAAATGTTCCACTTGTAGGAATTAGTGTTGCAGAAAAAAGAAAATCAGGAACTAAGACAAAAATTTATGTTTTAGGCTGCTCAATACAGTAAAATCTACAATAGCCAAATGCAGAAAAGAGAAATAGTCCAAACTAGGGAAGTGTTTAAAAATAATTTTAAAGGCTGGGTGTGGTGGCTCACGCCTGTAATCCCAGCTCTTTGGGAGGCTGAGGTGGGCAGATCACCTGAGGTCAGGAGTTTGAGACCAGCCTAGACAATATGGCGAAACTCCGAATCTACTAAAAATACAAAAACTAGCTGGGTGTGGTGGCGTGCACCTGTAATCTCAGCTACCCAGGAGACTGAGGCAGGAGAATCACTGGAACCCAGGAAGCAGAGGCTGCAGTAAGCCGAGAACATGCCACTGCACTCCAGCCTGGGTGATAGAGCAAGACTGCATCTCAAAACAAACAAAAAAATTGTATATTCATACAATGAAATAGATTGTATCCATTGGATAGCATTCGTTAGGTTTGGGGGAAATGATGAATAAAAGGAAAAACACATACTGTTCCTAAAAGATTTTAAAACAAGGTTTAATGTATGGATCTAACATTGCTAAAATTATAAATAATTGCCCTTCATTAAAAACACGATTCCTAAAGGCTGCATGGAAATCTCTTTTATGATTGAACCATGCATTGTTTGTCTATCCCCCGCCTGTTGTATATGTATGCTGGTTCAGGTTTTTCTACATTTTTAATACTTCTGTAATGAACAAATTTACATATGAATCTATAAAGGACACCTCTTTTTAGAATCTCTTAGAATAGATGCCTTGAGTTGTCCAGAACAGATTTTAAAGATTGTTTGCCCTTTTCTGACTACAATACGTTCTTAAGAACATGCAATTAGACTATTTCTTCACCAAATCCCAAACTCTGCAGGTCTTTATTCTTTGCACTACTTCTCCCCTTTCCATGTGTCCACATGTGTGCGTGCGCACCCCCTCAGGCACACACCCCTTTCTCTGGGTGAGTACTCTCCCTGCATGCCCACTCACCACTCTCAGCGATTCAGCCCCTGTCCTCCCAGGCATTGTGAACCAGGCTCTAATCGACTTCCCCCACTCACCTCTTAGCATTCCCCTCTGAAAATCACAGCCCACAGAAGAAAGGCAGTTAATAGTTCTCCATTCTTTCTACTATGGTTAAATCTCCTTCTGGAAGAAAGGAAAAAGAAAGCAGAGACTGTCGGGTCATCGTGAGGAATAATAACAATCTCTCTTTGGAAGAATAAGTTTTTTGATTGGCTCAGAGGTGATGTTTCTCATCAGTTGCTGGGCAGAAACCACTGAGGAAGGCTGAAATGAAAACTGAAAGTACATTGAATTGTACACGTTGAAGAAAAATTCCTGCCCTACCTCCCTTACTGTTTATCTCTTTCATTCTTGTGTGTATATACGTATTTCTATATAGTCACTTGTCTTAAGTCTTTTATCATAATAGAAATATCAGCAGAACACAATGGGAAAAGATTTTAATGTGGTGAAGAGAGAAAGATGAGCACTAATTAAAATGCTACTGTGGCAGTTTGCTAACATTTGCTTGCATGAATATGGGTACATGGAGGAGGAGGAGATTTTACTACAGAGTCAAATAAACGTATGAATGGAAAGAAAACCAGACACAATGCACTTTTTTTTTGAAACGGAGTTTCACTCTGTCACCCAGGTTGGAGTGCAGTTGCAGGATCTTGGCTCACTGCAACCTTCGCCTCCCAGGTTCAAGTGATTTTCCTGCCTCAGCTCCTGAATAACTGGGATTACAGGTGCTCGCCCCATGCCCGGCTACTTTTTGTATTTTTAGTAGAGACAGGGTTTTGCCATATTGGCCAGGCTGGTCTCAAACTCCTGAGCTCAAGTGATCCTCCCTCCTCAGATCCCAAAGTGCTAGGATTACAGGCTTAAGCCACTGCACCCGGCCCACAATGCACATTTTTAAGCACCTCCAGCATCCAGGCTTAGGATCTGTTATCAAAAAATGTAATTTTTCTGGCTTCCAGAGGCAGTGCTGCTTGACACGTTTTACCTTTTTCAGCAAATTTTTAGTGCAGGTGTTTCTGAGCATCTCCATTCACCCTCAGCTCCTGTTCTGTGCTACACTGTATTTTCCTGTGTATTTGTTTCTCCTGCTGCCAGTGGAGTACATATTCTCTGAGGCCAGACTCTAGATAAACTGTGAATGCTGTCTCTGTAAGATGTCTATAAAACAAATTGGTTCTTCCTGTGGCCTAGGACCTCAAAACAGACTTTCTGGGATTGCAAGTCAATGATCGAAGTTCCTAAGGCTAAGATGTGACTGGGGCTGATGCAATTTAATTATATTGTAAATGTTTGAATTTAGACTGTGTAGTATCTGATTGAGATGGCTGGTCCCTTCTGCATCATGCATTCCCCCTTTCTTCTTGGTGATAAGGCCTAATTTTCTTAGGTACTACAACGTTCTTTTCCATCTGGTAGATAGCAGAGACCAAGGGACAAAGTTGGAACCAGTGTTTTGTAGGTGACAGCTGTGGGCTTATGCTTCTCCAAGAGATCCTTCAAAGGAGGGGCCAAAAGAGCTGGGAGTGTGAGGGTACACTCTCTGTACTTCCTC
The DNA here is from genome assembly GCF_000001405.40 of Homo sapiens. Taxonomy (NCBI): domain Eukaryota; kingdom Metazoa; phylum Chordata; class Mammalia; order Primates; family Hominidae; genus Homo; species Homo sapiens. Next base: position 26,400,889 of record NC_000006.12, on the reverse strand, counting down.
TTCCTCTTGCCTGCGATGTAGGCTTTTGACCTGGAGGTGCAGCGGCCCTCCTGGGACCATGAGGCAACCTTGACATTGGAAGCCACATGCAGAGACAGCAGAGAATGAAGTCAGAAGCAGTCTGGGGCATGAATGACACCTCTGAGGTGCCAGATCAGCCCTGGACTGCAACCACCTGAATTGATTTTACATGAAAACAAAACAAAACAAAACAAAAAAAACAAGAAAACCCTTGTTTTGTTTAAGCCAGTGGTATTTCTGGTCTCTGTTATCAGCAGAAGTACAAAATTTTTCCCTCTCCCTTTTTCCTCCCCAGCAGTTTGTCATAAAACTTCTAAAACATAAAGCAAAGGTGAAAGAATTTTCAGTGAATACCAATTACCTACCATGTAAATTGTATTGATAGAGTTAATATTTTACTAAACTTTCTTACTTTATTATAATCCATATCACTATTCATTCCCTATCCATCCATCATCCTTATTTATTTGTTCATTTGCTTCTTTTCTTTCTCTTTTTTTTTTTTTTGAGATGGAGTCTCGCTGTGTCTCCCAGACTAGAGTGCAGTGGCATGCTGTCGGCTCACTGCAACCTCCACCTCACAGTTTCAAGCAATTCTCCTACCTCAGCCTCCCGAGTAGCCGGGATCACAGGCACCTGCCACCACACCCAGCTAATTTTTGTATTTTTAGTAGATGGGGTTTTGCCATGTTGCCCAGGCTAGTCTCAAACTCCTGACCTCAGGTGATCTGCCCACGTCGGCCTCCCAAAGTGCTGGGATTTCAGGCGTGAGCTACTGCACCTCATTTGCTTATTTTTAAATTCATAGTCTATCAGAAGCTGTGTTGCTTGAAATTATATCAGTAAGAGTGATCACCCACCCTTGCCTGAAGGATCCAAATCACTTTGACACAAAGAAGCAGCTGAGGTGCTAAGCTTCAGATTAGGAGTTTCTGGGCCCAATAATTCATATCTCTCAAGTTTGTAGTTTCCAAAGTATCAGGCCCCTTGCTCCATTTCTCATGCAGTCCTTCACACAGAACTCTGGGAAAGAAATCTTGGGAAAGAAATGGATGTGAAATGGGGCAGAAATGAATTCAGTGATTCAACAAATTTTTATTGAGAACCTATCATCTAGTAGTTCTCAGGCACTGAAGTTCAAAATTAGTGAGTAGAAGTTGCATAATGGAGTGGATAAGAGCACTAATTCTCAAGCTAGGTGGCCTGCGTGACCTTGAGCCAGTTACCTAACATCTCTGTGCCCAGTTTCCCTATCTGTAAAATAAGGACAGTGATAGTACTTGACTTCTTGGGTTGCTGTTGTGAGGATGGAATGAGATAATGCATGCAGTTTGCTTACAACAGTGTATCAAAAAAAAATGTCACAAGAATGTACACTTAGTGAAAGTGTACTCAGCCCTCCTTCAAGACCTAGGCCCTTGATGCTATCTTCTCTTTGTCTTTTACAAGACCTAGTGCAGTGTCCTGCATGCAATAGGTGTTGAAAAATGCCCAGAAATCCGTCTCCTTTGTTTAGTTAGTCTCATCAACAAATGTCCATTTCTCATGGATATCATGCTACCTCTTGTTGCCATTAAGAACTCTCATGAACACACATTTTCTTTATGCTGTATCTAGATATCTGTCAGCACATCCAAGGCACACTGCCTTACTATCTACTGTCTCGAGATTTTTTTTTTCTATGTTCATCTGTTCTCATTCACAACTCATTAGCCCTGGAACCCAAAGCCGGTTAACTAATTACTCAAGGTCTCTGTTTATTCATCTGTAGGGCAGAAATGAGATCTGTTCCATAAGTTATTTAAGGAGCAGTTAGCACAGGCCCTGCAAGTAGTAACCCTCAATGAATTTCATTGTCTTCCATTCTGAAAGGCTCAATTCTGATCCCTGCATTGATGAGTCCTAAATCCACTTCCCCTGGAGACAACATCAACAGATGTCTGCTGTGGAGTTGGAGTTTTAGTGGGAAGGTGAAGGGAAAATATCTGAAAAGTTTGACATGAGGAAATGTGTATGTTTAAAATAGAAGTGAGGTAGGTGCAGGGAAGATGGGAGGAAGGAGGTGCCATTTACATTGTATTCTATGGGATGATGTCTGCTGGGGTTGCACAATATATCCCATCCTCATCCGGTGGGCCAGATGTTAGGAGATAGGGAGACCAGGAAGGAAGCTACTGTGACAGTCTAGGCAAGAAATTATGGTGGCTTGGCAATGGGGGATAGGAGACTTTATTGATTACTAACTTTAATACTAGGAAATACTTACATAGAACCTGCTACCATGCTGGTATTGTGCTAAGAGATTTACATGTATTAATACGACTCATGACAACCCTAAGAGGTAGAAACCTTATTTCGCACATTTAATAGATATAAAATCTGAGGTCCAGAGAGGTTAAATAACTCCCCAAGGCCACATGAGTAGTTTCTTTCTAAGCTGGGCTTTGAGTCCAGGCTGTCTCACTCCAGAGTCTGTGATGAAACCACTGAGCTAGACTATTGAAAGGAAGTATAAATAGCAGGGCCTGGCTATCAGTCAGAAGTGGTAGGTAAAAGAGAGCATGAGAAGGCTGAAATGACTCTTAGGTGGTGTCACTCATTCAGTTAATGATGGGTAGGCAGGGTTGATGGGAATTTAGTTTTGGACACACTCATTGTGAGATGTCTAGTGGGCATTCAGGGAATGCGTGGGGCTGGAGACAGAAATGCAAGTGCTGGTGGGAGTCTGCTTATGGGATAGAGCTTTGAAAACGGATTGGACCCCACAAGAGCATATGTGGTGTGAAAAGAGAGGCCAAGACGAAAGCCTAAGGAATATCAGCAGTTCTGGAGCAAGTGAAGCAAGAATTCTGAGAAAGATCTCCCTAGGAGCAGGGAAAGGCCAAGAAGAGGGCCCTGGGGATTGATGAGGCAGACGCCACATAGGCAGGAACACCTACTCAGGCAGGTCTATGAAGAACTCAGTGTTGTCCATAAAGGAAGGACAGAAGTGTATAATGACAAGCGAGGCCCAGTGTCTCACAGCTATAATCCCAGCACTGTGGGAGGCTAAGGCAGGAGGATCGCTTGAGCCCAGGAGATCAAGGCAGCAGTCAGCGATGATCACACCACTGAACTCTAGCCTGTGTGACAGAGCAAGATCCTGTCTCTCTAAAAAGGAAAGCACGGGGGTGGGAGGGGAAAATAGAAATGTGTAACGGATTTAATGGTTGGGAAACCATTAGTAACTGATAGAAACAATGCTTATGGGCTGAGAGTAGTGGCTCTTGCCTGTAATGTAGCACTTTAGGAGGCTGAGGCGGGCAGTTCACCTAAGGTCAGGAGTTAGAGACCAGTCAGGCCAACGTGGTGAAACCCCGCTTTACTAAAAGTACAAAAATTAGCTGGGCATGGTGGCACAGGCCTGTAATCCCAGCTACTTGGGAGGCTGAGTCAGGGGAATTGCTTGAATCTAGGAGGCAGAAGTTGCAGTGAGCCGACATCATGCTGCTGCACTCCAGCCTGGACAACAGAGCAAGAGTCTATCTCAAAAAAAAAAGAAAGAAAGAAAGAAAGAAAAAAACAAACAATGTTTATGGTGTGGTACAGCAGTGGCCATCATGATGGCAGACAGTCCCTGATGGCCATGTATGTGTTCTCTTTCTGAGACTTTGCTTGTATGAAAGTAGAGACCTAGAGAGAGGTTAGCATGTTTGTATTGCCCAGGGAAAGAGGAAGCAGGGCAGTTACAATGGGAGAACATTGAGCTTCTTATATGATGTAGCCGATAGAGTCTGGAGTGGACCCCTTATGATTACTCCTCTTGCAGTTTGCAGCCTGTACTTTCCCTGAGTGTGAGCTGAACCTGTGGCTTGCTGCTAACCAATAAAATATGGTAAAACTGATGGGATGTCCCTTCCATGACTACACTATGTAGTGTAAGACTCTCTCTTGCTAGCTGACCCACTCTAGAGGCTCTGTCTTCCTAGTTGGCTATGAAGAGGAAAGTAGTCATCATGGGGATCCACACAGCAGGGAGCTGAGGAGGCCTGTAGGAGCTGAGAGCAACCTCCAGCTTCAGCCTGCAAGGAGTTGGGGCCCTCAGTCCTACAACTGTAAAGAAATGAACTCTGTTAACAACCTGAGTGATCTGAAAAGAGGACTCTCCCACAGTCGAGACTCTAGATGAGGCTACAGCCTGGCCAACACCTTGACTTTTGCTCTGTGAAGTTCTGAGCAGAGGAGCTCACTAAGTTCTGCCTGGACTTCTGACCCACAGAAACTGAAATGATAAATGTGTGCTGTTTTAAACCACTAAGTTTGTGGTAATTTGTTATGCAGCAATAGATCACTAATGCATTAAAGTGAAACAGGCATGACAACAAACATGCAGATAAAGAAGATAAAGAGAAAAACTTGTGTTTCCAGCCCTGACCCGTTGCCTGGACTACACATTTATTACTGACCTGCCTACTCTGCATCTCCACGGGGATCTCTAGTAAGCTCCTCAACCTGAACGTATCCAAAACTGACCTTGGATTCTATGCTGGCTCCTCCCCTGGCCTCCAAAACCTGCTTCTCCCTCAGTTTCCTCATCTCAGTAAGTGGCAACTCCATTTGTACCATTTCTTAGGACCAAAACCTTGTGGTCACCCTTGATGCCCTCCTTTTTCATACCCCACCTGTAAGTTTATCAGCAAAGCCTTTTTACTCTGTCTTGAAAATAAATCCAGCATCATAACATTTTCATGGCTCCTCCCTGGTACAAGTCATCTGCATCTTTCCCCTGGATCACTGCAGTAGCTCCCAGCTGGGTCTTCAGGCCTCCATCCACCACCCCTACCCACAGCCCATCTCAGTCTAGCATGTGAAGTAACTTCTTAAAATGTAAGTAAGTCCAGTCCTTTTTCTGCTTTAACCTTCCTGTGGCTCCCCTCTGAGAGGTAAAGCCCAGGTCAGCATGATGACTTTCAAGGCCATATATGATCTGGCCCTCAACCCCCTCTGGCCTTGTCACCTCCTAATCTCCTGATCACCCTGTGTGCTCTGCCCACCCCAGCCTCATTGCTGTTCTTCACACAAACCACAGTGCTTCTGCCTCTGTGCTCTGGCACTGCTGTTCTCTCAACTTAGAATGCTTTTCTCCCAGGTATTCTGTGCCTCACTCCCATTGCTCATTACCACTCTTTTAGAAATTGTGATTTCCTATATTCCTTCCCCTGATTTATTTATCTCCTGAGCAGTTATCATCATCCAACACACCATATCTGTTACTACTTATTTTGTTTTCTGTCTTCTACAATGATAAGGAATGGGACTTTACACTTTGTGCACTTCTCTGCCCCCAGTACCAAGAACACTGATTGGCATGTAGTTAGTACTCATTGATTTTTGTTGAATGAATGAATGAACTGAACACAGAAGTCCTAAGGGAAACTGGAGAGTGAGAGTCCAGGGTGTGGATGGAGAATTAGCCTGACACAGGGGAAAGGATACCTGCTTCTTAAATCAGAGAAAATAGATGAGGAGGGGCAGGAGCAGGTCAGGGCAGCAGCAGGAAGTTTGGAATCTCCTCCTTCTATTTTCTCTCTGAGGTTGAGGGAGCCCTAATGAATGTCATTAGTGTCCTTCCAAAAGAGACCCTACAGATCTATCTTTATCCTTTGGCATGTGAACAAGTCTATGGGCCCTCACCACACACCATTATGCTGGGGTGTTGATCTTAGATTTCCCAGCCTGCAGAATTGCAAGAAATAAATTTCTGTTGTTTACAAACCATTCAGTCTTGGTGATATTTTTGTTATAGCTGCCCACATAGACTAAGACATACACATTAACACAAACAACCTTGCTTTCCATCTTTACAAATCAGGTATTGAAAAAATCACTCCTGATTCTTTCAATATTGTGTCTATTTGTAACTGCAGTAATAAAATTTTTGATTACTTAAATTTTTTCAGTCCAACTGGATTACTGAATTGTCTAAAACCTAAAATACTACCATTCAAGCTAGAATTTTAGATGCCTCATTTTATTAGTCAGGGTTCTCCAGAGAGACAAAATCAATATGATATAGATATAGATATAGGCATAGATATAGATGCACATACAGATATAGATGTAGATACAGATCTATGAGCAGGCATTTATTAAGGAGATTGGCTCATGTGATTATGGAGGCTAAGAAATCGCACAACAGCTCATCTGTAGGCTGGAGACCCTGGGATGCTGGTAGCATGGCTCAGTTTAAGTCTGAAAGCCTCAGAACCAGGGAAGCTGATTGTGTAACTCTCAGTCCAAAGCCAAAGGCCTGAGAACCCAGGGCCTCCTGGTACAAGTCCTGAAGTTCAAAGGCCGGAGAGCCAGGAGTTCTGATGTCCAAGGGCAGAAGAAGAAGAGTGTCTCAGCTCCAGAGGAGAGAAGAATTTGCCTTTCCTCTGCCTTTTTGTTGTATTGGGCACCCAGCCAACAGAAGGAGAGAATTTCCCACTGACTCACTTGCCAATCTCTTCTGGAAACACACTCACAGACACACCCAGAAATAATGTTGTACCAGCTGTCTAGGTATTCCTTAATCCAGTCAGGTTGACATCTAAAATTAACCAGCACATGGATTAACTTCCAGGATCCACTATTCTAGTTTCAAAATGTGGTTTTGGGATTCCTAGAGAGAACTCTGATGTACTCTTAAGGAGTCCCCAGTGTTAATAATATTTTCACAATAATAATAATGAAACATTAATCGTTTTTCATCTCATTCTCTCAGTAGTGTGCAGTAAAGTTTTTTTGAGCTAACATGACCTATGATATACCAATAGGTTTAATACAAAGGCAGATATGATAATACAAATATCTCTTATTAAGCCAGACATGAGATCTGGAAAAAGTTAACCAGTGTCACACTTTTTGTTTTTTTATTTGGACACAATAGATTGCTTTTTCACAAAACATCCTATCTACATTAACCTATAACTGATTTATTAATGCTATTTTAACATAAATTAAAAGATAACATTTTAAATTTTTGTTTCAATGTCAAATGTCATAAATATTAACCCAAATAAACAAAAGCTCTTTAAAGTCCTCAATAACTTCTAAGTGTCTAAAAACATAATTAGATCAGGAAGTTTGAAGCCACTGGTGTCCCCATTGAACCTGAATGCTGACGTAGACCTGGTCCAGTACTGCCCTGCTCGACCAGGACCTCAAACCTCAACCACACTCAGGGACTAAGTACTGACCCCTTGTTTATTGCAGGGACATCTGAGCCAAACCACATCCACATGAGTCCATGTTCTTCATTCATCTTCATCCCAGGTCCAGGCCTGTGGGTGTGTGCTGTGGAAATCCTGGGGTTGGGTGGAAATGAGCCATCATCTCCCAGGACCCTTTAGCTCTTATGGTGGGACTTAGCCATCCTTACAACCTTGGTCCCTCCCAGCTCTCTGGTTCCACTTCCTCTATCTCTGATCTGCATATCTGGTTCCCTCTCCCTTCTGGTGGTCCTGTGGATTCCTCTCTCCTCTCTCATCCTGGTGAACCCTGTTGGCCTCATTCCAAGTCCACAGCATCTGGTGCCAACTGGCATATTGGGCTTAATGTGGTTATCCTGATTTTAAACAGTAGGTTCGCTGCCCAACAGCTTCTCTCACTTTCTTTTTGACTGGGAGCTATGAAACAACTAGTTCCCTATGCCTGGATCCCATCCCATAATTACAAGCAAAGGAACTACTAAAGCCACAGACTAGTGAGGAGGAGAAAACTGGGGCAGAGGGCTGGAGTGGGTGTGAAAAAGGCAGCTGGAAGATGTTCTCTTACGTGACCAGAGGGGAGGAGGGCGTGTCTTTCATTAGGGGGGTTGTGCGGTGGCTGCTGAGATGGCCAGGGCTTATCTGCATGGCTGTGAGTCCAAGGAATTGATTCTATAGGCTCTGGTGGGTCCCCACTCTGTGAAGTTTCAGGCCCTCTTCAGGCACCATGACCCCACTGGCTCCTGTGAGTGCAGGGCAGATGAAGATGGGGCTGTCATCAGACCCTAACCTGAAGAAGGGCCTCACAGGCACAGTAAAGGCTGAACGGGGACATGTGTAGATGTGCGATCTGTCCCTCATGTTGTAGAAGGAGACATCTCCAGCTTCATAGTCCAGGAAGACGCCCACCCGGCAAAGGGACTCCTTCAAAGGGAGAATCCTCTCAGGGGAGGACAGGGCCCGGTATTGGTTTCCAAACATCTCCAGGGTCCAGAAGCCATTCTGAGGAATCAGCAGGACCTCCCCTTTCCTCTCAACACTGTGTCTGCAGACCCCCACAGTCCACACCATCACGTTTTCCACCTCCACCTCCCAGTAATGTTTCCCTGAGGCGAAGCTCTCCCATCCCAGGACACAAGGCTGACTGTCGAATCTCTCTGGGTTGTCAGGCACTCTCTGCCTGTAGGGGCCCCGCCTCACACTTCTCCGGTCCTCTGACAGGAAGAGCTCGGGATGAGCGGTGTCTGGATCCAGGACCACATCAGCTGCAGAGGAAGTCTCAGGTTTATGCCTGGGGTCTCAGGAACCCTGGGGATTGTGTGGTTCCTGGTCCCCAGAGAAGTCTCAGAAAGCTGAAGGGGGTTCCCCATGTAGTGGCCGTTTCCATGAAGGTCCCCTGATCCCAGGCAGCTCATACCCTGAGAATTACGGAAGCTGCACTTCTATCTCTCCAGAGACAGAAGCAGTGCCCCCAGGTTGAGAAGAATTGTGGCTCTATGAAATCCAGAGAGTTTAGGAAATGAGCCAAAATTAATGGTTCCCAGTTTTTCTCAGCATTCTAAGATCTGATCCCTTTTCTATTCAAGATATATGATCTCTGGGACTTTCTTTAGTTAGAAACTTTCCAACTTGGCTTAAACCATCACAGAAGCTTTATCTCCTATTGTTCCCCCACATACCTCTCAATGGATCAATTAAGTGAGTCTATCATTACACACTGTCCTAGGTGGTGAAGGACCTCTTCGTTGGTCCTATAGGTTGTTTTAATAGGTGACAACTGATTTAAGTGGCTGACAAGGGCACACTTCAAAGGATAAAGAAGGAGAATAAATGTGTGCAAAAGAAAACCTGGTGCCTGAGGGATGTGTGGGCAAAGTTAGGGAAGAAATACTTCAATCCAGTTTTGCTTTAACAATATGAGTCTGACATCTACCAGGATTACTTCTCCCATACAGGAAAAGCCCCAGGAGCTGAGCATTCTGCAAACCTCTACCTTCTGCATGTATTCTTACTTATTCAGTCTACCTTTCTATTGCATTAAAATGATTTTCTCTTTTCCACAAGTTGATATGTCTGATTGTGACAAGTTGTGATTGTGTCCCAAAATGACAGTGGCAATTTTGAAACTCGCCAAAGAGGAAAGGTCCATGGGCCCTGGTATCTGGTAAAGTTTGGATTCTTTGGTGCTGACAGGCAGAGGTGCCGAATCACAAGATGAGAACTCACTGGAAGTGGGCGATTGGTTTCTCTGTGCTCTCCCACTCACCCTCCCACTCACCCAAACCCCTTCCCCTGGCAGACTACATGCAGAATATCAGTGCTCTCTTAGAGGCAGAAAGGTATTTCTGGCCACCTATTTGTACACCATTGCATCAGGCTTACTGGGGACCCTTATGGCCTTTTCCTCACATAGGTCTTCAACTGTGCACAGTCTATACCATTCCCAGGATATGAATTGCTAAGACAGCATTATCTTATTTCAAATTGATCCAGAATCAAAGAGCAATGACTTCTGAAATGTAACTCTTAGGAGGCTACTATGCATGGGAAACCTTTGATAATCATGCATTAAATTATTCCAAAAGAGAAAGGGTCCTGGGGATGTAAACTGCAGGGTTCATTAAGAGCTGCTGGGGTTCCCTGACAGAAGAGCCATGATGCATCATTGCTGGGACACCGTTGATGAACTGACCCCAGTTCCCTATGGTCCCTGTGTAGCCCTGGGCCCCTTGCTCATCTCCTCTAAGGAGTCCTGTTAGCTGGCTAGTGGGGAGAAAGCTGAGATCTGAGAGAACATCAGAGGCACTCACCAGCATGTAAGAATGTTCTTCTCCATCCTGCAAGGGACAGACAGAGGTGAATGTCACGAGACACTGCTAAGTAAGCAGAACACAAATTGTACACGGAGTAGTTCAGGAAAGGCTAAACTTACGCAATTCTTCTTGAAGTTGCTCTGAAAACAAAATACAGAAACAAAATCATGTCTTCAACAGAAGAACTAAGAGAAATTGAGCTTGTATTAAACAACGTAGGAACCATCCTTTCTATGAACACCAACATCACCCTTCGTTTATGCCTAAGGAACAGTCAGAAACCAGCAATGATGTATGATCAGATGGCTGGGTAGTATCAGTACATTGTTAGACTTTTGTCTGAACTTTCGTTCAGCCATGTAGTGCTGCATATAGCCAGGTGAATGAATGTAATGTGTGCAGCATGGAAGAAAGAAAGCTCTGAATGATTACTTCTTATGACATGAGAGTTCCAAGCCCTTGTGGCTGCTGCTGTGCATTTCCTCTCTCTCTTCCCTAAGCCGGTACCTGTGAGAGCTGTGGCCTTTCTATGACAGTCAATTGTCCTCCTACTCATTTAACTTTTCTTTTTGAATTTCTTTCTATTTTTCCACACTTTCTTTACAAATTCCTTACGTGCAATTTCTTTTTCCTCTTGTTCAACTTTCTTTTCCCCTGACAGAATCTTTTTTTCCCTTTGAAGTTTCTTGATGCAACAGATGCTGACAGCCATGAAGATGATGAAAACAGCCAGGATGACAGTCATGGACACCATCCAGGGAGATGCGGTCAGGATGACAGCTAGGGCCACCATCCAGGGAGATGCGCTGGGCATAAAGGATTCTGAAAAGGCAGCCAGAAAAGTCCATTTAGTTTGAAATAGAACATCTGGATGAGAGTGCCCCTAAGAGCACATCTGAAGAGCTCCTCAGCCACCTGTTCTGTTGGCTTCTCCCTCAGAAACCTTAGATGGAGAAAGCGATGCTGGCTCAACACTGGCTGACACCTCAGTGACTGCCAGGGCCGGGCCCAGAAGGGGGCAAAGCAGAAACATCTGGAGTCACCATGGAAAGGACCAGAGTGCATAAAACTAACCAGCCATGCTGAGTCAGCACAGCCATCACCCTGCCTCAAACCACCATCACTCACGCCTGGAATACTAGAGTGCCCTCCTTCTTGTTCTGCTCTATTCTGTAATCTACTCTCAGCAGAGCAGCCCAAGTGAGATCATGTTAATTATTTGCTCAAAACCTTCCAATGCTTCCCACTCACTCACTCTAAAAGCCAAAGCCTGTTTGTGGCCTGTGCTGCCATATATAACGTAGTTGCATCACTCTGTGAATTCATCTCCCCCTACTTCCTGAACTCACTCCATTTCAGCCACACCAGCATCACCTCCTGGGAGTCCTGGAAACTGCCAGACAAGCTCCTTCCTCAGGCCTTTTGCATATGCTCTTCCTGTACCTTGGCTGCTCAGTCCTTAAGCATCTGATGGTTCCTTGTCTTGATTGCTCAATTTCCATCTTTACAGTGAAGTCTTCCCTGACCACCTTGTTAATAATTCTGATGCCTCACACCCCTGGAACTCTCTATTTTCTCTTTGCTTAATTTTTCCTACATGCTCGTCACCATGTGATAGAATATATAGATTATTATTTATTTAATCACTTGTTTCAATTATTTCATATATTGCTGTCTCTCTCTCGCGCTCCCTTTTTTTCTTTTTCTTTTTTAAGACAGAGTCTCACTCTGTTGCCCAGGCTGGAGTGCAGTGGCACGATCTTGACGCAAGCTCTGCCGCCTGGGTTCAAGCAATTCTCCTGCCTCAGCCTCCCAAGCAGCGGGGATTACAGGCGCCTGCTACCGCACTCGGCTAATTTTTGTAGTTTTGGTAGAGATGGTGTTTCACCATCTTGGCCAGGCTGGTCCTGAACTCCCGAACTCATGATCCAACCACCTTGGCCTCCCAAAGTGCTGGGATTGCAGGTGTGAGCCACCGTGCCCGGCCGCTGTCTCTCTCTAGAATATGAACTCCTTGAGGAGAGAAATTTTGATATATTTTGTTCAATTATTGACCCTTGGTTTCCTGTACAGTCTTAAACATAAGAAATGCTTGTTGAACATTTGTTGAATACATTTATGAATGTCTCTTGATAGGGAATTTCCCCAGCTCTGTCCTTTGGGAAGTCCCATAGACAGGAAGGGATGGCTGCAACATACAGGAATGCCAAGCATAGACAGTCACCCACCCACACTACTCTCCAGGTTTGATGGTTGTCCTTAATATTTTACAACTGTTGCAGCATAAAGACCTAATCAAGAAAAAAAAGACCAGGTTTACCCTCAGAGAAGAGGCTCCTACTCTTGTGTTTTGGGACTCTTTGAATCTCCCTTTGTGAGGAGGGGAGACGTCTCAACTCAGCTGCAGCCTCCAGCTCCTCAGGGCCCAGGACCATTCCACCCACACTGCTGCCCCCATTCCCGCTCTGGGCTCCATCTGGGTGCTGAGGATCCTGCATACACTTGATAGGTCTCAGAGGGCAGAGAACTAACCTGGAATAAAAATGACAGTTTCCTTCTCCTGGCCGAGCAGGGTGTTGTTGACAGAGCAGGACACATTCCTCACATACTTGTCTCTGATGATCACAGCTGTGGTGACCATGAAGAGGCCGTCAGCATCAGCGATGGAAACCTCCTTCAGGGCGGGCACAACCTCACCGTAGGGGTCCCTCCACACTGTGAGGGGCTCTGGGTACCACCCTCCAGATATGCACTCCAGCCAGATGCTCCCATCCTCTTGGGCCTTGATTTCAATGAGGGGCTTAGACCCAAGGCCTGGAAAGGGAGACCAGGGCTCAGCCAAAAGGCAGTGGTATCTTAGCCCCTACTGCACCTTGATGGATGGTTGCTAGAAAGACCCTTGGTTTTGGAGAACATCAGGAAACCAATATGCAAAATAAATTGTGAGATCTCAAAGAGAAAGGATCACATTGCACACTTTTCTTTATGCTCCACCTGAAGGCCCCATCACAGCACCAAGCATCTATCTGTCTGCTATAAATGCTTGCTGTGCAATTTATTCTGGCAAAGACTAATTTTCTCACTTCCAGGAGGGTGTGTCCAAATTCTCAACAGGCAGGTTGAGAATTTCACTTTCTGCTCCTGGGATGACTTCTCTGCAGACCTCAATTTCCTGAAGCTCTAAAATAATACACTAATGACAGAAACCTATCAGGTTGGCAGAAGCTTTTTTTCCTTTCTTTCTTTTTTTTTTTTTTTTGTAGAGATGGGGTTTTGCCATGTTGCCCAGGCTGGTCTCAAACTCCTGAGCTAAGGCAATTCACCTGTCTTGACCTCCCAAAGTGCTGGGATTACAGGCATGGGCCACTATGCTCAGCCTTGGCTAAATCTTAAGAAACTTTTTGAACCAAAGTCACTGACACTTCTGTCTAGTTCAGGGCCTCACATCACCATGGCTATCTACCTCCATAGGAGGTGATGGTTTTTAGGAGAATAGACAGAACTAGCTGGCAAAGCCAATTCTTATTCTAATTCACAGTTGTTTACCTCCCAGAGGTTCCATCCAATAGAGAATTTTCTTACAGTCCTTTAAGAACATCAATGTATTAGAAATATCTGGATGCCCCTGGGATCCTTAAGATAACCATATTGCCTCCTCAATGTCAGAGATCATCACCAAAAATCCTAATAATTCAGGCTCATCCTAAATATATTCTATCTTTACTAGAACCTTCAATGAAAGAGAATACCCAGAGTGAGAGAGCTGCAAAAGCATGGTCCTGGGAGACCCTTCAGCCATGCGTGATCATCCAAACTTCTCCTGAATAATTCCTTTGTAAAGTCTCCCAACAAATTATGTTAAAGAAAGAAAATTAAAGCAATCACTTAAGCCTAGTGCTTTCTGCTCTGTTTAATTTTTGTCAGGAGAAAAAAGCTAGTTGTGCATTTGAAGGCTCACACAGAAATCCTGAATTAGAAAAGAAATTAAAATACCTCAGCAAATTGGAAAACAAAGTCCTACAAAACATTCCATGGGTTCAATACGGGTAAGCATGACACAATAGATTTAAGGGAAAAATCAGCCACCAACCAATCCAACAAACAGAGTACAATAAGCAAGCAAACAAAAAGTCCTACAGCAACCCAATTCAGACTAGGGAAGGCCAGGACAGGGTTGGTTTTACAGAGAAAGAGTAGTGGGTCCCTGCCACATACAACCATTCATTACTGGGCAACATTGCAGTGCTGCTGTGAACACAGTCATGACAATGGGTCAAGAAGCCCTCCATCCACGATATTCTGTTTTAATCAGATGTAAGGTTGCCTTTGTGAGTAGCAAAGATAGGGTCTCCTACCTGTTATGATTTGGGGCCCCCTGGGAAGAACCCAATTTCCTAGTCCTTGCCTCCACTGGTCTGATGGACTGAAATGTCACCACGAATTATTCTGCAACTTAAAGGCTTTTTTCAGTCCTGAAATATACCTTTTAAAGCAAAATACACTAACTGCAACACTGAGGTAATCACTTAGTGTCACTTTTAACAAACTATTAGAAATCCCAGTTTAAGTGCATTTCTATGCTGAAGCCTTGCCAATTTCTTCCCAGCTAAATTCTTAGTCTTTCTCTGTGGAGTTAGCAGGAATTATAGATAACTTTGTTTCTGTATTTAGTTGTGCTTTAATAAAAATCATCTATTTATATAAAAGTCACTCTCTCTGCAATCAGTATTTCAGGAAAGAAGAAAATGTCAAGATTAATATTTATCGAAAAATAAGATTTCATGTCATAGTTCTCTGGGCAGTTCTTATTGATTCTGATTGCCCCGGGACAATTTTTGACAGTGTCTCCTTTCACTCTCAGACGTGCACAGTTCAGTGCCAAGGCAGGCATAAGACTTTCTTTTCCGGGATTAACTATTTTCCCCTGCTCATGGCCTCAGCTGAGGAATGCGTGTGCTTCTGAAGAAGTGAAGCCCAGGCTGGGCGTGGTGGCGCACGCCTGTAATCCTAGCACTTTGGGAGACTGAGGCAGGTGGATCACAAGGTCAGGAGTTTGAGACCAGCCTGCCAACATGGTGAAACCCCGTCTCTACTAAAAAAATGCAAAAATTAGCCGGGCATGGTGGTGTATGCCTGTAATCTCAGCTACTCAGGAGGCTGAGGCAGGAGAATAGCTTGAACCCAGGAGGCAGAGGTTGCAGTGAGCCAAGATCGCACCACTGCACTCCAGCCTGGGCAACATAGCAAGACTCTGTCTTGAAAAAAAAAAAAAAAGAAGTGAAACCTATAGCTTAGCAGGGCAAACCCACTCATGTGGCCTTTGTGCAAGAGGAAGCCACTTTCTCTGTGGAAAGGGGACGCCAGATAGAAATCCGTTGGTCTGCAATGGGCCTGAGGTTAAGGGAGAAACTTTCCCCAAAAGTCACACTGTGCAAAAGTAATAAAGCAAAATGAAGTGATGCACCTGCCACCACGAGGCGTAGGATGGCCTCATCGTAGGACCTGCCTTCTTGGAAGTAACAGCGGTAGATCCCATTCTCCTGGGCTGTGACGTTATGTATGACCAGGGCCACGCTGCCCCTGTTGATGTCTTTGCTCACAAAGGTGATTCTTCCCCGGTACTCCTCCATCTGCTCCTCTGTTCTCTCTCTCCCACCCTTATACACAAACACTGCGGGGGAGAACTGAGACCGGAACCACCGCACCTCCATGTCCTCAGCATTTTTCTCGGGTGACAGATGGCAGCGTAATGTAGTGTTTTCTCCCACCATGGCCAGGATGGGATTAGCTGGCCCCACGACAGTAAACTGGGCTGTTCAACAAGGGCAGAATCAGACAAGGATGCCAGTTATCACAACTCTAAGGCAAAACAAAAAACAAAAAACAAAAACAAACAAACAAAAAAAACTCCAGGGATGAAAGGAAGCAGATATTCCAAGGCTACAGGGGTTCTTGGGCTGAGAACCCTTCTGGGGACCAGTAGCTGTGGCTGGTCGGCAGCACCAACCCCTGGGAGCAGTAACTATTGAGGCTGCTCCTGCTTCACGAAGGAAACATTGGGGAGCCCGCCCTGGGCACCCTGTGCCCCTGAGATTTTCCTCCATTTTGCAATCTAGCACTGTGCCTGAGTGTAGTGTAAACTTGAACTGTCCATTAGGGTATCTATCCACTAGCTATTTAACAGTTCCAATAAAAATGAACTCTAAGTGTAAAACACACACAGATTATAAAGATTTAAAATTTCAAAATGTCAAATATCTCATTGGTAATAGTTCTATTAACTAAGCATTTAAATATTGATATGTGATTATTTATATGAAACAAAATACATTATTAAAATTTATTTCAAGTATGTTTTTACCTTTTAAAATAAAAAGTAGAATAGGCACAGGGTCTTGCGCCTGTAATTGCAGATATTTGGGAGGCCAAAGTGGGAGGATCCTTAACAGCTAGGAGTTTGAGACCAGCCTGGGCAAAATAGTGAGACCCTGTCTCTACAAAAAATAAAACTTAGTCGAGTGTGGTGGCCCTTGCTTGTACTCTCAGCTACTTGGGAGGCTGAGATGGGAGGATCCCTTGAGCCCAGGAGTTTCAGGTTACAGTGAGTTATGATCTCATTCTCCATCTGCTTCATTCCGGCCTGGCAACAGAGCAATATACTCTCTCTTAAATAAATAAACAAATAAATAAAAAGTTAAAAAAATCTTTTTGAAGATTTGCACTTGTATATGCACTTGACCTTTGTGCTTCACTGTGTTTCTTTTGGACAGTGCTGGTATAAATTCAGTGAACATGTTCAGAATGAAAGGATAAGTCAACAACCCCACAGTTCTTCCTTCTTTCCCTTTGCAGACTACAGGGTTGATGTTCCTTTCTGAGAGGTGACAGCAGCAAGTGACACACATCCCTACCTGAGACCAGTGCACACAGGCTGAGAAGGAGGAGGAGCAGGAGGAGGAGGAGGGAGGCTGGCAGGGAGAAGTGCAGAGCAGCAGCTGGTTCCATGAGCACCCAGGGCAGGCAGAGACCAGAGGCCTAGGGTTACAGAGGAGGAGAATCAGCCTAGGAGTCTTGGCACCTCAGTGCTGGTCGGGCCCAACCTCTCCTGTCACTCAAGTAGGTCTCATCGGTGCCCCAACTTCTGGGAGTCGCTTGCATCTCAAGGCTCAGGTATCTCCGAAAGAGGGATTCCGTAAACATTCCATAAGTAAGCCATCAATGCAGAGATCAAGGGGGCCGTTTTCCTCCTTCCTCTTCCCACTTCTCGGGCCACAGTCCGGTTTCTTCAGTTGTCCCTGGATTCTTTCACACCCTCGTCCCTCCACTTCCCCCTCCCCGAGACCCAGGTCGGGACACTCGAGGTAAAGCCAGGCGAGGCTGCGCCTCCCCACCAGTAGGCTTCCTGTCTCCCAGGTCCCCCTCTCCTCTCCAGAGCAGATCCCGCTCCCCGCACCTACCGCCCCCAGCTACCGCCCCCACCCCGGAGCTGTAGCGCCTCCTCTCCCTTTCCTACCTTCTAGAACTAACCTCTGTTTTCTTTTCCCCTCTGATCCTCACATGACGATTTTCCGATACAACTCACCCATGGGCACAGTCACCACCAGACAACAAAGCATCCCAAAGAGAAGAGAAAAGCTGTGTTCACCTCCTATTAATCGCGATGTTTGGAGTTGCGGACTCGGTATCTGGGACCTGTTCTCTGGGTGTCCAAAAAGTCCCAAGATTTCCACTGAGCAGTTTAGAGCCCAGGATTGGCCGAGTGAGGCTGAACCAACCAATGGTGTCTCGAGCCTTATTTCTCAGCTGTTACTAGGTAGAATACACACACAAAAACCCCCCAAAAATCTCAAGCAGCAAATAACCTTTTGGGATTATTAGGTATTTCTATTTCCTTTTTCTGTCTTTGGAAGCAAGACTTTTTTCCTTTATTTTCCTTTCTTCCTTCCTTTCTTCCTTCCTTCCTTGCTTCCTTCTTTCCTTTCTCATTCTCTTTTTCTTTCTTTCTTTCTTTCATATGTCTCTCTCTCACTTTATTCTTTCTTTCTTTCTCGCTTTCTTTCTTTTTTCTTCCTTCCTTCCTTCCTCTCTCTTCCTTTCTCTCTTTCTCTTCCTTCTCTTCTCCTTCCTTTCTTTCTTTCTCTTTCTTTCTTTCTTTCTTTCTTTCTTTCTTTCTTTCTTTCTTTCTTTCTTTCTTTCTTTCTTTCCTTCTCTCTCTCTCTCTTTCTTTCTTTCCTTCCGTTCTTTTACAAAGCCTTGAGATCCCCAAGGTGTCAGTGGCTTTGCTGGTGTAGACGAGGAGAGGGCTCTCTATGTAGAGTGATTTTGCTGGGGAGGAAACATGAGGAGGAAAACATAAGCCGCCGTCTTTCCAAAGCCAGAGGACTCTTGTTCATGTTGCTGGCTTTGAAGGTTGGGCCTGGTGCGCGGGAGGCCTTGGGGGAAGCAGGCATGGCTGGAGTGGGAGGGGTAGCAAAGGAAAGGTGACAGCAGTTGCAGTGGCTGTTATGAAGGTCTTGTTGTTCACTCCAAAGCTATTGGATAAGACGTGCTGAGAATACTGAGTGAGGATTAAAAACCCTTTCCCACGGGGAGGTGGTATTCTGGTGGAGGCAGAAGATGGAAGTGAGCAAAGACTTTCAGTTGACCTTGACCTTCTGCCAGTAGGTGGTGGGGTTAAGTCCAAGGACCACACACACACACCAGCACACATAACCTCCTCCCCATGAACATAATCCCTCCCCCACAGAATCCAATCTTGTCATTGTATAGATATCTTCCAGAATAATCTTCCCAAGGCCCAGTTGTCAATAATCCCCTCAAATGTCTAAATACTTAGTCTGGAACTGGTGCAGTGGCTCACACCTGTAATCCCAACACTTTGGGAGGAGGAGGCAGGCAGATCACTTGAAGTCAGGAGTTCAAGACCAGCATGGCCAACATGATGAAACCCCGTCTCTACCAAAAAAAAAAAAAAAAAAAAAATTAGCTGGGTGTGGTGGCACATGCCTGTAATCCCAGCTACTCAGGAGGCTGAGGCAGGAGAATGGCTTGAACCTGGGAGGTGGAGGTTAGGGTGAGCTGAGATCATGCCACTGCACTCCAGCCTGGGTGACAAAGTGAGACCCTGCCTCAAAATAAATAAATAAATAATAAAATATACACAAATAAATGCTTAGTCTAGAGGCCTCCAATTCCCTTCTGATTCAATTCAAAACTTTGCAGTTAATACACTAGCAATGGCTCCACAGTGGCCTTGCATCACAACGTTGCACTCCCTGTGGCCAGCGCTCCCTTTCCCATGCCATGCCTTTCACTTGAATTGCTTGCTCCATCTTTGCCCCTTGAAATCCTGCCCAGCCTTCGTGCCTACTTCCTCCAAGAACAACTCTGAATGCTCCTGCCTGAAGTGCTCTCGGCCTCTTCTAACACCCATATCTTTTGCTGTTCCCATGTCCTGTCTTCTATTATTGTTATCCAGGTATCAACTGTGTCTTTGCTGTGACTGGAGTACCTGTTCCTCAGGACAGACTTCTGCAGGATGTGATTCTTCTCTCCTTACAAGGCCCAACTCTAAGCTCTGCTCTCAGCTGTTGTTCAATGCATGAGTGACATGCTCAGGGTAAGGTCATTCCCACCACAGGATGGCCCAGTTCCTGGAATCATTCGGCACCAGAGTTCGAGAGAGAGGTGGCAGCACTATTAAGCCACTCTAGATCAGAAGATCAAGGACCAGGAAGGATGAACCAGTAGGTCCCTTCTGCAGAGAAAGCTCTTTGATGAGAATAAGATAAAGAAAGGCCTAAGAAGTGTTTTTACTATTGAATTGACACTTGAACTGTCCCATTCTCATACAGAAGCCTCACTCATCACCTGATATTTCTGGATTATAATTAAAATTGGATCCTGGGTTGAGTGGCTAATGAGGGTAATTATGTCAGTATTAGAATATTCCAACCAGGACTGGGCAGCTGTTGGGAAAGGACAGAAGAGAAGGATGCAAGTGTCTAAGAGCATGGCCACCCAGGATGAGACCTGACTTTATATTTTTATTTGAAGAAATAAGACCCAGGGCTTTGAAGCAGCTTGTGCAAGAAGCATCCAGCTAAGCCAGGCCTCAACCTCTGCCAAAGTTCATCTGAGCAGGAGGGAAACATGTGTGTTCTGAGAAGGAAGAGGATCATTTGGCCATGGGGTAGCTTAGCAAGAAACCAGGTTCTACTGGGGTGTGCCAGGTTAGATAGTAATGATCTAACCCAATCATACTGTGTCCTGGGATGGAAAAAGAGACAGGAAGGGTCACTTCAGAAAGATTCTTTATGGACATGGTGTACCTGCCAATCCTGGAAGAACCGGGACCCGGAGTGAGCAATGATTCACTGTTGCTGTGCAATAAACTCCAATCTTTGAAAGTAATATGGGTGTGTCATCTCCAGCTATGGAGTACTCCGAGGGGATCCACAGGCATCTTGGCACACAGAAAATCCATTTCTACTTTGTCCTGTTCAAATTTTAGTTTCCTGACTCACAGAATCAATGAGCATATTATAATGCTTATGTAAGCTTCCAAATTTTACAACTGCCGCAATATTAACTAGTACATTTACCTTGTCTCAACACAACAAATTTTTTCAAAGAGAAGAAATGATATTGGGCTTCTAAAAGAAACAAACATGATAAAATTGCCTAAGCTCTCCATTTGGAGCCTTCTCTCTGCTCATCTGCTTTGGTCTTCTCTGCAGTCCACCATCCTTTAGTCCACAGCATGAATGGAACATTTCTTCCCACAGCTCCCATGCACATCTGTTACAGGAGTAACTAGCCACATGTCACTTAGTCCTCTGGCCTAGCCTGGGTCAGTGTCCATCCTAGACCCAGTCCATGTGGTGAGGCTGCAGGGCCATGTGATATGGGCATGTATTGGAAGACAAGAGGTCACTAATGCTAAATAAATGTGGTGCAGGGAGGGCAGAGAGACCTTGAAAGGCATTCACTATATTCTCAGAGGTGAGCCCTTATAACTGATGCTGTTGATGCCCCATCCCTTATTCTCTTGGCCTATCACAGTTTGCCAATAGCTGAGGCACAGTTTTCTGCAAAGATGACAACCTTCCCACCTCCAGTGAGTATCTCCCTTCTCCTTTGCCTGTGAGCTTTATCACACCCATGATAGTTGCTTTTCTGCAGTTACATAGCCCAATCTTAAAGTACATTAGAATTAACACTCCCAGGCCAATCTTCAAACAATTCAAGCAAAGGAGGATGGGAAGTGGAGATAAAGTCGCAGGCCCTGTAGTCCTTAGGAAGATTCTGAGCTATATCACACATTTCATATGGTTTCTTAGAGAGTCGTAAAAGGGATTAAGCCAAGTTTTCCACATGATAACTGACTCATGAATGAACTCTTTATCTCATTTCTCATGTAATTGGCTTTCTTTCATTTCTCAATTTATTTCTGCACTTGTGTTTCCTGGGATCACTTCCCAAATCAGTGTGGTGAGCTGAGTAGTGCCCCCCCCCGCCCACCCTTTGAGTTATATCCACTAAGAAACTTATGAATAGAATGTATAACATGGCGAAATGGATGTTACACAAAATTAAAATTATGGACCTTAAATTAGAGAGATTATTCTAAACTGTCTGTTGGACTCAGTCAAATCACAGGAGTCTTTAAAAGTAAAAGGCAGACTGAGTGCCGTGGCTCATGCCTATAATCCCAGCACTTTGGGAGACCAAGGTGGACAGATTTCTTGAGCTCAGGAGTTTGAGACCAGCCTGGGCAACATGGCAAGACCCTGTCTCTACAAAAAAAATACCGGGGCATGGTGATGTGGGCCTGTGGTCTCAGCTACTTGGGAAGCGGAAGTGGGTGGATTGCTTGAGCCCAGGGGACAGTTTGCAGTGAGCCGAGATCACGCCACTGCACTTCATCCTGGGTGACAGAGCGAATCCCTGTCAACAATAAATAAATAAATAAATAAAAGGAAGGAAAAAAAGGAGAAGGTAAAAGAATCAGAATGATACAATGGAGAAAAAGAACTAGGAGAGGAGACTCAATGTACTGTTGCTGCTTTGAAGATGGAGGAAGGGAGCTAAGAGTCAGAGTGTGGCAGCCTCTAGAAGTGGGTACAGTCCCTGGCTATAAACCAGGAAACAACTGGGACCTCATTCCTGTAAATGAAGGGAACTGATTCTGCCAACGATCTGAATAAGCAAGGAAATAGATTCTTCCTTAGAGACTCCAGAAAGGAATCCAGCCTGCAGACACCTTGATTATAGCCTGGTGAGATCCCTGTGGGACTTCTCACCTACAGAACAGTGAGATAATAGATTTGTGTTGCTTTAAATCTATGAATTTCTGGTAATTCAGATGGCAACAATAGAAGAGGCATCCAATAAGGGTTTTGTGAAAATGCTGCAGTGAGGCAAACTGAAACTGTGGGGAGTACAGTGGGTATGTAGACTACTCTACTGTGCTGAGTAGACACCACAGTCTAGAAAAAACCAAGTTGAAGAGTCAGCATTATTAACAAATTTATTGAACAACTAGAACTTGACAAGCACTTGCCCAGTAGAGGGGATACAGTGGTGAGCAATAATAGTGATGATAATGAGGAGCAGTTTTCCCTAGCAGGCAGCAGTTGAAAGGAATATGGGTTTAACATCCACCAATGACCAGGAGTGGACAGATCCTTTTCCAGGAGACTGAGTCCATAGTGGGATTAAAAACATCCCTGTAATTCTTCTAGCTTCCTTCATCCAAATTACCAATATTACAGAGAATCTCTAGGGTATTTGCTCTGCCTGGAAACCTTGACTGAAGGAAGGCTGGCTCTGGCTGCACGATCACTTATCACATTTGTTGGGTGGGAACACATCTGTGCCCCATTATTAACTGAGTGTGGCCTCTAGTCTCTTTCAAAGTCACATGCCCTGTGGGAACTGCAACGTTATTCTCTCAACCAAGACACTCTGCAGAGCCAATCCAAGGAGTGCTGGGTCTAAGGCTCTGATAATCAGCTGGGAAGGAGTCCATAGGGGTCTTAACTCCACAACCACTCACAGTGATCTCGATCCTGGAGCTGTCCTGGGAAGGGAACCTCAGGGCTACATGTGGGCTCTTCCCATGCAGGAAAAATCAGGCTGGAAAAGAACGGGCAATTGGCCAGGGACTGAAGCTGAACATCTCCCAACTGCACAAATTACCGTGTGAGTTATGTAAGCTACTTAATGTTGCCCTGCCTCTGCTTCCATACTTGCCAAATGAGACTACCTGACAGGGTGTTGTGAGGATTAAAGGAGTGACACCCACCAAAGCTCATAACACAGCACTCAGAACGTTTTAAATTCTCCATTAATGTTAGTCATTGTTGTTCAGATCCCAGCTCTGTTGTTCACTATTCCTGTCTGCTTTGTAAAGTCAATACACTTTTCTACACCCCAGTTTCCTTATCTGTATAAAGGGGCCAATAAGGTGGCACCAAACTCAAACAACTGTCCTATGGAATAATTGAATGAATATCAGTAAAGTGCTTCAGTGTGTGCCTGTAGCTTTATGGTTCTGACTGGCTGTTGTGGAGGGTGAGACCCTTAGCTCCAGGCTGGGCAGGGAGAAGCAGAGATGTTACTTCAGCCTGAGGCTCCCCACTTTCATTAGCTAAGCCTGGGGTCAGTGGTATCTCCAGGGAATGATCAGGCACTAGGTCGGGATCGGGGGAACTCTCTACTTTTGGTATTGGGCAAACGGTCAGGGCAGTGGGCTCCAAGGTCAAAATTCTGAATACAGGATACAGAGGCTCAGAGGAAGAGGCGTGCAGAAATGTGTAGATATGAGATCCATCCGTGGCATTGTAGAACGAGATATGTCCAGTCTCATAGTCCAGGATGACCCCCACTTTCCTAGGAGGCTCAGGAAGTTTCAGGTTGGTTCTGGGCTCAGTGAGAGCCCGATACTTATTCCCATCAGTCAGGCCCATAGTCCAGTATCCGTTCTCCGGTGTCATTTTGACCCAAACTTTTTTCCTCTCCACGTTCTTACTACATACCCCAATATGCCACTCTTTTCTGTCCCCCACTTCCACCTCCCAGTAGTGTCTCTCTGACATGAAGCTTTCACAGCCAAGCACACAGTAACGCCATTCAAATCTCTCAGGGTTGTCTGGTAGGTCATGGGGCTCCTCAGCACGCTGTACACTCCTCTGGTCCTCAGAAACAAGGAGGATGGCATTTGCCATGTCTGGATACAGAATTACATCTGCTGCAGAGAGTTTGAGGAGGTGTCCATGGGGTCAGCCATTTTTCCTGGATTTAAGAGCCACAGCATGCAAGGCTTGGGCCATGCTGAGGAGGTCCTTCCAGAACCCCGTGTCCCTAGCCTGCCCTGAATGTGATTCTCTCATCAATGTCATTGGTGAAAGCCCCAGGGGTCTAGTGACCAGAGGGGAAATGAAAGTAAGGTCAGTATCTGCCTAACCCAATACCCTGATGCGGCCCCAAGAAGCAACAAGGATCCTCTTTCTACATTTTTGTTGTTTCCCTCCCCACATTGATTCTGCCCACTGATGCTTTATACTCAGAGGTTAATTTTCTTTTCTTTTTTTTTTTTTTTTTTTTTCTTGAGACAGAGTCTCGCTCTGTCTCCCAGGCTGGAGTGCAGTGGCGTGATCTCGGCTCACTGCAAGCTCTGCCTTCCGGGTTCATGCCATTCTCCTGCCTCAGCCTCCCGAGTAGCTGGGACTACAGGTGCCCGTCACCATGCCCGGCTAATTTTTTATTTTTTGTATTTTTAGTAGAGACGGGGTTTCACCGTGTTAGCCAGGATGGTCTTGATCTCCTGACCTTGTGATCCGCCCTCCTCAGCCTTCCAAAGTGCTAGGATTACAGGCATGAGCTGCTGTGCTGGCCCTCAGAGGTTAATTTTCAATCTTCACTCGACCACTCGTGAGCTAAATGAGTTCCCCTTTTCTGCAGTCTATTTTTCCATACATCCAATTTATTTAACAAGGTGGAGCCTCATCTGAAGCATTTCCTCACCTGAAAAATGGGGATAAACATATGAATCTCTAGCGCTGTAGAAGGCAATCATATTATTTACTCAGCCCACAGCAGGCCATGAAGGAAGCTCCTCATCTTCCTGATAGCTGCAAGGCCGTCTCTGTGCTGGGCTCTGTGTGGGGCCTTATATGCCCTAGATTCACTCTCCAGCCTTCAGCTTTCTCCACCCTCTTCTGGACCCCAGGAATCTGTCCTCTATGGACAGTGCCACTGGGCTCCCTTGTCCTCTGGTTTGCTGCTGTGTTTGGCCAATGGGAGGCCCTGATAGAAGATTAGAAGGAGAAAGAAAGGAGATACACACCGTTTAATTTCCTGCTTCCTCCCTGCCAGCAGCAGCTGGTGGTGCTCTAACAAGGCCCGAGGACTCTTCTCAGGAAGCTCCCTCGTTAAGCTACCTCTTTCTCTGGGTTCCAGTAATTGCCTCCCCTTTTTAGCCCTCCCAGGCTAGGGGTGGAGACAGCTCCCCACTGTTGGGAACCATGGGGGCACTGCACTTTTCCTTGTTGCTTTCCCTTAACCCTTCTTTCTGGAAACCTTGTCCAACTACCCAGTTTGAGCTCACCATCTATTTCTTGCTAGGTTTCTGCCAAGCATGTTCATTATTCCTTCAGTCTTCACCTCAACCCCCATGAAAAACAGATTGCAATCATCATCTAAAAATGTGGAGGCCAAAGCTTGGAAGCATTAAATCCTTTGAGGAGATACAGGCAGTAGGTGGCATGAGAAGCCTGGGAAGGACAAAGTTCTTTGGGCAGGCATCACCTCCTCTCCTTGGCATTTCCATCCTCACTCTCCCTGCAGTATTACTCAGTGTGTGTCTCCTTCCCTTCACCTCCACCCTTTATGCGTCTTCCTACCCACGAAGGAAGTCAAGGGAACTTTTCTGCTCCAAATCACAAGAGTTGGAGAAGAAAAAAGGAAAAAGGAATATAGTCCCTCAGGTTGTTGGTCCAGGGAACATGCAGTGATTTACTCACCAGGCTTGAAGAGGGCCATTTTTCCATTCTGAAAGGAAGGAGACACAGATAAGAAAAAGGTCAGTATTTTTGTACTTTTCCCACTCCATTCTCCTCTCACTACATGTTTTCTCTCCTTTTCTTTAGAGTCTCTTCCAGGGTCCAGCTTCCCTCCTCTACAGCTCTGATGGATCAGAGGTGGCACCTTCTCAAAAATGTCAGGCTTGGCTCCCTGTGTCATGGGGGGTGCAGGATGCATGGCCAGGCTTTACAAGGGGGTGTGCAGGATCAGGAGTTTCTCAGAGGCTCCAGAAAAGCGGAGGTGAACCCCCACCACACAGAAATTGAGTCTTTAGATTAGATCTAATTAATCCAGCTGAGAACATCCACGGGTCACAGTGGAGAAAAAGTTGAAATATTCAGGGCATGTGACCCAGCAAACTTACAGAGCATCAGGCTGACTTATTGGTATCGGACGAAGACTCCTCTCCACCTACAATGAAAGAAAGGTAGAGGTGTCACCAGAACTCTGCCTTTTCTGTGTTGGCCCCTTCCCCTTCTTTTTGCATCCATCTAGTCTTTTTTTTTTTTTTTTTTTTTTTTTTTTTTTTTTTTTTTACCATCCCACCCTTCCCCATGGTCTCCATCTTCAGGTACAATTCTTTCTTCACCTCTTCTTAATATCAAGTCTGGGAACATCGGTTGAACGCTAGTGGCAGGGCAGGCACTGTGAGAGTTCCTTCCCAATGGGGTCCAGCTCATCTGTTTTGAATGTGTACCTGGGCATAGGTGTCACCATGTCTATATGTGTATGCCTAGGAGTACAAGATTCATCCTTCTCAATCTGTATCATTTCGTACCTTGCTCTAAAAAGAATTTGGGAAATTTAATGAGCAATTTCAGGGACTAGTTTTTGAAAGCAGTTATGATCTATCTGTACCAACTGAGCCACTGTAGCTACTCCTCTTTATTAGACACACTTTTCTCCCTCCCTCTCTCTTTTCTGATTTTCTTATTTCTTAAATCTTCCATTCTTGTTTTCCTTTCAACAGCCTCTAGATTATGGGAAACAACAAGTAAGTTTCCTGCCATAGAAAATGCACCTCATCCTTCTCTTCCCTCTTCCTTTTGAAGTGTACCCCTGGATATTCCTCAGTGCTTTTTAGAGCTTAAGGGTCTGTAGCCCCTAGTACAAAGAGATTGAAGACCTCTTTTTTTTTTTTTTTTTTTTCTAGAGAGAAAAAGCACTGGGTGGTTTCTCCAAAGAGCCACACTTGTTTTCTTTTTCTGGGTAAAGGGATCCAAGACCACTTTTCAACCCTGGGCTATGACTTATGGGCTGGAAAATAATGAAGCAGAGAGAGAGTAACAGATTTGAATTCAGAGAAAATGTCAAAGCCACTCACGAGTCAAGTACTGGATTTTTTTCCTCTCTGCAATGGAATGAACAGGGAAGAGTCATCAAGGTGCTCAAAGCGAGGATAGGAAGACATGTCTGGATCTCTGGGGGAATGGTAACTTACTGAGTTCCTCCTGGAGGCTCTCTGGAAAATAACCAAAAAAAAAAAAAAAAAAAAAAAAAGATGAACTGTTATGGGTGAGGTTGGTGTTTCGGGAAATAAACCTTAAACATGATGCAGTGCCAGGGTAGGGGAGAGAGGTGAGGTTTTCAGGCTGGGGCATGCAAGCCAAGAGCTTAGATTCTCTGCTTGCGTTGGATACCTCTTAGGCTTATTTCCCGCTCTGTTGCAGCATATCCCATTTCTTTCATCTCTTGCTCACTTTCTATCTCACTGGACAGAGCAGTTATTTCCTTCTGTTGTCTCCACAAGAAGTAACTGGCTCCGGCGAGAAGCAGCAGCAAGATAGGCAGGGTCCCTGCCAGGGCTGCGATCCAGGGCTGGGCGCTCCTGAAGAAGGGGTCTGCGAAGGGGAGAGCTGTAGGTCATGGGCGCTGGTGCGCTCAGCCTCCCCAGCCTGCAGCACCCCAAGCTTTAGCTGCTCAGCTCAGGTCGGGGGTGGGGAATCTATCTCATGAGGTTAAATAAGGATTCTCTCCCTAAAGTCTCAGAGGACTATAGATAAGACTTTGGTAAACCCTCACTACAAGCTACTACTATTACTTATCTTGAGATGTCTGCCTCTCACATGGAAAGTAACTTGAGCAAAGTCATACACATTTTTTCTAAATATTTTTTCAATAGGTAACACATTTACATCGTTCAAAACTACATACACATAAAGTCACGCAACTCTCTCATTCACCCTGTCCTCCCTCCCTCCATGTATTAACTTCTTAGTCCACTTAATATGATGCTTAGGAACATAACCTGTGGAGTCAGAGGGTATGGGTTTCAATGCTGGCTCCCCCATGTGACTAGCAGTGTGATGTTGGACTACTTACATAACCTCTCTGTTTGTAGTGGCCTAATCTACTAATGTAAAATGAGGGTAATGATAATACCTATTTCCTGAGGTTAGAAGAATTGAATTAATACTTATAAAGTGCCTGATGTACAGTAAGTGTTACAAAATTGCTTGTTGAAGTTTAAAAATGTAAACTAACCCAATTGAGAACTAAAAAAAAGTAAATTAAAATATATTCTTATTTTTCCTCTTGTTTAAACTAAAAATAGCATTCTATACACGTCCCTCTGCATCTTGCTTTTTCTGTGTAAAGTGTATCTTGGAGATCTTTCCATATTAGTATAGAGAGAATTGCTTCTTTTTCCTTTTACAAACTGTGCAGTATTCCCTTGTATGGAAGTTCCCTGGCAGTGAACATCTGCACAGTTTCTAACCTTGTGCAATAGTAATCAGTGCTATAAGAAACCTTTTACAGGCCGGTTGCAGTGGCTCACGCCTGTAATCCCAGCACTTTAGGAGGCTGAGGCGGGTGGATCACTTGAGGTCAGGAGTTTGAGACCAGCCTGGCCAACATGGTAAAACCTTGTCTCTACTAAAAATACAAAAATTAGCTGGGTGTGGTGGCACATGCTTGTAATCTCAGCTACTTGGGAGATTGAGGCAGGAGGATCACTTGAACCTGGGAGGCAGAGGCTGCAGCGAGCTGAGATTGCACCACTGCACTCAAGCCTGGGCAATAGAGTGAGACTTTGTCTAAAAAAAAAAAAGACACACACACAACGAAAAACAGAAACCTTTCACATGGATCATCTCATACAAATGCAAGCTTATCTATCAGATAAATTCCTAGAAGTGGAAGTTTGGATCGATAAGTGTGTAGTTTGGATAGATATTGCTATAGAGCCCCCAACAGAGGTTGACCTAATGCACATCAAAAATACAGGAAGTTACATGAGCAAATGACTGAGAGTCACTGCCTTCCTACATTCCTATGAGAATCATGTATTATAAGCCAAAGCAGTTTTGATTTTTGCAAATATCATAAGTGAAAAATTATTTCATATGTTTACCCAGTGAGTGAGAATGAGCACCCTTTTGTGAGTTATTTCCTTTTCTGTGAATTGATAATTCATGGGCTTTGTTAACATTTTTTTTACTTGGTTTCTATTTTATTTTATTTTATTTATTTTTTGAGACAGAGTCTCGCTCTGTAATCCTGGCTGGAGTGCAGTGGTCTGCTCTCACTCACTGCAACGTCTGCCTCCTGGGTTCAAGTGATTCTCGTGCCTCAGCCTCCTGAGTAGCTGGGATTAGAGGTGCACTCCACCACACCTGGCTAATTTTTTGAATTTTTAGAAGAGATGGAGTTTCACCATGGCCAGGCAGGTCTCAAACTCCTGGCCTCAATGATCTGCCTGCCTCGGCCTCCCAAAGTGCTGGGATTACAGGCGTGAGCCACCATGCCTGGCCAAAACTTTTTACTAGGTTTTTAGAATCTCCTTCTGATTCAAGGAGATCAGCTCTTTCTCTATGATATGAGTTTGTAAATATATATATATAACCATTTTGTCATTTCACATTATATAAGGAGCTTATCTTAATGTTTTTCCTCCAATTCCCATTGCCTGTCATACTTTCTGGCAGATAGGAAATGTTCAGAAAATGTTTGTGTTACGAACACCTTTATGGAGGAAAGAAGCTCCCCTGGCACAAAGAGGAGCCTCCAGGTCTGTGCTTTGGGCCTTATATTCAGTGCAGAGACCCAGGTCGACCACAGATATTAACACATCCCCCTTCATTCAACTGCCACAGCTCAGCTCAGAAAACCTGAGGCCAAGCAGGTACTGACCTGCGATGGAAATGCTGGCTGTCTTTTCCAGGCCGAGGAGGGAATTTCTGATGATGCAGGATACACCCTCCCCGGAGCCGCCTCTCATGATCACAGATGCTGCTACTTCATATAGGCCCACTCCATCTGCAACCACAGGTGCTTCCACAGCTGGGATGTTCTCTCCCTTGGCGTTGCTCCACTGTATTTGGGGTTGGGGGTACCAGCCGGTGGACCTGCACTCCAGATGGATCCCTCCATCCTCATAACCCTTCACTTCGACGTGAAGATTAGAACCCAGTGCTGTGGAAGGATAATTTGGCCTAAATTCTGGATAGCTCCTGTATTAGGGAGGGTCTCAATGGGAATCAATGTCAGGCTCAGATTTGATAATTCAAGAGATATTTCATTCAGGAGCTGTTTACAAAAGTGTGGTCATGATGAGGGGAAAACTAAATTTGCTAGTGCAGTATCCCAGGGTCAGAAACAGTGGGGCTATTCCCACCCACCCCAATTACCAGAGGGAGGAGGAGAGGAAGCTGTTTTGAACACAAAAAAGAAGAGATTCATGCATTGAGGACTTCCTTTAGAGGAGCTGTTACCTTCAGCAAGGCAATGCAGCCAGCCTGAGGGTAACTTGCAGTAAGGAAGCCAGTGAATAAGCACCCAGACTTCTTCCTTTTCTCTTCCTCCTATGATTGTCTGCTAGAGATCCCCTTAAACCAAACCTAACCAGCAGCCACAGGGCAAGGGATTGCACTGAGAAAGAGAAAAGCTGTCCCAACATATGGAAACTGACACCGGGTCTCTGTGTCATCCTGTTGAACATAAGCAATTTCACAGAACACAGACAATGGCACTTTGTGACTATGATGGATCATGGGAAAAACAATACCACCCCACATCATATGTGAGCATAGAGAAAAACATGAACATTGTCCAAACCACAGCAGTGACCAAACATCCCCCCTCAGCAATGAGGGATTGCTGCCCCTTCATCAATTACAGCTTTTGTCTCACCCTGGTCTCCTTCTTCCTACATAAGATTGATTAAGGCTCTCACTCAGAATTAACCTGCCCACACCTTCCTGATGGAATCTCATCCAGAGCAGAGGGCTAAGTCTATGAACTCCCCCGGCCCCAATCCCCTAACACAAGCCCAAATTGTATACCAAGTCTGCTCTAACACCTTCTTACTGAGACCCCGCCACAGCTCCCCATGATGTGTGTTCTTCCTCACTGCAACACGTAAGAAATACAGCTAGTTCTACTACAGGAGTATTCCTGGGGATGGCTAGTTGGAGAACACTGGCAGCAGATACAGTCACTATTCCACCTCCCAGGACCCATGGTAGTGTGCACTTGGAGACACAACAGAAGCCATCTGTTACACAACTAAACCAAAATGACTGTGTACCAGTCACTGAAGAGATGGTTTCTTATGCTTCCTATCCCTCGTCCTTCACTTCGCTTATATCTCTGGTGGCCAGAGGAAAGGAGTTCTTTACTTGAGCATGTAGGGTACAGCAGGAATTCTTCCTAAAGGAAAACCTGTGTCTTACTCAAGGGCCTCAGAGAAGCTAAGTTGGGAGGCAGTGCAGGCAATTGCTAGTGAGCAGCCAGGAGTGTCTGCAGTGCTTTTGCAAGAGGGACTCTGCATCTGCTCTAGATCCTACAGAGAAATGTTCTCAGAACAAAACCTGGAGGCTCACCTGCAACCTTCAGCTCCACCAGGGCTTTTTCATAGAAGTCACCATCTTGGAAATAACACAAGTACTTTCCACTGTCAGAGGCTGTGACGTTGTGTATTCGGAGAGCAGCCTTCCCTGCAGTGATGCCATCCCGCAGAATCGAAGTTCTCCCTCGATACGGTGCACTCTGCCTGTCTTCCACTTCCTTTCCATCTGCATACACGTTCACCACCTGCCTTAGGCTGGAACTTACCCACTTCAGCTCCATGGTCTCTGCACTCATGGTCGGGAACAGGTGACAGGGCAGATCAGCGTCTTCACCCACCATGGCCAGGATGGGCCCAGAGGGTCCAAGCACAGAAAACTGAGCTGTCAGCACAAGGGGGAAGCTCCATCAGAGGGTTTTGGAGTTGGGGTCATGAGAGGAAGGGTCCTTCTCAGACAGGGAAGGCGAGATACAGAGAACCTAGAGGGGAACACAATCCTAACAGAAGGACCATTTGTCTCTTTGTGACAGGTGATCCTTCAGGTTGGGATGGACTTCCAGGTATGGGAATGAGTTAAAGGTTCTAAGAGGGCATTTAGGTAATTGTCTGCTTAATTAGGTAATTGAGATAATTGTCTGCTTCAGAAACATAAATGTGGAATCATGGAATCATTCCCTACCTGAGCAAGGAGTGAGCAGCTGGACCAAGAGGAGGGAGACATGAAAGTTGAGCAGAAGGAAAGCCAGGGAACTTGCCATTTTCATCTATGCTGCATATCAAGAGATACCAGAAGGTGTGGGACAGACACTATGGCCTGGAAGAAGCTTTAGGATTCTGCATGGAAATGTCCACTTCCCCAGGGCTAACTCAAATATGGTGACCGAAGAAGATCTTACCTCTGCCAAAAATGTCTGTCCTTGAGTGTCTTTACCTTTGGGTTCCAGTATGGAAAACCATCTGTAAAAATAATATCTGTTATCTGATCAGGACATCTCTGACTCTACTGCATTAAAATATTAAAATATTCATAATCCTATCACTTCCCCACACTTCCCTTGCCAGGTCCAAGCTTCCATCATCCCCCTCTGATTCATGAAGGACCCTCTTCACTGGATTCCCTGGTCCCACCCTTGTTCAGCTCTGTGGGTGTCCAACACTATGGACTCCTCAAGCGTCAAACTCTTGGCCATTACTACAGTCAACTTATGGCCTGGTGGCTCCTGGTGGGATCCAGGCAGACTGCCTGGCAGAGGCTCTGAAGTCAGTCAGGGGCTGAACCCACCACGTTTAATCACAAAGATATTGATTAGGAGAGCTTTGAATAAGACCAGGCTTTACTCATCTTTTCTTTCTTCCCTTCATAAAGTTATTCAACAAATATTTACTGAGCACCCACAATGGGCTGGACCCACTATGGTAGAGTTAGGAACACAAAGAGGGTAGACAATAGGTAAAGGCTCTACAAGTCACAAGCTTGATGATCTCAGTCATGGGACAAAACCATTTCAACTTTAGTTACTCAAAAATATCGAGTATGAGACTTAGAATGTTCACAATTGGCCCAGCAATTCCACTTCCTGATGGTTACTTCAGCGAAGTACTCGCATGGGTGCAGAGAGAAGCCTCTGTGGGAATGACACTGCAGCACTATTTTTAAAGTATAAAAGTGGTTACCAACTGAACCAGCCACTCACAAGAGACTGGTTAGAGGAATGATGGCTCATCCCTAGGAGGAAATTCAATGCAGCAGTTAAAAAGAGTGATTTAATGTCACTAGCCTGGATAATGGAGATATACTAAGTGATTAAAAAGCACCTTGCAGAACTATACTAATGATTCAATTGAAAAACAAAAGCAAAGCTATACATTTCTGCATAACTATATATGTAAATGCCTGAAAAAGTCTAAAATGATGGATGCTAAACTGAAAATTGGAGGTTAAGTGAGTGAAAGGACGCTTTGGCCTTTTGCTTCCTTTACTTTTAAAATTATTGGAATGCTTTAAGTTTAAAATTTTCATGTATTAGTTAATAACTAATTATTATGAGGAATAATAGTGACTGGAACATATTAGCTGCTCAGTAAATACTAACTCCTCAACAGTTTCTCCCAAAACAAAGGAGCATGAGGCCTGCAGCCATCATACCAGCTGCTGTGGGTCTGGGAATGGCCTCTGAGAACAAGGTCTGCAGATGGAGGTGGGGAGAGATGTAGAGGAAGCAAGGGAACAGAGGTCTGTGCAGCTGGTCATGCTCCACCCCTGCCTGGATCTTGCATCCACCATCAGACTAAACATTATATTTCACCACATCTTCTGCTCCTCGAAACTGCTCTTTATTCTCCTAAGGAGAAGGAGGTATTATTAAGCTAAGCTAAAAATTTCTCTGCTGTCCTCAGAGGGAGAACTTTTATTTTTTAGGTTATTTATTATTCATTCTTTCTACTATAGACAATTTTGCCAAAGAAAAAAATATAAAGGAATAAAACCTTAAATACTCTGTAGTTATATACTTTGCTAATGGAAGTGGAAATGTTTCTGGAAGCATTTGGCCATGTACACATGGCAAGTGCCTTTAAAATGTTGTATTATTTGCCCCCAAAATTCCAACTATAAAAGTTAGTGTTGAAGAAAAAAATTTAGAGATTGATGCAAATATTTATGGATAAGGCTGTTCAATCTAGTAAAATCTACAGTAACAAAATGTAGAAACTGAAAAATCCAAAATAAAGAGTTTTAAAAATAATTCGGGTTTTTTATTTGTTTGTTTGTTCTTTTTTCTTCTTTAGGAGCGGCTTTCTGAGTCAGAGTAGGCTCACAGAGACTCCCAATAATTATATATTCATACAATGTAGTAGCTTGTAACCATGGGAAATCATGCTTTAGGTTTTGGGGAAATGATGAATGGAAAGAAAACCAAGTACTATCCCTAAAAGATACCAAAAATGGTTTAATATAAGGATCCAGTGTTATTAAAATTATAAAGAATTTCACTTAATTAAAATTATGATTCCTAATGGTTACATGGAACATGTTTTATGACTGAACCATGCATTGTTTGTCTATTCCCCACCTGTTGAATATGTATGTTGGTTCAGATTTTACTATATTATAAATACTTCTGTAATAAACACATTTACATATAAATCTATGAGGCACATCTCTTTTTTCTTCTTCTTCTTCAGAATTTCTCAGAATAGATGCCTTGAGTTGGCCAGAACAGATTTTAAGGGTTTTTTGTTTGTTTGTTTGTTTGCCCTTTTCTGACCACAATACGTTAAGAACATGCAGTTGGAATATTTCTTCATTCATGTTGTCTCCCTTTCCTTCCACTAAATCCCAACCTCTGCAGTTCCTTATACTTTGCAGTACTTCTCCCGTCTTCCCACGTGCCCATATGTGCATGTGCGAGTGTGCACATGTACACATGTACACACACACACACACACACACACACACACACACACACACACAGGCACTGCACCCCTTTCTCTGGGAGAGTACTCTCCCTGCATGCCCACTCACCACTCTCAGCGATTCAGCCCCGCTCCTCCCATGCGTTGTAGCCCAGGCTCTAATCAATTTCCTGCACTTACCCCTTGGTATTCCCATTGGAGAATCAGAGCCCACAGAATAAAGACGGTCAATCAATAATTCTCCATTCTTTCTATTATGGCTTAGCCTCTCATCCGGAAGAAAGGAAAAAGAGAAAGCAAATATTGTCTTCTCACCATGAGAAACAGTAAGAGTCGCTCTTTGGAAGAATTAGTTTTTTGATTGGCTCAGAGGTGATGTTTCTCATCAGTTGCTGGGCAGAAACCACTGAGGAACGTTGAAATGAAAACTGAAAGTACATTGAATTGTACACGTTGAGGAAAAACTCCAGCCCTACCTCCCTTAGTGTTTGTGTTTCTGTGTTTATCTATTTGAATCATTCTTGTGCGTGGATGTATATAAGTATTTCTTTATATTCACCTGTCTCGTGTCTTTTACATGGTAATAGAAATATTAGCAGAATGGAGTAGGAAAGTAAAAAAATTTAATGTGCAAAGAGAGGAAGATGTGCACTAATTAAGATGCTTCTGTGGCAGTTTGCTTGCATGTAGATAGGTACGTAGAAGAGGAGGATCTTTTTTACAGAGCCTAATAAAGGTATGAATGGAAAGAAAATGAGACAAACTGCACCTCTTTAAGAACTTCTGGCATTTAGGCTTAGGATATGGTATCAAATAATATAATTTTTCTGATTTCCAGAGGCAGTGCTGCTTGACATTGTTTTACCTTTCCCAGGAAATTCTTACTGCAGATCTTTCTGAGCATCTTCATTCACCCTCAGCTCCTGGTTTGTGCTATATTGTATTTTCTTGGGTATTTGTTTCTCACGCTGCCAGTGGAGTACATATTCTCTGAAGCTAGACACTCCATAGGCTGTGGTCTCTGTAAGGCTCGTTTCCTGTACACCATCTCTGTAAGGAGTTTATGGGACAATCTTGTTCTCCCTGTGGCTTACGACCTCAAAACACACTTTTTTGGGCTGCAAGCCAGAAATCTCCTAGAGCTAATATGTGACTGGAGCTGATGGGATTTGATTATATTGCAACAGTTTGAATTTAGGCTGTGTGGTATCTGCTTGAGATGGCTGGTTGCTTCTGCAGCGTGCATGCCCCCTTCTTCTTAGTGACAAGGCCTAATTTTCTGGGGTACTGCATCCTGCTCTTCCCCCTTGAAGATAGGGCAGGCCAAGGGACTAAGTTGGAGCCAGCGGTTTGTAGGTGAAAGTTGTGGGCTTGTACTTCTCCCAGAAATCCTTCAAAGGGAGGCCAAAATAGCTGGGAGTGTGAGGGTACACTCTCCCTTCTTCCTTCTTCCTCTTGCCTAGAACATGGACTTTGGACCCGGAGGTGCAGTAGCCCACCCTGGGACCATGAGGCAGCCTTGAGGTTGGAAGCCACACACTGGGACAGCAGAGAATGAAGTCAGAAGCAGGCTGGGGCATGAATGACATATCTGAGGTGCCAGATCAGCCCTGGACTGTCACCATCTAAATTTATTTAAAAAATTTTTTCTTTTAAAATATTTTATTATATATTAGTACTCAGGGTAAATTTCCAAATAAGTTTGTTTTTCATGAAAGGAAAACAAATCCTTGTTTTATTTAAGCCAGTGGTACTTCTGGTCTCTGTTATCAACAGAAAAACACAATTTTTCCCTCCCCCTTCCCCCTCCCCAACAGTTTATTATAAAACTTCTAAAACATATAGCAAAGGTGAAAGAATTTCAGTAAATTCCAATATATCTACCATGTAGATTGTATAATTAATATTTTAGTTTCTTACTTTATTATAAATCCATCCTGCTGTTCACCCCTATTCATCCATCAATATTTGTTTATTTGTTCATTTGTTTATTTTTAAATTCAGACTCTATCAGAAGCTGTGCTGCTTGAGATCGTATTAGTAAGAATGAACATCCCACCTTTGCCTGGAGGGTCCAAGTCACTTTGACACAAAGAAGCAGCCAATGTGCTAAGCTTCAGATTAGGAGTTTCTGAGCCCAACTCTTCATATCTCTGAACTTTGTAGTTTCCAAACTATGAGACCCCTAAGTTCATTTCTCACTCAATGTCTTTGTTTCTTCAGCTATGGGTAGGGATGTGACCTGCTTCTTAAGTTGTTTGGGGAGAACCTAGCACAGCACCTGCACATATTAACTCTTTATGAATGTCATTATTTTCCATTATGAAAGGTTCGGTATCAGCTGGTGCCTGTTGTGGAGTTGGAGTTTTAGTTTGAAGGTGAAGAGAAAATCTTTTTTAAAAATGGCATGAGAAAATGTGTACATTGGAAACAATAGTGTGAAAGGTGCCAGGGAAGATGGGAAGTAAGAGTGCCATTTACATTGTATTCTGTGGAATGATGACGCTATGATTACACAATATAGCCAGTCCTCATTAGAGAATCAGATGGTAGAAGACAAGGAGACCAGGAAGAAAGCTACTGTGACACTCCAGGCAAGAAATGATGAGGCCTTAGGGATGGAGGAGAGGGAAGAGGATTGATTATTATTCTTAATAATAGCTTATACTCACATAGAACCTACCGTGATGTTGGTATTGTGCTTAGAGGTTTACATGCATGAATAATACTTTTGCTTTGTGAAGTTCTGAGCAGAGAAGCCCACTAAGCTCTGCCTGGACTTCTGACCCACAGAAACTGAAGTGATAAAAGTGTACTGTTATTTATTTATTTATTTTTGAGGCAGAGTCTCGCTGTGTTGCCCAGGCTGGAGTGCAGTGGCACAATCTTGGCTCACTGCAACCTCCACTTCCTGGGTTCTAGCAATTCTTGTGCCTCAGCCTACCAAGTAGCGGGGATTATAGGTGTGTGCCACCACGCTGGGCTAATTTTTTATCTTTTATTTTTTGCGTTTTCAGTAGAGATGGGGTTTCATCATGTTGCCCAGGCTGGAAAAGTGTACTGTTTTAAACCACTAAGTTTGTG
Organism: Homo sapiens; assembly: GCF_000001405.40. Taxonomy (NCBI): domain Eukaryota; kingdom Metazoa; phylum Chordata; class Mammalia; order Primates; family Hominidae; genus Homo; species Homo sapiens. The sequence goes on along the minus strand of NC_000006.12, from coordinate 26,362,448 downwards.
GTAATTTGTTATGCAGCAATAAATCACGAATGCATTAGGTAAGTGAAACACACAGTGGCAACAAACATGAATATAAAGAAGACAAAGAGAATAACTTGTGTTTCCAGCCCTGACCCGTTGCCTGGACTGCAAGCTTATTATTGACCTGCCTACTCTACATCTCCACGGGAATCTCTAGTAAGCTCCTCAAACCCAACATATTCAAAACTGACCTTTGGATTCTGTGCTGGCTCCTCCTCTGGCCTCCACAAGCGGTTTCTCCCTCATTTTCCCCATCTCAGTAAGTGGCAACTCCATCTGTACCGTTTCTTAGGACCAAAACCTTGTGGTCACCCTTGATGCCCTCCTTTTTCACACCCCACCTGTAAGTTTATCAGCAAAGCCTTTTTATTCTATCTTGAAAATAAATCCAGCATCATAACATTTTCATGGCTCCTCCCTGGTACAAGTCATCTGCATCTTTCCCCTGGATCACTGCAGTAGCTCCCAGCTGGGTCTTCAGGCCTCCATCCACCACCCCTACCCACAGCCCATCTTGGTCTAGCATGTGAAGTAACTTCTTAAAACATAAGTCAGTCCAGTCCTTTTTCTGCTCTAACCTTCCAGTGGCTCCCCTCTCAGAGGTAAAGCCCAGGTCAGCATGATGACTTTCAAGGCCATACATGATCTGGCCCTCAACCCCCTCTGGCCTTGTCACCTCCTCTTCTCCTGATCACCCTGTGTGCTCTGCGCACCCCAGCCTCATTGCTTTTCTTCACACAAACCACAGTGCTTCTGCCTCTGTGCTCTGGCACTGCTGTTCTCTCAACTCGGAATGCTTTTCTCCCAAGTATTCTGTGCCTCGCTCCCCTTGCTCATAACCACCCTATTTTAAACTGTAACTTCCAACCGGGAACGAGGGCTTACAGGTGTAATCACAGGACCTTGAAAGATCGAGGGAGGAGAATTGCATGAGGCCAGGAGTTCAAGAACCTGGGCAGTATGCATAGCAAGATCTCTGTCTTTCAAAAAAAAAAAAAATTAGGCTGCAGTGAGCTATGATCACTCCAATGTACTCTAGCCTGAACAACAGAGCAAGACCCCTTCAAAAAGAAATGCAAGTTCTGCTATTCCAGGTTTATTTCTCTCCTGAGCACTTATCATCATCCAGCACACCATATATATTACTAATTATTTCATTTCCTGTCTGCCTCCTACCACAAGTTATGTTGTTTTTGAATGAGAACTTTCTGTTTTGTTCACTTCTGTGACTCCACCACCTAGAATAGTGACTGGCACATAGTTAGCGTTCATGGATCCTTGTCAAATGAATGAATTAATGAATTGACCAAATAGAGAAGCCTGAGGGAAGCTGGGGTGGGGGCTCCCCGATGTGGGTGCAGAATTAGCCTGAGACAGGAGAAAGAACACCTGCTTGTTGAAATCAGAGGAAACAGATCATGAGGGACAGGTATAGGTGGTGGAGCAGGAAGTTTGGGACCTCCCTTTTCTATTTTCTCTCTGAGGTGGTAGACTGTGGCACCATCTGAGATGTGGGGAAAGGATGTGGTGATGAGGATAACGGCTAACGGTCACTATCACAGATACGCGCTGTGTTCGCACCAGGTGCTCTCCACACCGTATCTCATTCCTAAACATCTGCTAAAGAAGTAGATGTCATTAATTCTATTTCTAGGTGAGAAAAATAGAGTTGCAGAAAGGTCAAGGATCCTGTCCTGGTTTGTCTGAGTGAGTAGAATAGGGGTCACCCAGGTGTGTTGACCAGGGAGAGGAAATGGGTGCAGAGGCATGAAACTGCATGATATGTTTGGGACACTGCAGGTGTTGTGGTCAGGCTGAGGAGCAGCACATTGCCAGGATGTCCAAAGGTAGAGCAGAAGTAGGTGGCCTGGACCACTGAGTGCCTGCAATGCAGATAAAAAGTCCAAGGAGGCCGGGCGCGGTGGCCCACGCCTGCAATCCGAGCACTTTGGGAGGCCAAGGTGGGCGGATCACAAGGTCAGGAGTTCGAGACCAGCCTGGCCAATATGGTGAAACCCCGTCTCTACTAAAAATACAAAAATTAGCCAGGTGTGGTGGTGGGTGCCTGTAGCTCCAGCTACTCGGGAGGCTGAGGCAGGAGAATTGCTTGAACCCAGGAGGGAGAGGTTGCAGTGAGCTGAGGTCGCACCACTGCACTCCAGCCTGGGCTACAGAGTGAGCGAGACTCCGTTTCGAAAAAAAAAAAAGAAAAAGAAAAAGAAAAAGAAAAAAAAAAGTCCAAGAAAGCTGGACTTCATCTTTCAGGCCAGAGTTTCTTCAGCAGAGTTATGTAAAAAACTTGTTTAGACAAAAACTAATTTTTATAATACATCTGAAAATATGTCTTCTAACTACTGAAAGAGATGGGAACTAGTTAAAAAATGCAGCATTAAAAGTTAAAATTTGTTATTAGGGAAGTCATTGGTCACTGATATGATAAACAGTAGTTTCCTTGGAAACTGGAACCACTCCACAACAGTTGATTATAAAGATGTGAACCAGATGATATAGAGTCTGCTTAGGTTACAATTTTTAGATTTAAATTGGCATTAAAATAATTTTTTAAAATTTTAACATTTCTGTCCAGGCGTGGTGGCTCATTTCTGTAATCCCAGCACTTCGAGAGGCCGAGGCAGGCGGATCACTTGAGGTCAAGAGTTCGAGGCCAGCCTGGCCAACATGGTGAAACCCCATTTCTACCAAAAAATACAAAAATTAACTGGCCGTGGGGGCACATGCCTGTAGTCCCAGCTACTCGGGAGGCTGAGGTGGGAGAATCGCTTTAACCCCGTAGGCAGAGGCTGCAGTGAGCTGAGATCATGCCACTACACTCTAGCCTAGGTGACAGGGTGAGACCTTGTCTCAAAAAAGAAAAAAGAAAAGAAAAGGATGATTGTTGCTCTTGGTTGAAGGGAAGCAGGAGCCCAAGGGGTTAAGTGGTTTGCTGGTGGCTGCTGTTGAGAGAAGGGCCATGGTAAACTGAATCCCAGAGGTCTGCAATAAAAGAAGAAAGAGGCTGGGCGTGGTGGCTCATGCCTGTAATCCCAGCACTTTGGGAGGCCAAGGCGGGTGGATCACGAGGTCAGGAGTTCGAGACCAGCCTGACCCATGTGGTGAAACCCCGTCTCTACTAAATATACTAAAATTAGCTGGGTGTGGTGGTACATGTCTGTAGTCCCAGCTACTTGGGAGGCTGAGGCAGGAGAATTGCTTGAACCTGGGAGGCGGAGGTTGCAGTGAGCCTGGGTGTACTCCAGCCTGGGTGACAGAGTGAGACTCTATCTCAAAATAATAATAATAATAAATTAATTAATTAATTAAAAAATAAGAATGAGCCTCCTCTATTGGGAAAGGTCATCCTCTTTGAGCACACAGTTTTGAGAGGGAGAAACTTCCTAATGCTCAGCAGCAAATTTTTTCTATTGCTTAGCCCCAGGCCCCCTCACAATGTGAGGTTTCGTCACATTGGCCAGGCTGGTCTTGAACTCCTGACATCAAGTGATCCGCCCACCTTGGGCTCCCAAAGTGCTAGGATTACAAGCATAAGCCACCACGCCCAGCCGGATCATTTAAGGATATATGAGTAGCTGCACTCACCCCCTTGTTAGAACCTCCAAAAAAGTTCCTTATTTTTCTCATTTTCCAGAATAAAAACAAATTACTTTTAAAATCAGAAAACTCATAAACAGATTACTATTTTAAGGATTAAATCGTCATCCCAGGACAAAACCTGGGTAGCCATAGGCAAATCACTTCCTCTCTGAATATCAATGGTTTCATTTATAAATGAGGTGGTTAGACCACAGTGATTTCTACAGTTCTCGGATGTGCTTAGAAAGCTTTTTTTTTTTTTTTTTTTTTTTTTTTTTAATAGAGACAGAGTCTCACTATGTTGCCTAGGCTGGTCTCGAGGTCCTGGGCTCAAGTGATCCTCCTGCCTAGGCCTCCCAAAGTGCTGGGATTACAGGTGTGAGCCACTGCATTTGGCCTAGAAAGCTTTTTGTTGTTATTAAATCATATGTGCTCTATAATATAGAACATATGATACCACACTTTGGTGACCTATCGATTTCTTCTCACATGTTGTAGTTGCCTTAGAATGTGGAGGCAGCTGGAAGGCACGATGAACAGCAATAGCAGATCACTGGCCTCTGACAACTGTCATTCAGTTGAGAGATGTGGATTAAATATGCCCCCAATTATTATCTGTGTAGTTGTGAGCACATAAGTCAATAGACATAGCGAGTGCTTCCCATGGTTCTATTACTTTATTCCCAAGATTCACACGTGACTATGGCCAGCAGCCTCTGGATATGTTAAGATGAAGGAGATATCAACAAAGCATCATGAAAACATTATTATTATTATTATTATTTTCTTTGAAAGGGAGTCTATCTCTGTCGCCCAGGATGGAGTGCATGGGTGCAATCTCAGTTCACTGCAACCTCCGCCTCCCAAGTTCCAATGATTCTCCTGCCTCAGCCTCCTGAGTAGCTGGGATTACAGGCGCCCGCCACCACTCTTGGCTAATTTTTGTATTTCCTGTAGAGACGGGGTTTCACCATGTTGCCCAGGCTGGTCTTGAGCTCCTGACCTCTGGTGATCCGCCCGCCTCGGCCTCCTGAAGTGCTGAGATTACAGGCGTGAGCCACCGCACCCAGCCGAGCGGAGGTTGCAGTGAGCCAAGATCGAGTCACTGCACTCCAATCTGGGTGACAGAGCGAGACTCGGTCTCAAAAAAAAAAAAGAAAAAAAAAGCCAAGCACAGTGGATCACTTGAGCCCAGGATTTCAACACCAGCCTAGGCAACATGGCAAAACCCAATCTCTACAAAAATACAAAAATTAGCCAGGCGTGGTGGCATGCACCTGTAGTCCCAGCTACTTGGGAAGCGGAGCCTGGGAGTTCAAGGCTGCAGTGAGCCATAATCATACCATTACACTCTAGCCTGGGTGACAGAGTGAGACTTTGTCTCAAAAAAAAAAAAAAAAAAAGTTTTGGCCGGGCGAGATGGCTCATGTCTGTAATCCCAGCACTTTGGGAGGCCAAGACAGACTGATTATTTGAGGTCAGGAGTTCAAGACCAGCCTGGCCAACATGGTGAAACCCCATTTCTACTAAAAATACAAAAGTTGGCCAGCTGCGGTTGCTCATTCCTGTAATCCAAGTGCTTTGGGAGGTCAAGGCGAGTGGATAACCTGAGGTCAGGAGTTCGAGACCAGCCTGGCCAACATGGTGAAACCCCATCTCTACTAAAAATACACAAAAATTAGCTAGGTATGGTGGCTCATGCCTGTAACCCCAACTACTCAGGAGGCTAAGGCAGGAGAATCACATGAACTCAGGAGGTAGAGTTTGCAGTGAGCTGAGACCACACTACTGCACTGCAGCCTGGGCAACAAGAACCAAACTTCGTCTCAGAATAAATAAATAAATAAAGATAGAAAAATTAGCTGCGTGTGGAGGTGCACGCCAGCTACTCTGGAAGCTGAGGCAGGAGGATCACTTGAACCTGGAGACAGAAGTTGTAGTGAGCCAAGATCACGCTACTGCAGTGCAGCCTGGGAAAAAAAGCAAGACTCTATCTCAAAAAAAAAAAAAAAAAAAAAAAAAGGAAAAGAACGGGCTGGGCACGTTGGCTCACGCCTGTAATCCCATCACTTTAAGAGGCTGAGGTGGGTGGATCACCTGAGGTCAGGAGTTCAAGACCTGCCTGAACAATATGATGAAACTCCGTCTCTACTAAAAATACCAAAAAAATTAGCCAGGTGTGGTGGCATGTGCCTGTAATCCCAGCTACTCGGGAGGCTGAGATAGGAGAATCGCTTGAACCTGGGAGGCAGAGGTTGCAGTGAGCCGAGATCACGCCATTGCACTCCAGCCCGGGCAACAACAGCGAAACTTCGCCTCAAAAAAAAAAAAAAAAAAAAAAAAAAAGATGTAGATTTTATTCCCACAAGAGAGAGACAACTTTGCAGGGTCATTTCAAGACAAGGAAATATATTTGGGGCTAAAATATTTTCATTTCTTTCCTTATTTATTATGTGAGGTCATGCCAGAGCCAGGTTGGAAAGCAAACCACGTCACATAGGGTTAAATAAAACCCCTCTGATGAAACTTTATGGTTTGTAGGGGTGACTCCCAAGGTCCCTTAGGGAGGAGTTTGGCCAAGATAAGAAAAAAAGTCAGAGTTTCATCCTCAAAGACAATGTTCCCCTGAAAACTGTTGCTATTTCTATATATTCTTTATTGAACATGCAAGGTATATATCCTGCTTAGAGTAGTGTCAACTGCTGTAACAAATATATGTAAAAGTTTCAGGCCAGGGAAGACGGCTCACTCCTGTAATCCCAGCACTATGGGATGTCGAGAGGTGGAAGGATCACCTGAGCCTAAAAGTTTGAGACAAGCCTGGGCCACATAGGGAGACCCTGTCTCTTTAGAGAGTTTAAAATTTAGCTGGGCATGGTAGTGTGCACCTGTGGTTCTAGATACTCAAAAGGATTGCTTGGATCTGGGAGGTCAAGGCTGCAGTAAGCCATTAACATGCCACTGTACTACAACCTGAGCTACAGTGATACCCTTTCTCAAAAAAAAGAAAAAAAAAAAGAAAGAAAAATAGAAAGTTTCAATGGCTTAACCAAATAGCAATTGATTTCTTGCTCACATACATGTCAATGTAGTTGTTTCCTCTTGGCAGGCAGTTTTCACAGGTGTGACTTCTTTCTGCAGAACTGTTCTCCAAGTGGCCAGGCACTGACCCAGTTCTCCTCCATTTCTTGCTTGTAGTCTGAAGAACAACTGTAGAGTGTGTGGGAATGCCCATATCCTGAGGCAGGGAGGAACTGCCTGAAACAGCCTGGGCCTGGCTCCTGGCTCTCCTAAAGAATGTAACATATTGAATTAAGGAGGAACTGCTAGGACAACCAGAGCCTTGTTCCTCTCTCCCTGAAAGTAGGATGAGATTTACCCAGTGATTCCTGTGGCCCCTGAGGTACTGAGCCTGGGGTAAGCTGCTTTTGGGGCCCCTCAGCTGCAACAACAGTAGGCCATGTGCAATTGAAGCTCCATCCACCCAAGGCAGCTTTCATAAGCCTTGGGAAACTGGCACATAATGAATTCTAGTCTTCTGTTGTCTCTTGCTTCCTATCTGTAAGTAATACATTTGCTTCATGTAACTTGTTGCATGTGAGTGTCTTCTGTCTCACCAGGCTCAGGCAGGTTCACAAAATTCACCAGTGCATGGTGAATCTGGTTCACAAAATTGGTGAAGTGAGCAGGGCCCTCTTTGATAGAACCATGGCTTATTGATGAAGTGGAAGGAATGATACCCCGAAGTACCCAGCCCAGGGTGTAGACATCAACCTAGAGGTGTGCAGGAGCTGGACAAGCAGCCAGATGATTTATAAAAGGAAGAATGAGAGGTGAGATTATAAGCCAACAATAAAATTTGAAGGCCTTCTCACCATCTGAATGGACCTTTCCTCTTGGCCAGGGCATTCCAAAGTTTACCTGATTATCTGGTTCAGGTCATGACAGGAAAGAAGGGCCAATTATACCCCACTCAAGTTTGGCTTTCAGGAAAAGCTGACCAGCATTAACATCAACACATACCTCAAGTCTGACAAGAAATATTTACAATCTATTCTCTCTGAAGCCTGCTACCTGAAGGCTTCATCTGCATAATAAAGCTTTGTTCTCCACAACCCCTTATCATTATAACCCAGACATTCCTTCCTATTGATAATAACTCTTTCAACCAGTTGCCAATCACAAAATTTTAAATCTACCTATAACCAGGAAGCCACACCCTCACCCCACCACCCTTTCTCAGCTTCGAGTTGTCCTGCCTTTCCAGACCCAACCAATGAATTTTTTACATGTGTTTGATTGATGTCTCATGCCTCCCTAAACTCTATAAAACCTGGCTGTGCCCCGATCACCTTGGGCACATGTTTTCAGGATCTCCTGAGGGCTGTGTCACAGGCCATTGGTCACTCATATTTGGCTGAGAATAAATCTCTTCAAATGTTTTACAGTTTGACTCTTTTTGTAAACAGGACATAGGTCACCCCCAACCCTGCGGATATGAGTGAGCTGGCTGCACTGACTGGGGCAGAGAGAAAGAAATATAGAATAGGACAGTGGCAAGCCACCCTCTGATTGTTGGACACTTGTATGGTTGTTCATTCCCGAGAGCTAGAGAACTCAGGAAATGGATACTCAGTTGATCCCTGAGAACCCTGAGAGGGAAGAGGAAGAGGTCCTCTGGTGGTCCCTGAGGCATCTGAGAGGGAACCAAACACAGTTCATAAGGGCATTTACAGAGCAGAAACTCATTATCCAAAGAATAAAAATGGAGAATAGCCAGCTAAATCTTGTGCAGGCTGGGTGGTGTGTCCAGCTTCCGCACCCCTGTAGGTTGATGTCTACACCGTGGGCTGGGTACTTCGGGTATCACTCCTTCCACTTCATCAATAAGCCATGGTTCTATCAAAGAGGTTCTATCAAATCCAAATGTCTCAGGCTGAATGGCCCAGTTGGGAATGGGGCCACGGTCTCTGGTTTCCTCCCCACTGGAGGTCAGTCACTCTATATTCCTGTCAAGATAAAACAGGAGTTCTTATAATAAGCCAGGAACAGAAAGACAAACTTTGGATGTTCTCAGTTATTTGCAGGATCTAAAAATCAAAACAATTGAACTCATGGAGATAAGAGAATATAAGGATGGTTACCAGAGGCTTGGAAGGGTAGTGGAAGTGGGAGGAAGCGGGAGAGGAGGTGGGGATGGTTAATGAAAAAGGGCCGGATGTGGTGGCTCGTGCCTGTAATCCCAATACTTTGAGAGGCTGAGGCGGGTGGATCACCTGAGGTCAGTAGTTGAAGATCAGCCTGGCCAACATGGTGAAACCCTGTCTCTTCTAAAAATACAAAAGTTAGCCAGGCATGGTGGTGTGTGCCTATAATCCCAGCTACTCAGGAGGCTGAGACAGGAGAATCACTTGAACCCGGGAGGCGCAGGTTGCAGTGAGCCGAGACCATGCCATTGCACTCCAGCCAGGGCAACAAGAGCAAAACTCCATCTGAAAAAAGAAAAAAACAAAAAAAAAAACAAAAAAAAACAGAAGAATGAAAAAGACCTAATGTTTGACAGCACAACAGGAAGACTATAGTCAATAATATCTTAATTGTACATTTTAAAATAACTAAGAGTATAATTGGATTGTTTTTAACACAAAGGATAAATGCTTGAAAGGATGGATACCCCATTTTCCATGATGTGATTATTACAGATTGCGTCCTGTACCAAAATGTCTCACGTACCTATTAAATATATCCACTTACTATGTGCTCATAAAATTTAAAATTTAAAAATTAAAAAAAAAAAGACATGCTTGCTTCAGCAGCACATATACTGAAATTGGAATGATATAGAGATGATTAGCATGGTCCCTGCTTTTAAAATTAATAATATTCCTTTAAAAGATAAAAAGGGGGAAAAAGGAATTCATATTTTTCTGGTGTTCTTAGATATTGGAACCCATGTGACAATATTTCCAGGTCTCCTTAAGGGAAAAATTAAACTGGTGACATTAAGAGGCTTGGGGACAAAAGCAGTGACCTATGGTGCTTATCTGCTGTGGGGTGCCTCTGGCCATTTGAGGTGCCGGTGACTTTGGTTCCTGTGGCTGAATGTCTTATAGTCATTGACATTTTGGCTGCTTGGGGCTCAGCACATCATCACTGCCTGAGGGGTGCGCCCGCTCACAGCTAAGAATTCCAGCCGTTACGGCGGGGCATATCCATGCCTGTCTGCCACCTAAGCCACCCAAGTCCCAGTGGGTTATTCAAAAAAACAGTACTGCATACTAACTGAAGAACAGGACATTATTGTGTTAATTATTGTTACAAATGGAAATGCTACAAACTACCCTGTCATAATGTAACAGCTCAGTTTGGCTAGTCAAAAAGGCTTTCGGATGTGGAGACTAACAGTGGACTGTCCCTGGGCTAAATGCGAAGGCCACATGGGCAGTAAGCCAGAAAAGTATTCTAGATACAACCAAGCAAAAAAATTTAATTTTGGAGACATCCACTAATAAAAAGGAGGCCCAACAGCTGGAAGGCCTCTTTGGGTACTTGGGCATTGGAGGCAACATGTACCCCACCTGAGTGTTCTTTTGGTCCCCTAAGTCAGGGTGACCAACAAAGCCACCAGCTTTGAATGAGGCCCTTTGTAGCAGTGGGCCTTGGAAGCAATTAAATAAGCCATGGTCCAGGGACTGCCATTAAAACCTTTACAGCCTGCTAGCCTGATGGCACTAGAGTAGTCCCCACTTATCCTTGGGGGACATGTTCCAAGACCCTCAGTGGATGCCTGAAACTATGGATGTGTCAAACACTATATATACAATGTTTATCACAGACATACCTATGGTAAAGTTGAATTTATAAATTAAGCATAGTAAGAGATTAACAACACTAGCTTAAAATAGAACAATTATAACAATACACTGTAATAAAAGTTATGTGAATGGGGTCTCTCTCTCAAAATATCGTCTTGTGCTGTACTCCCCCTTCTTCTTATGATGATGAGGTGATAAAATGCCTAAGTGGTGAGATGAAGCGAGATGAGTGAAGTAGGCACTGTGATGGAACGTTAGGCTACTGTTGACCTCATGATACATCAGAAGGAGGATCATCTGCCTGGGTGATCCTGGATCACTGAGCCATGATAACGTCTGTGGTTGGATGTCAGGGGCAGATGATGTCAATGACTAATGGGCAGTTAGCATACACAGCTTGGATAAGCAGGACAAAGGGATGATTCATATCCTGGACAGGGTGGTATTTCATTATCCTACCCAGAGTCAGTTGCAACTTAAAACATATGAAATGTTTATTTCTGAAGTTTTTCATTTAATATTTTCAGACCAAGGTTGACCAGGAGCAACTCAAACTGCAGAAAACAGAACTGTGGATAAGGTAGAACTATTGTACAGGAGTTACAACCCCCATTCCTGCTGATTGGAGTTTGTGGCAACAGAAAACTACCACTGGGATACACCAATCTATCAGATTTTGGACACTTAAGCTGCATGAGGCAGCCACCAAATATATTCCTTTCCAAAAAAATTGCATTTTTTTTTTGTCAAGCATTTAGATATATATTTTTTATATAGTCCTTTGGAATGGCAACTCAATATACAGACACCCAGTATAATATAAATGTTATTACCATTAAAAAATAAGTTTAAAAAGTAATAAATATTATTACCATTAAAAAATGATAATGGCTACTCTTTGCCACTGATCAGAGGGAGGACTCTATTAGTTAGGTCTGAGGTTCCGCATTTTGTGGATCAGAACAGCTTAATCATCTTGCTGACTATGAAGGTGGGGAAGGACATGGAGAGAAACAGATATTGCTCTCCACACCCCAGAGAAAATGTTAAAAATCATTATTAACTCTAAGGCATGGTTTAGGAGAGAGGAGACTCCCTTATACCCGAAAATATGTTTCTAACCTGCTTGCTATTGCCTGAAGTCTATTTAATGAGGGAGATAGCCTTTTATTCCACAATTAGAAATGAAAGACATCAGATGCAATGTAAAATGAGTTAGAGCAAATGAATTTTTAAGTCAAAGGTAAACAATAATGATAATTTCTTCCTCTCTTCTCTCTCTTTCTCTCCTTATGCAACCAATGGTTTGGTCGTCTACAGCTTGTCTTTCAGGCATGAACTTCATTACTTCAAGTATGCAAATGTGAAACAGATAAGGGCCTTGCCTTGCAGAATTTATCTGATAAGGGATAGTGTTAAAAAGTCAGCAGGTCCTGGGTATGTGAAACTGAGTACCAAGAGGAGACTGGATATCGTGAAGTCAAACTTCTCAAATTCCACAAATTGGCCTCAGGTACAGTCTATTTTTGAAACAAATATAAATGGAGTTTAAAGACGTTCCACATTTGATGGATGCATGAGCTTTCAGAAGTGCTCTAACTTTCCCTGTCGGTTGAAAATTAACATCCTGGGAGCTGAGACTGACATTTCTGCAGAACAATCGTCTTTCTCCCCCAACCCCCAATATTTTTTTTGAAATAGAGTCTTGTTCTGTTGCCCAGGCTGCAATGTTGTGGCTCCATCACGGCTCACTGTAGCCTTGACCTCCTGTGCTCAAGCGATCCTCCCACCTCAGCTTCCTGAGTAAGCTGGGACTACAGGCATGCGCCACAACCCCTGGCCTTTTTTCTTTTTTCTTTTTTGTAGAGACAGGGTCCCACTGTGTTGCCCAGGCTGATCTCAAATGCCTGGGCTCAGGTGATCCTCCCACCTCGGCCTCCCAAAGTGTTAGGATTACAGATGTGAGCCACTGCACCCAGTCTGAACACCGTTCTCTTTGAACAGTGCCTGACACATAGTAGGCATTTGGTAAATACTTGTGGAATGGATTTGTGAATGATGTACTTTTATTCCTAAATGAATTCTTAATACTTTGTGACCTGTCTTTGTATGGTTCAACAATGTACTAAGAGCGTTTTCATGTCATTTTAAAATTCGATTTTAAAACTTTATATTATGGAAATTTTCGAGAAACACAGAAGTAGAGAATATAGTATAAGGCCGAGTGTGGTGGCTCACGCTTGTAATCTCAGCACTTTGGGAGGCTGAGGTGGGTGGATCACCTGAGGTCAGGAGTTCCAGACCAGCCTGGCCAAGATAGTGAAACCCCATTTCTACCAAAAATACAAAAATTAGCTAGGCATGATGGCGCATGCCTGTAATCTCACTACTTGGGAGGCAGAGGTTGCAGTGAGCCCAGATGGCATCACTGCACTCCAGCCTGGGCAACAGAGCGAGACCCTATTTCAAAAAAAAAAGACCAGGCCGAGCACGGTGGCTCATGCCTGTAATCCCAGCACTTTGGGAGGCCGAGGCAGGCGGATCACCTGAGGTCAGGAGTTCAAGACCAGCTTGGCCAACATGGTGGAACCCCGTCTCTACTAAAAATACAAAAAAAATTAGCTGGGTGTGGTTGCGAGTGCCTGTAATCTCAGCTACTCAGGAGGCTGAGGCAGGAAGAATTGCTTGAACCGGGAGGCAGAGGTTGCAGTGAGCCGAGATCGTGCCACTACACTCCCACCTGGGCAACAGAGTCAGACTCCATCTAAAAAAAAAAAAAAAAAAAAAAAAAGGCCAGGCTCAGTGGTGCAGTGGCTCACGCCTGTAATCCCAACACTTTGGGAGGCGGAGGTAGGCGGATCACCTGAGCTCAGGAGTTTGAGACCAGCCTGGCCAACATGGCGAAACCCCGTCTCTACTAAAAATAAAAAAATTAGCCCGGTGTGGTGGCATGCACCTGTAATCCTAGCTACTTGGGAGGCTGAGGCAGGAGAATTGCTTGAGCCGGAGAGGCTGAGGTTGTAGTGAGCCAAGATCGCGCCACTGCACTCCAGCCTGGGTGACAAAGTGAGACTCCATCTCAAAAAAAAAAAAAAAAAAAAAAACAGTATAAAGAAGCCCTAATACAAAAAGAAAAATAAATAAGCAAAACAAACAAACAAACAAAAAACAAAAGAAGCCCTCATGTGCCCATTCACAACTTCAGCAATTTTAACATTTTGCCAGATGGAAAGTGTTCTGTCTCTGTAACCTCCCTTTTCTTCCCACATGCCATACATTTTCACCTCTAAGCATTTTCTGTGCATTTGTGTGTGTGTGTGTGTTTGTTGTTTGTTTTTGTGACAGGGTCTTGCTCTGTCTGTCACCCAGGCTGTAGTACAGTGGCACAATCATAGGTTACTGCAGCCCCGAACTCTTGGGCTCAAGCAATCTTCTCAGCCTCCTAAGTAGTTGGGACTACAAGGCACACCACCAACCCGGCTAATTTTTATTTTTATTTTGTAGAGACAGGGTCTTGCCCAGGCTTGTCTTGAACTCCTGGCCTCAAGAGGCCTCTGCCTTGGCCTCCAGAAACATTGAGATTACAGGTGTGAGCCATTGTGCCCAGCCTCACACATAAGCATTTTAGAATGAATCTCTGGTAAGCTTTTTTTCATAACCACAGTGCTTTTATCATGTTTAGTAAAATTAATACTGCATTTTCTTCAAATCGTCTAAACCCAGTCTTACACAAGTTTCCCCAATTGTCTCAAAAATGTATTTTTATAATTGATTTGTTCAAATGAGGGCCTTAATACAGGCAGATCATTGCAATTTAATGCAGGTAACAGACGGTGTAGGGGATGAGAATGAAACTAATTTTTATCAACTGCTAATTATTGGCTTTTTTACAGCCACTATACTTGTGTTTTATATATGCATGATCTCATTTAATCCTCAGAACATCACTTTTAAACAGTTAGTGCTGAGCTTACATTACCCACACGACAGGTTCCATCGCTTGGCAGGTGTCAGTCCAATGACTGCAACCACGGAGGATTTAACAAAGGTATTTGATTACTTGCAACAAGTAAAGAGAACATTGGAGTAGTTCCCAAAGCAGTGCCTCCTGGAACAAAGGTGAAAGTGGGGCCTTTATTGTGCTGTTCAGCTGAGTCATTGTATGTAAAAGTGGGATAAAGTCAGCGCAGGTGCAGCCGTTGATCATGTTTCTTCATACATCACATATACAAAAAATGACGAATAGGCTCCCGTCTTGGTTTTAGTATGGTAATATGGAAAGTTCAAAAAAGTTCTTCTCCAACTCAGGCATCTCTGGATCCAATTGGTTTTTGTTTTGCAGGGGCTGGGGTTGTTCCTGGAAACTTTTTGAAATAACAAAAACTCAAGGTGCAACAGTTACAAGTGGGTAGTTTTTCTGCAGTGACCTGGGGATCCTGGGTTACACTTATCCCACAGATGAGGCTCAGAGAAATTAAGTATCCGGCCCAGGTCACTTAGAGATGAACAGATTGCTGATATTTAAAGCCAGATGTGTCTCATACTGAAGTTTCTGTTCATAACTGCTGTGTTGTGCACGATAATAGAGAAAATAGTGAACTACTTCTCAGACTATAGAAATTATAAAATAAATACTTCATGAAGAAAAACATTTTGACTTTATGAAAGTAATGCTGGAAGGAGTTATGCCGCTTGCTATTTGCGAGTGTGGGGACCAAGGCTTTTCTTTTGGCCCTCTGAAGTTTCACTGAAAAAGTGACTCACAAAAGGCAAATTAGTTGGAGAAAAGGCATACAAATTTACTTAATGTGTATGTACAGGAGCCTTCAGAATGAAGGCTCAACCCCTCAATGAGTATAGAGACTTGTATATCATCTTGAGGTTACAGAAAGAATGGGGGCTAGGATCCTGGCAAAACAGGTTGTGGAAGCAGGATGAAGAGGAATTCTGTTGAGGGGCAATAAATAATTTCTAGGGAGAATCCAATGGGTTTGAAGAACATACAGTGGTGTGGGGCAAAGTCTGTTGGGCCCGCAGAGTGGACAATGGTTTTTGACAAAAATCTGTTCAGATTTCTGGACAGACTTTAGTCTTCCTTTCTGCTATATTGTTACTGGGGGTCCCAGTTACTCCTAAAGGGGCTCTTTTCTGTGTGGTGTCCAGAAACCAATACACAAAACCAAGTGTCAAGCAGTGTAGGCTTTATCTAATGACCGTGGAGTTGGAGAAGTGGGAGTATAGCTTGCAAATAACTTTCCAGCCCCTGAGAACTGGGAAGTCACAGATGTACGGTATCTTACTTAGTAAAGGGGTGGGCATTAAGAGCAAGGGAAGGAATATTCCTGCTTTTTCTTGAGAAGGGACGAAGATTTTCTTGGAATCAAGGAGCCTCCTCTTTTTTGTCCTTTTTCAGTCTCTTCCAGTCATTATCATGGTGATTGTCAACTGTCATGGTGCAAGTGCGAATGTCATTTAGCATGGAAACTGGATTAGAATGAAGCTAGAGGTTTTTCAGGGGATGAATAAGCTGCCTAAGAAGAAATCTATGATCACAGACATCCTGTTTCCCAAAATTAAGCAGAGTTAAGCTGAGTAGGAATTTACTTCGTATATCACATATGCCTTGCATTGGGCAACAAAAGCAGAATAGGGGTCCAGCTAAGTCATGTAGGCATTGCAAGGGCAACAAATTCCCTTTTTAAATGTTCACGCCTCATTCTTGAGGGGTGCTGAAGGGCAAAGTCTATTTTCTGTAGCTTCTTTATGCTGAGTTTGGGCATAGGCAAGCATCCTGTTAAAGGAGTGAAACTCTTCCTGGTCATTTTCAGATAGGTTTGATTCTCTCCTGGCTATAGGCTTAGCTGTTGGTACCCCTGAGTAGCCCAACATTTGAATGTTTATGGCTTTTAGGCTTTTTGCAACAAACTTGGTGACAGAGTTCAGAAGTCAGGGACCAAAAATTAAAAGGGTTACTGCTGTGAACAATTACTGAGACAATGGGGCTTAGTCATGGTCCCAACCACCCTAATTAATCATTAGCTATCCTGCCTAGGATGGGTGAAGAGGGGTCTCCCTTTGTCTTGTCCAGTATAGCTATATTTTGATAACAGATTTCTAAGTTTTCTTCAACTTGGCCTGAGGTATTTATATAGAAGCAATATTCCTCTCTTAACATGGTACATGTGCCCCTGCCTCTGCTGTGAGTACATCTAGGGTCGTTCGGTTTTGCAGCACTGAAGTAGGGAGTTCAAGGCTGTCTGTTGAGCATCCAGAGTATTGACTGTAGCTTTCTGTGGTTGTTGAATAAGGATTGAGATGTTTTTAATGGACTTCTTTAGGTCACCTATCCCTAGACACCAGAAAATGCTATAGGGAGTGCCCTATACCACTTCTACTAATAATTAGATTAGAGGTAGCTAAGGGCCCAAAGTGGAGTTGGTCTGGATCATATAGGCTCCTTTCTCCACAGCCTTGGATCCTGTGATATTTAAAGCAGTGGAAAGGAATACCCTAAGGTTAAATACTTTCCCTGAGGACCCTAGATGAGATGTATTGATGCAAACTCCCTTCTAACAACGAGAGATAGTAATAAAGAGGGTTATGCCACATGACCGAAGGTTTCCAGTTCCTTTTAAAGACACTGCAGGTTGCGGGTGGTGGCTCATGCCTGTAATCTCAGCACTTTGGGAGGCCGAGGCAGGAGGATCACTTGAGCTCAGCAGTTAAAGACCAGCCTGGGCAACATAGTAAGACTCCATCTCTATCTTAGGAAAGAAAAAGAGAGAGAGGAGAAACGGAAGAAAAGAAAGGAAGGAAGGAAGGAAGGAAGGGGAGAAAGAACAGATGTTGCAGTGGTAAGCCCTTGTAACCAGGCATGGAAGTGGGAGGCATGTAACCCTATGGACCCCAGTTCTATTTCAGGGTCCCATGCATCCTGGGGTCAACATTTGAGGACATGCCCTGAAAAACAATCATTAATAATTGTATTTGTGCTTCTGCTTTTGGTGGCCCCTGCAGTGAACAATCGCCACCTGGCTTGTTCTCTTATGGGCTGGTTCTCTTATTTAAAGTCCAATAGCTTTAAAAATGACAGCACCATTCTGACCTGCTTGTTATCAGATGTTAACATGCCCCTTTCCTTCCAAACAGCTCCATGTGTGTAGCATACAGTAGGCATACTTGGAATCTGTGTATACGCTGATAATTTTTCCTTCCCCCAACTCCAGCAGCCGGGTTAGTGCAATAAGTTCTGCTTTGTGAAGAGCATCCCATAGCGAGGGCATGGGCCTCTATAACTTTAGTGAGATAGGAGATAGCATAACTTGTCCTCCTTTGTCCTCCTTGCATACAGCTACTCTCTTCAGTCAACCATTCGGCTTCTGCATTTTCTTTTTTCTTTTCTTTTTTTTTTTTTTTTTAGACGGAGTCTCGCTCTGTCACCCAGGCTGGAGCGCAGTGGCATGATCTTGGCTCACTGCAACCTCCACCTCTCGGGTTCAAGCAATTCTCCTGCCTCAGCCTCCCAAGTGGCTGGGACTACAGGTGCCCACCACCACACCCAGCGAATTTTTTTGTATTTTTAGTAGAGATCGGGTTTCACCATATTGTCCAGGCTGGTCTTGAACTCCTGACCTTGTGATCCGCCTGCCTCAGCCTCCCAAAGTGCTGGGATTACAGGTATGAGCCACCGCGCCCGGCTGGCTTCTGCATCTTCAATGGGCTAGTCTACTGGAGTATACTTCTTCCATCACTTCTAGACAGTTGTGGAATAAATGCCCATCCTTAGATGGAAAGAGGGTGGTAGGGTTCTAATTATTACACACCTTTAAAATTATATGGGAGTTATCAATAAGCATTACCTGTAACTAGAGGGTCCTGCCCGGGGATTGCCATTCTGCCTCCCTTTCTTTTATGAGAGTTTGGGTATGGTGAGGAGTCCAGATGGTTAAGGGCTGTCCAAAGGTTAGCTTCTCTGTCTCCTTCAGGAGGAGGGCTGTAGCTGCCACTGACCAGAGGCAAGATGGCTTGCCTTTAGCAACCAGGTCCAGTTGCTTAGAAAAGTAGACTCGAGGCAGAGAGGCTAGTGTTTAATACCCCTAGGGATATTCCTTCTCTTCTCATGGATATAAGGATGGAAGGGTTTGCTTACAGCTGATAGGGCTGATGCTGGGGCTCTCATAAGCTGGGTCTTAACCACTTGGACTGCTTGGTTGCATTCTACCATCCATTTAAAAGGGCCCATGTCCTTTCCTTTTGATTGTTTATATGAGGGGTGGGCAATGAGGCCAAAATTAGGAATCCAGAGGTGGCAGAACCAGGCCATTCCCAGGAACTCTCAGAGTTGCTTCTGGGTCCCTGGTGCTTATAGTTGGCATATTACCTCCCATCTGTCTTGGAACAAACGTTGTTCTCCTTCTAGGAGGGACCCCAAATAGGTAACCTGCTGCTGATAAATCTGTGCTTTTCCCTGGGAGACCTTATAACTTCCCTTTCTGCTAAGAAGTTGAAGACTAGCATGGTATTCTGATCTGAAATTTGTTTGGAGGGGCTGGAAATAAGACCCCCTCAGGATCTCTTTCTAGTCATTTAGAATGAGCCTTCCAGTTATAAGGATCTGAAATTGTGAAGGGCACATGTACAGTAACCATCCCTCCTTCCCTATTGGAGACCTGCTGGAGGGGAGAGGTAAGATGACTTACCCTGGGTACTGTCCCGGCTGACTCCCTGAGAGGAGTCCAAGGATGATTGGTGGAAAGAGGGTGTGTTGCCTGCAGGTAGGGGCTATTGTCCCCATTTGACAGATGAGAAGGCTGCTTAAAACCCTCCCTAACCACTTCCCTGTCCCCTGCCCCTCTTTATCCTACTTCCATGCCTATGCTTAATTTTTCTCCATAACATTTAAGTCATCATCTGACATTACGTGTTACTTATTTTCTCTCTGTACCATTAGCAAGCCGACTCCTTGAGAACGCACTTCTGTTAAGTTTTGTGTGCTGCTCTGTCCCTTTGCCTCTGTGTCTGAGCTCTGACATGCTCAGACAGCATGCTTTTTGGTGACATGCTATTCAGAGATCTGAGAATTAACATAGAAATGGATTTAAAGAGACCATGAAATGTAGCTCACACATGGTGGCTCATGCCTGTAGTCCCAGCTACTATAGAGGCTGAGGTGGGAGGAACCACTTGAGCCCGGGAGGTTGGAGCTGCAGTGAGCTGTGATTGTGTCACCGCATTCCAGCCTGGGCAACAGAGCCTTGGTTTTTGAGACTCTGTCTCAAAAAACAAGGCCGGGCTTGGTGGCTCATGCCTGTAATCCCAGCACTTTGAGGGACCGAGGTGGCTGGATCACTTGAGGCCAGGAGTTCAAGACCAACTTGGCCAACATGGTGAAACCCTGTCTTTACTAAAAATATAAAAAATTAGCCAGGCATGGTGACGCATGCTTGCAATCCCAGCTACTTAGGAGGCTGAGGCACGAGAATCGCTTGAACTGGGGAGGCAGAGGTTACAGTGAGCCAAGACAGCACCATTGCACTTCAGCCTGGGTGACAGGAGTGAAACTCTGTGTCAAAACCAAACCAAAACAAAACAAAAAACCACTAAACTAAAACGTAGTAAATGTTCATTAGTCTGTACACTTGCCCCAATGTTTCTCTTTATTTTGTCATATATAAAGTATGTTTTGTTAAAAATAACATTTCAGGTTGAAAATAATACGTGGACAGCAATTACTGCTTACCGCTTAATTGGGTTGTTACTGTGAGGGAAACATGAGCCAGTATCTGTGACACACTGTAAAATGTAAAGTACTCTACAACTGTCGCTAACTGCTGTCCAGAGAACTGTTTTTCCCCTTCAGTAACTTGCTTTCCCTCCTCCCCTGCTCCTTTCACCTCTCATTCCTCCTTCTTTCCCTCGTACTCCACTCTTCTCCTCCTTCCCGTTCCTCCCTCTCTCCTCTCCCTCCTCCCACTCCTCACCTTTTCTCTGCTCTCTCTTTCCTCCCACAAGTCCTCCTCGTCTCCTCCTCGTTCCCTCACTCTATCATCTCTTCCTCTCCCTCCCTCCTTCTCTCTCTTCCTCTCCATCCCTCCTTCTCTCTCTTCCTCTCCATCCCTCCCTGCCCGTCCCCTTTCCTCCCGCCCCAGCTTTTTCCCTCCTCCCGCCTCTTCGAACTCGTCTCAGGTGTCTCTCTCTTTCTCTAGGCTTCGCCGCCCCCTCATGGCGGATATGCATCACTGCCTGTGCCGTGGGCCTGAGAAAGTCTCACCCTCTCAACCCCTGTCAATGGAGCGGCCTATAGATGGCAAGCTGAGGGCTGTGCACAGCAGGGAACCTCAAAAGCTGAAATGCACGTTTTGCTCCTAGAGGCGTTGCCAGGCGTGGTGGCTCACGCCTGTAATCCCAACACTTTGGGAGGCCGAGGCGGGCTGATCGCGAGCTCAGGAGTTCGAGATCAGCCTGACCAATAAAAACACAAAAATTAGCCGGGCATGATGGTGCGCGCCTGTACGTTTATATGAATGCAAACTGAGCTTTATTTCCATCCTCTGCCCCTTCCCGCTTAATGGCATATCCTTCATCTTAGTCAAACCAGGCTACTCCTGAGTCAATAATGGTCTTCGTCCTAGTCAATTCAGGGCTTTATTAATTAATTTTGGGCCTCTCCTTTTCCTCAGATGGTATCTCAGTTTGGACATGAAGAGAAGACCGCTCCTGTGTCCACGCATGGAGAAGAACCGCTGGCCCTCCCTGGTCGTCTGTCCACTAGGGCATCTGCCTCTGCGTTCTTGTGCCCTGGTTTCTGAGTGCAGAACCACTAAAATCCTGGCTTCTTTCCTCAGCATCCTGGCGAGGTATCCTCAGCCTCTGAACCCGTCAGCCACATTCACACCCAGAGGAACCAGGAAGCATCCACAGCTTCCCCTACACCCTACAGCTCTGCCTCAGGTCCTCCCAAAGCTATATCCAAATAAGGTTACATTCTGAGGTACTAGGATTAGGATTTCAACATATGAATTTTGGGGGACACAAAACTGAATCCATAAAAAGGTGGTTGGGGTCCTTTTAGAAAACATGTTCCAAAAGTCCACGTATCTACGAATTTTTAAAAACTAGAAGATGATTTTGAATTGAGCCTGCTATTAAGAGAGATTTCATTTAAAGACTGAAAATAAACATCTTCTACAAGAATGATATATTTTTTGCATTCCTAAACAGTGATCAGCATATGGTAGTTGCTGAAATATGCCATTGTTTCTATAGGAAATGTAGACATTTTAGTTACTTGGGGATGGAAATGGGGAAGTCATTTTCTTTGGAAGAGTAACTAAGAAGGAACCCAAAATAAGGGTATTGTCAAGGATAGTTCAGCAGACGGAGAAGGTCTTAGTTTCTTTCTTAAAGCATCCCTCTTCACTCTCTGAGAAACTTGTCTTCCTATCTTCACCCATGGAGAAAGAAACTAAGTCAGTCCTATGTTTCTTGCTGAGTTCACCAGATCTCAGAAATTCTGTTTCAGTTATCTGTTAAGAAAGACCTCTATAGATTTAACTTGGCTGTGATACCCTCTTCTCTGGAAAGTCTCATCTCTGAGCTCTTTAGTTGAATATTGTGACTACCACACATGAGAGAAGGGAGAGGTGTGAAAACCAAAGTTAGTGAGGGGTGGTAGGTGTGGGAGAACAGGGTTGGGCTTAGAAGGCCTAAATTCTGGCATGAACTGATTCCACACCCTGGAGTGTCAGATTGATTTATTGGCTTAAACAATAAAGAAGAGTTTTCTCAATTAACAAGAAGTTCTCAGGTAGGACATGGAGAGGCTCTAGTAAGGTGGCATGCCACAGTCATTCTCTCTCCTCCTAGTGATCTTTTCTGTACTGTAGAGGCAGGAAAACAAAACACTACATCTCTCAGGTTCTCAGGCAGTCATGATTTGGAAAAAAAAATGTAGCTTAAACAAACTATATCTAGCAAATTAGATGTAGTCACATGGAATTTGGAGGCTAGAAATGAGGCTACATTTCTGCAGTTTTAACTGTTGTTTGGTTCTCCTGTATAGTGTTGTTAGCAGAGTCTCCAGTGACCCATAATGGATTTTTAAGACTTGAGAGGCAGGCCATAAGTCATCTGTTTTACTGGTGTTGATGCAGGTGCTGCATGGTTCTGGAGCTGGCAGCAGGCAGGAGCTTTCTGATGGTGGTGGTTTTCTTGGTTGTGGCAGTGATGCTGTAGTGCTGTGGTAGTGACACTGTAGTGATTTTAGAAGAGTCAGCAGATCCCTCGGTGGTTCAATTCTGCAGTGTGGCACTGGAAGTCAATCTGAATGCTCAACATAGAAATGTTACAACATTTCTTGTAAAAAATGTTTTCCTGTTTAAACAATCTAAAGTGTGTTTGAGTGTTTGCATTTTAATCCTGACCAACACAGAGGACAATTCCAATATATCCTCATTAAGGACCCAGGTTTTTTCCATCTTTACATTTTGCAAGGTTAATGCAATGCATCAGCTTAGCTCCCTTCATGCTCACAAGATGGCTACGATTGTCCCTAGGATCATATCCAGGCAGAGTAACATCGAACAGAGGAATTTGTTTTAATTGGTTTGTTAACTGTAGTATCCCCTGGGTCTAGAAAAGTGCTTCACACACATTAGGCCAACAATAAATATTTGTTGAATGAATAAATGAATGGATGGATGGATCACTCATCTAGAACCACAAAAGAGCCTGTTTACTTTCCTGCTGATTAAGAACATGGTGGCCTACCCTCCCTGCAAAATGGAAAGAATGTTTTTTCTAAAGTAACATACACATACACATACACAAGAGTTGAGCTTTCATATCCTAACACTTGGTTTCTAACAATGCAACTCAAACTTAATTAAGGAAAACAAAAAAGGAATGTATCATACTATTATAAGGATACAATGGGGACTGTGGAGCCCAAGCACAGAGCTCCAGCTGGGCCTCCAGTCACAGCTGGGAACCTGAGCAGAGGGAGTGAAGCTGACAAGCAGAGGAGTCAGCTGGAACTAGGGGCCACCCCAAGTTCAAGTCTCCCACAGGCTGTGGCCTTGGGCAACAGTATGTGTTGGAAGTTTCTGAATCTTTCTGCTTACCGATACCTGTGCTAACCCCATAAGAAAGAAATTCTGGAGATGCGTCTGATGCTGAGGGGAACAGCTGCCTCTGTCTGCAAGAAAACACCTTTCTGTGGTGCAGGGGCCTGAACTCTTTTTTTCTGTATATTTTCTGCTACATTTTTGGCTTTGCAGGTCCTCCTGTGTCTTTCATAACTGCTCTTGTAGTGCAGCCATAGATGAATGGACATGGCTGTGTCCCGATAAAACCTTATTTATGGACAATGAAATTGGAATTTCATATAATGTTGATGTGGCACAGATGATTATTCTGCTTTTAATTTATATTCAGCAATCTAAAAATGTAAAAACAGCTGTAGGCAATACAAAAACAGGTAGCAGGCCACATTTGGCCTGCAGGCATGTTTCCTGACCCTTGATCTACCCTAAGGACTGTTGGACATTTGAGATGTTTCCTGTGGCCTGGTTTTTCAAATCTACAAAAAAAAGTTTTTAAACGTTTTTTGCTCAAAGCAAGGAAATCTAGTGAAAGAATTGACCTTTAACTTATCATGGCCTGGCTTTTTTGTTAAAGTGCTTTATATTGAATACAAACCAACAAAAATCCTATTATCAAACCATCAAACTGTCCTACTATCAAAATGCCACTCTTTCATAAGTGAATTACTACTGTTTTTGTATCTGGGATATGGAATGTTTTATATACTTGATAATTATGTCTTAGAAAAGAAAACATTTTGGTTGGGCATGGTGGCTCACACCTGTAATCCCAGCACTTTGGGAGGCTGAGGTGGGTGGATCACTAGGTCAGGAGTTTAAGACCAGCCTGGCCAACATGGTGAAACCCCATCTTTACTAAAAATACAAAAATTATCTGGGCGAGGTGGTGTGCGCCTGTAATCCCAGCTACTCAGTAGGCTGAGGCAGGAGAATTGCTTGAACCCAGGAGGCGGAGGCTGCAGTGAGCAGAGATTGTGCCACTGCACTCCAGCCTGGGCAACAAAGCAAGACTCAGTCTAAAAAAAGAAAAGAAAAGAAAACTTTTTAAAATTGAATATTTGTAATTTGTTGTTCCCTGTGATTTTTATGCTATAAAACTTAGGCACTTCTATAAATACATATTAAATATAACCCTATGTTATATTGGAGTTCTTATGATTAGAAACTGCATATTAGAAGCAATTAGTTCAAAGAGCAAACTCCAATGAGAAGACTCATTTATACATTCATTAAAACATTTTTATTACTATGAATTTATTATTATTATTATTATTATTTTTGAGACTGAGTCTCCCTCTGTTGCACAGGCTGCAGAGCAATGGCATGATCTTGGCTCACTGCAGCCTCCACCTCCTGGGTTCAAGTGATTCTTGTGCCTCAGCCTCCAAAGTAGCTGGGACTATAGGTACGTGCCACCATGTCTGGCTAATTTTTGTATTTTTAGTAGAGATGGGGTTTTACCATGTTGGCCAGGATGGTCTTGAACTCCTGACCTCAAGTTATCCACCCACTTTGGCCTCCTGAAGTGCAGGGATTACAGGCATGCTCCCGACCTCATTAAAACGTTTTCAGTAGATTTAATACTTTGATCATAATTGGGAGGTGTCAATCAAGTTGTCTTGTAAATCAGGTTGACTTTTTGTTGTCAGATTCATTCCCCATCCTTCTTCTGCTTTGAACATCCTTGCCTTCTGGCTTCTGGGTAGGATTAGCCAATGGGAGAATGACAAAAGGTTGGAATTCAAGAGGAACCCTGAGGCCAGGATATTCTTTCTTTCTGCTTCCTGTAGCATTGCCTGCAATAGCTGCATCCATTCCAAGGTCTGAGATTCTCCCTTTGGAATTCTAGCTCCTGATGGTCATTTTCTGCAGACCACTGTCACCCTTCTACCTCCCACTCTGGGCTCTAACATGGCCTCTTCCCACTGCCCCTCCATCCTCAGGGGTGATAATAGCTTCCTGTTGTGGCTAATCTCTGGGTTACCCATCTGTGAATCCTTATCTTGGCAGCCAGTTCATTTTGCTGTTTGTGACAATGTCTTATAAGTTCAGCCTAGATCATCTGCTCCTTGCAGGAAGGTAAAGTGATCTCTTATATGAAATCTTATCTCAAACAACAGGCTCCCTAACTCTTCAGTTTAAACTTTAATTTTCTTTTCTGTAAAATGAAACTACTGACACTGTTAAAGTCTGCTACCAAAGACCTCTAGGAACACACCTGTGGTCAAACAAAGCTAGGTTTATTAAACTTGCTACAGCAAGAGAGAATGAACACTAGTGGAACAGTAAGGCATCTAGGTAAGGGGGAGTTTGGAGAAGCTTACTATTCTAAGGAGAGTGTAAGGGAATCAAATATCAGCTCTGGACTGGGTGTGGTCAGGAAGTGGAGCAATTCAGTAACAGTGTGAGTCACTTTTTTGAATTTTTATCTAGGAGGCAGGAGAAGAATTCAAGTGGGGCTGGGGATGTCATTGGTAAGAAATCATAGTCACTCTACTATCCTGCAAAAGGGGTGTTTACTTTTTTTTATGGATGTAGAGTGTCCTTATTTCTTTCCTGTGTCATACATAGTTACGGAGTGATCTTGTCTTCATCTTGTTCCATCTCAGGTAACACAACGGCCTTGTCTGATCATTGTTTATACCATGCAACAAGATAAACAAAAACAATTTTTTTGTGTGTAAAAATTGTGTGTGTTCAATTGTCCTAGCTTTTAGCTTCTAGATGTTGGGCAATTTTTTATGTTTTCAGCACCAACTTCACAGACTTATTGTAAAGATGGAATATATTATATGTCAGCATATAAAAATTCAGAGAAATATTATTGGCACATAAATGCTTAATAAATGTCAGTGCTATGGTTTGGATATGGTTTGTTAGACCCCACCAAATCTCATGCTGAGATTTGATCCCGATGTTGGATGCAGGGCCTTGGGGGAGGTGTTTGGGTCACGGGGGCAGATGCTTCATGAATAGTTTGGTGCTATTCTCACTGGAGGGAGTGAGTTCTGACTCTTTGTTCTCACAGAACTGGTTGTTAAAAAGAGCCTGGCATCTCCTCCTCTTTCACTTTCTCTCTCTCACCATGCGACCTCCACATCCTGGCTTCCCTTCACCTTCCACCATGAGTGGAAGCTTCCTGAGGCCCTCATCAGAAGCAGATGCTGGTGCCATACTTCTTGTACATTCTGCAGAACCATGAGCCAAATACACCTCTTTTCTTTAAGATTACCCAGCCTCAGTTATTCCTTTATAGCAACACAAACAGACTAAGACAATTAGTTTCTTCTAAGTGTCATTACTGTTGAGAAAACTATAGACTAGACCTTGGTGGTACAATAGAGCCCCTTGTACTGGCTCACAGGAGCCCGTTATGCACATCTCTTCCCAACTTCACATTCAGTGACTCTGCATCTGTAGTTTGAATCAGTTATGGTGAGAGAATTTGCAAGCACTACTTGCTAAGATAGTGTCTTTCCCTCAAGAGCTGGTTGTTAAACATTTACCAGCACACCCATCTGGGAATGACCAAGACAGTAAGGAGCTCAACAAAATATAAATGTGGGATTGAAATTTACTAATTTCTTAAAAAATAAATTAAAAAACATCTTTGCTTTGATGAGAGTGGGAAGAAATCTGAGTCAGGCTAAAATAAGATTATACCTAGAACGAAGTTCACATTAATATAACATTTTTAGGGTAGTATTGCGTTTACTTTTTTTTTTTTTGAGGCGGAGTCTCGCTCTGTCACCCAGGCTGGAGTGCAATGGCGCGATCTCAGCTCACTGCAACCTCCGCCTGCCAGGTTCAAGTGATTCTCCTGCCTCAGCCTCCTGAGTAGCTGGGATTACAGGCACTTGCCACCACACCCGGTTAATTTTTTTTTTTTTGTATTTTTGGTAGAGATGGGGTTTCACCATGTTAGCCAGGATGGCCTCGATTTCCTGACCTCATGATCCGCCCACCTCAGTCTCCTAAAGTGCTGGGATTACAGGCATGAGCCACCGCACCCAGCTTTCTTTTTTTTCTTTTTCTTTTTGAGACAGGGTCTTACTTTGTCACCCAGGCTAGAGTGCAGTGGCACGATTTTGGTTCACTGCAATCTTGACCTCCTGGATTCAAGCAATCCTTCTACCTCGCCTCCTGAGTAGCTAGAACTACAGGTGTGCACCACCATGCCCTACTAATTTTTGTAAAGATAGGGTTTTGCCAAGTTGCCCAGGCTGGTCTCAAACTCCTGGGCTCAAGGGATCTGCATGCCTTGGCCTCCCAAAGTGCTCGGATTACAGGTGTGAGCCACCACGCCCAGCCTTGTATTGCATTTACTAAAGAGTATTATCTATTTATATATTTCTGCTCAGCTTGGTTTTTTAGGGTGAGAAAGTAAAGTGCGGGAGATATCCTAATTAATTTACGAAACAATGATGCATTATTAAATGAGGTAATAATTTTTAGAATTTTGGAAAATTCTATTTTCTGCCATATGTTTAGCATGTATGTGTTAATGATTCTAGTTACCTTATTACATGGTGTTTTATGAGAATGCTGTAATTATGAGATTAGTTTATGCACTAAAACATGGGAGACAAATGAGCAAGGAGAAATAAAGCATTGTTATATTAGTTATGAATAGCTAGTGATACCATTAGCTTTAACACTTGCGTTACTATATAATGGAGTTGCTATAACACAGCTATAACCATAAGTCTCAGTTTTTAAACTCAATAAATGTCTTTTTTCCCCTCAGGCAACATCTAATGCAGGTTTTCTGGTTGGTCTTACCAGTGATCACCAAGAGATCATTGAGCGGCTTTGGCTCTAGGATCATGGAGTTCTTCACTGGATCTTCAGCATTTGACCAACAGAAAGAGAAAGGAACACTCATGAGAAGTTTTCCTAAACCAAGACTTCTTCCCACATTTCATTGGCCATATCTCAGCCACATGGCTACATCTAATTGCAAGGGAGGCTGGGAAATGTAGATTGGCTGTGTTTCTGATGGGAAAAGAAACAGACCTTCATATTTTTTTTTTTTTGACAGAATCTCACTCTGTCGCCCAGGCAGGAGTGCAGTTGCATGATCTTGACTCGCTGCAAGCTCCACCTCATGGGCTCAAGTGATTCTTGTGTCTCAGCCAGCCACCCAAGTAGCTGGGATCACAGGCACACCCGGCTAATTTTTGTATTTTTTAGTAGAGATGGGGTTTTATCATGTTGCCCAGCCTGGTCTTGAACTCCTGACCTCAAGTGATCCACCCACCTCAGCCTCCCAAAGTGCTGAGCCACCATGCTGGGCCCAGACTAGCTTCTGTGTTAAAAACAGTTCATTATAAATAACCAGACAATCTGCTGTGCTGTGAATCACAGCAGATTTAAATATCAATTAAAATGAGTGAGTAAACTTCTATAAGTTAAAGTATTTCACTGAGTTTTTCATTCCAGTTGCTGATCTGAATTTGTGTTCATTTCCAGGTTTCTCCACAGCTGGATGCTGTCAATGTCCTGTCCAATTTTAGCTGCAACCTGGGATGATGTCCATTATTACTACTTTTTTTTTGTTATCCTCATTACAGAAAAATTCTAACATCTAAAATGAGCAAATGTATTTAATTGTTTGCTAACACCAAAATGTAAATTTATGGAAGAAATCAAGAATTGATAAATGTAAATTTTACTACACTCTCTGCTGAATGAGGCTACACCAAATGCATTTAAGAATGTCACCAAACTTTAGCTGTGAGTGGTGGCCCTGTAGTCCCATCTACTAGGAAACCTGAGGCAGGAGAATGGCTTGAACCCTGAAGGTTGAGGCTTCAGTGAGCTGTGTTGGAGCCTCTGCACTCCAGCCTCGGTAACAGAGAGAGAGAGAGACCCTGTCTCTGAAAACAAAAACAACAAAAAACAAAACAAAACAAAAACAAAAAACAAAGTAAGAATTTCACCAAACTTTATAGTGATACTAACATTTATTGAGAGCAATTGATGTGCCAGGCATCTTTCTAAGCATGTATAAACTCTTTTAGCGCACAATACGTAAATAAACTCACAACAGTCCTATGAGGTGGATATTATTATCACAATTTTATAGATGAGAAAAGTATGTATTTCAACTTTCAGTCAACAGCAGATCACACAGGATTCTCTGGTAACACCAAATCTGGAGTATCCTTTCATTCTGTAAGCTGCTGCAGATCCTCCTAAGCCCTCGGTTATTTATATTCTGAAACGCCCGTTCATTTCGTTGCCCACTGCTTCTGACTCCCAACGCACCCCTCACCCAAGCCCCCTAATCTCTTTCCACAACCCCGTAGAATGACCTTAGCTTGTTAACAGCCAAATAACAGCACACAACCTACCAAAGCTACTCTGATATCTACAGGTCAAACACAAACTCCTTCAATTTAGGATTTATGGTCCTTAACAATCGCCAGCTGGAGCCCTTGGGCTTTGGACAGTTTTTCAGAATTAAGACAGGGAAACCTTTCTCTAGTCCACAGCAAGGCGGGGGAAAAGGTGGGGCGGGGTGGGGCGAGGCGGGGGGTCCTTAATTTTCAGAGAAAGATGAGTGTTTTATAGCAGTGGACCACTTTTTGGAATATCTTTTCCTAAGAGTTCAAAGCGGCCCCTGCACTATTTGCGGAGATCGTCTGTATGTAAATTCGGGGTCCCCAGACAAACCCCGCTGACTTTAGAAAACTCCGATCTCTGGTTACCCAAGGCAGGTTCTTTAACCAGCCAAACAAAGCACAGTGCCAGAATAACCCACTTACTCCTGATGACAGGATTTCTTGTTCTTTTTAGGGTCAGTTTCAGGTCCAGCGATCTGATTTTGAAGAATTATCGGGGTGTGAAATCAACTCTCTCATCAGCTGAGAACGGAGGCTACAGGGAGGCGCCGTTATCTCTCAGAAAAGATGCAGCACAAACAACCTGCCAGCCCCCGCGTGAATTCGTTAACGGAAACACTGGTTGTGACCTGCAGTGAACTTTGGAAACGAATTTAAAACTCACCTTGATCAGAGTTCCTTAATGAGGAGTTGGGAGAGGAAGGATCCTCATTATTCCCTCTTCGCTACCTCCTCTCTACAACCCCATTCCAAAGCGACTGACCTTCAACAGAATGTATTTCTATAAAGATAAAAACAACGAAACTCCCAAGACGTCTATATTTGGAATATACAGGGAAAACTAGGTAAGAAACGGAATGAAATATAAACAAGAACAGGTGAAAATGAAGCAATTCAGAGGCAGAGAAAATCAGTGATTGGGCGGACAGCAATTTTACCGAGAGGGAAGCAGCTAGGCACTATTTTGTATCTGTTAATAGCTGCCTGGTCTTCACCAGTACCGAAATTATTTTCATGAATCAGATTGACAGGTAAATAAAACGTAGGTGTCCCGGAGACCTCGTGGCGCAACGGTAGCGCGTCTGACTCCAGATCAGAAGGTTGCGTGTTCAAATCACGTCGGGGTCAACAGTTTTTAGCTCGCTGGCTCAGATAACTGTATGGCGGGGAGTACATTACATATTACAGGGGGAAAAAAGTTGCTTTTCCTGCTTCTCTTAGGCACTTGTATACTCAGTTACTTTAGCCTCCTCAAAACTACCCCCTTCTCTTTTTTTAGTAGGAAGATATATACAGGAATATGTTATGGTATTTTGGGGCTTATTTCCGGGTTTATAGAGACGTTTTCACTCTTTTATTGCAAACATTCTGAATTATACTCTTCAGCAACTCATCCCTATTGTTAAACCCTCCTGGACTTCTCTCCATACTCACTCCCACGCCCGCGGCCTTATCTTTTCATCCATGTCTGTCTCTCCAACCTTCAGAAGCTTAGCAGATCTTCGCAGAGACGTAGTCTGGTTTGAGTGGATGACCTAAGCTTACCTGCTTCATATTTGGATCAGCTGTTCCAGGCTAAAGCGATTCCATTGAACTTCCCTGGATCTCTGCGATTTCCTCAACCCTCCCTGCAAATCACGGAAGAAGTCACTTGATTTCCAGAGGCAGAAAACCTGAATGCAGTTACTTTCTCAAATTCATACAGGGAATGAACCATTACATCAGAGAAGGCTAGCTATTCCGTGAACCCCCTTATAGTATTATCTGAAAATGTGCATGAATGTGCCGTTTTTTTCCCCACATGTGGCTCAAGACCCCCTACAG
The DNA here is from genome assembly GCF_000001405.40 of Homo sapiens. Taxonomy (NCBI): domain Eukaryota; kingdom Metazoa; phylum Chordata; class Mammalia; order Primates; family Hominidae; genus Homo; species Homo sapiens. Next base: position 26,330,747 of record NC_000006.12, on the reverse strand, counting down.
ATTATGAATTAGCAAATTACAACATGGAAAAAAGGAAAAGTACGTTTATTTCTTCAGAAGTGTTTAAATTTTTATAACTTACAATGACTTTAAAACATGACATTTGAAATATTAGCAGATTTTCTCTTATGTATTTACTGTACACATTCACACAATACACAGTGACAAACATTACATCGGAGAAGTGTACCTAAAATAACCTTTTTCCTATTTCTTATTAACTCTTTTCTTAGTAGTAGTCTAAGCCTATGGCCATATTACGAACAGATTACTGCTCTGGAAAAAAAAAAAAGAGAGAAGACATAATTTTGAGATTTGGAAACTTGACACGCTAGAAAAAAGGTGACTATTAACTCTGGGACCTGTGACTCGCGTAGCAGAGTGGCGCAGCGGAAGCGTGCTGGGCCCATAACCCAGAGGTCGATGGATCGAAACCATCCTCTGCTAGGGAGCGTTTTGTGGATTTGTTTTTCCCCCTTCCAAAAATAGATCTACCTCATAGGAGGAGGAAATTGGTATAATTGTCATGGACACCGTAAGGGAACTTATTTTGATTTGCACCTCTCTCAGAGATCTATATCTCTGGTTGCAATACATTACTATCCTAATTAGATTAAAAATAACAAAAGCAGTAGTTTTAGCTTTGATTGTTTGAACAGTTAATAGATACCATGCACTATTCCAAGTTCTGAATCATTTATTCCTCGCAATTCTACGAAGTAAATACTTGCTATTACTCTTACTTTACAAATGAGACAAATTGGGGTTTGTCTGCAAGTTGGGGTTTGCAGAGGTTAACTAACTTGCCCAAAGTCATGCAGCTAGTAAATGGTAGAGCAAAGATAAAACTCTAAACCGCCGTTCTGCATAATTACAAACACTAATATTTACAGCAAACTTCAAAAGTTATTTCAGCTATTCCTTCCGAGTTTTATTAGTAGGACATGAACTCACCTAGTATTATTAAATCCCTAGTAAAATGAGAGGTACCATATGTGACATATAGTAACATGTCCAGATTTGAGCAGGCTGTAGGTGACACTTTTTTTCCTGTTCTTATTTTTCTGTTTACTCAAACTAATACAGATGCATAAGGAGACATGTTTAAAGTAGGATGAAATCTACAGACTGTGCAAAGCTTTTGAACTTTTGGAGAAATGTTTAGACAACTGACGAAATGCTTGGGGTTGAATTAATGAAAAGTGTCTAGAAGCTTAAGCAGTAAAACAACAAGAAAAGACAGTTATGTACTAATGCCGGGGAAAAATAAAAATTGCAAGGAAAGGAAAACTTAACAATGTATTTCTTTGCCCACTTGTTGAATTATGTTTATAAAGTTGTCATATTTTAAGCTACAAATATTAAAGTATCATGTATTGTGCTATAACCATATGAGAAGACTTAGAAAGGGAGCATGTGTGTGTCGGGGGTCCTGGGGTGTGAAGAAGAAAGTGAACCAGTTACTCCTCTTATATAAAGTCAACAGAAGGTCCATACAAACATATTATTTAGAGATATGTAGGTAAATAATTTTAAAATAAGCTATTTAAATGTTTAAAAAGTAGGCTTAACCACTCAGCCACGACTATAGGTGCCAAAAGTTTTCTTAAACGTCGTACATGTTATTATATGTCACATATTGTACCTCTCGCTTTACCAGGAATTTAATAGCTGAGTTCACGTCCTGCCAACAAAACTTAGAAGGAATCAACAAACTTCAAGTTCAGGCGCATATGTGGTAAGCTGAGAATGTTCTTTGGGTGTTTTCTATAATGCAAATCAGGAATATGTTTCAATAACTTTAAAAATTGCTAGAGGACAGGGAGCAGAGAAGAGACTTGATTTTTGTTTCAAGTGATTCTTGAAATTATGAGTATGCGAAAAGGATAGAAAAGAAACCAAAATTGTTTGCTATCTAGAAATTTTCTGTTTGTGAATTCTCAATCGTAACTCTCACAGAATGACACAAGGTTTTCCCAAACGGACGTGGTGGCTCACGCCTGTAATCTAGCACTTTGGGAGGGCGAGGCGGGCTGATCACTTGAGATCAGGAGTTCCAGACCAGCCTGGCCAACATGGCGAAACCTCCTCTCTATTAAAAATACAAAAATAATTAGCTGGGTGTCGTGGCACATGCCTGTAATCCCAGCTACTCTGGAGGCTGAGGCTAGGAGAATCGCTTGAACTCAGGAAGCAGAGGTTGCGGTGAGCTGAGATCGCGCCACTGCTCTGCAGCCTGGGCGACACAGTGATACATCTCAAAAAAAGAAAAAAAAATTCCCCTGTATTAAGTTTTATCAAGCAATGTGAAAATTGGTCAGTTCTGAAACTTATCAATTTAGTGATGTGATTTAAAAAAAAAAAACTCTTATGTATGTAAAACAATAGTGAACTGAAGCTGGAGTCTATATTATAAAAATTTTTGTCATCTTGTGTAATTCTTTTAAAAATTAAAATGATAAAATACATAAAATGTATATGAGTGCCCAGGGAAGGGGCATTTATGTAAACCTCAAAGTTTCCACTAAAGTCGAACGAGCCAGCCAGGAGTCGAACCTGGAATCTTCTGATCCGTAGTCAGACGCGTTATCCATTGCGCCACTGGCCCTCTGACGAACGAAGACAGGCGTTATACCTATAGAAAAAAACGTTTTGGGATTACCGCGTCCTCCTATACATGAATATATGAAATTTTATTTCTTTCTGATCATAAGGATTTTGAACCCAAAACCCTCCAATTAAAACAAAATATAGTTTTATTTGTTCCTTTGACTTGTTTTACTCATGAAGTATGATTCCTTCGTGGGTAATGAGAAATCCATCCTTGTGCACAATGATTCCTTCCTGAACAATGAAATATCCATTATGATGTAACTTGTAAAAGATCAGAGATAAGGTTTACTTTGGGCAATGAGAAATCCATTTTGAGGACCTCTGAGACATAAATTGAAATTGTCCTGCCCTGAATCCCCAAGAAATCCATTTTGATGTTAACTTGTAAAAGATCGAAAGCCTTTTTACACGTGAAATATCGATCGGTCGGATGAAACCTGCTTGAAGATGCAAAAACCCACTGCCGTAGTCGGCAGGATTCGAACCTGCGCGGGGAGACCCCAATGGATTTCTAGTCCATCGCCTTAACCACTCGGCCACGACTACAGATACCAAAAACCTTATTAAATGTCTTACATGTTTCCATACATCACATATTGTACTCCTTTTATTAGGGATTTAATAATAGCTGAATTCGTATCTTAAGAATAAAACTTGGAAGCAATCAACAAACTTCAAATTCAGGCACATACATGATACGCTAAGAATGTTCTTTGGGTCTTTTTTATAATGCAAATCAGGAATATGTTTCAACAACTTTTACAATTCTCATATTTTTGCCTAGTAAGAAAATTATCCTCAGGCCGGGCGCGGTGGCTCACGCCTGTAATCCCAGCACTTTGGAAGGCCAAGGCGGGTAGATCATGAGGTCAGGAGTTTGAAACTGCCCAACATGGCGAAACCCCGTCTGTACTAAAAATACAAAAAAATTAGCCAAGGTGGTGGTGCACGCCTGTAATCTCAGCTACTCGGGAGACTGAGGCAGGAGAATCGCTTGAACCCAGGAGGCGGAGTTTACAGTGAGCCGAGATCGCGCCATTGCACTCCAGCCAGGGCGACAGAGCAAGACTCCGTCTCGGGGGTAAAAAAAAAATAAAAAATAGATTAAAAAAATAAAAAGAAAGAAAATTATCCTCAGTAAATAACACTGATGTTCCACAGAGATCCCCTATATTTTCTGACAAAGTCCAGTGCCTGCGATATACTAACGGCTCAACAAATGTCAGTACAATTGTAACTATCATTGTAAAACCCCAGAATCTAGATTCATCAAAAGGTTCTTCAGTGAAGATAGGCTTCTGTCTTTTCATAAAACTCAGAATATTTTAACCAGCTGAAAGAACATTTCTGAAAGAAACTAGAAAGTAAAAAATATTTTTGCTGGTCAAATCCTCTTTCGTTTATGGGGCCTTCTCTCACAAGGGGAAGAACAACTGCATCTGATATTCTGTGAATAGTTTGAAATTATATTCAAAGACCACTTCCAAAGGAAGAGCAGAACCCCAGGTTCTAAAACTGCACTACCATTACCACAATACTATGCGTGTGTGTGTGTGTGAGTATTAGTGAGCAAGTCAGGGATTCTGTATTTCATCAATGGCCCAACTCTATGAACAGAAGAAGGGTAAGGAATGATTGATGAACTACTGCTCATGTGCGGATGGATTGAAAATCGTCTCTACTCCAGATCTCTCTCCTCTGGGCTCCAGAATATACAGTTGTCCTATTTTTTTTTCTTGCATGTCCATGGGCATCTCAAAAGCAATGCAACCCCAAAGGAATGTTCCATCATTTTCCTCAAACTTAAATTTCCTCCAACAATCCAAATTTTTGATGAGATACCAAAACCGAAGACTGGCTACCAAGACCGAAGACTACCCTTGTCCTTTTATGTCTCTCTGATTCCCTTCCCAGCAGGCCCTCAATTCAACCTTCTAATTAGCTCTCAAATCTGGCTCTTCTTCCCCAGCCCTCAGACCACCTTTTTTTTTTGTTTTTTTTTGACGGAGCCTCGCTCTGTCATCCAGGCTGGAGTGCAGTGGCACGATCTTGGCTCACTGCAACCTCCGCCTCCCGGGTTCAAGCAATTCTCTTGCCTCAGCCTCCCTAGTAGCTGGGATTACAGGTGCGCGTGCCACCATGCCCAGCTACTCAGACCACTTTTTAAAATGAGGTACTTAGTTTAGGTACTTAGAAGTACTCATGAGAAACTTCTCATTAAGTTATTGCAACAACTTCTTAGTCTTTTGGCCTCCAGTTCCTGATCCCTTAAATAATATATTCATTTATTCATTCTTCCAAAAATTTTATTTTTTTAGAATAAAAATAAGCACTTTGTATATGGGTAGTGAGACAGAGAATTGCCTATTTTTTTCAAATTCTTTTTATGTGAAATAGCAAAAGCCAAGCACTTTGCTAGGTACTGCTCATTCAATGGAGAGCGAGATTTCTAAAGGATTACAGAAGTTAACAATAAAACAACTGAGTGCAAGTGAGAAGTGCAGCCCTAACACAGTAAGTAGCCCACAGAAAGAGTTCTGGATCTCAACCACAAAGGTTTTAGGTGGTTGCCTGGAGGGTCACTTAGACTCCAAGCTTCACGAAGAAAGGTTCTAGTTTTACCTTCTTTACCTCTGAGTCCTCCATAGGTGCTTAATTAAGTATTTTTGGAATGAATTATACTTAAGCTCAGATCTGGATCTGAAGGATGTGTTAAAATGAGACAAATTGGTGTGGGGTGAGAAAACGGGGTAGGGTAGTGTTCCAAACCTAAACCTCAAGGAATATGGGAGAAACTGAAGAAAGTTCCCTCTAGTTGAAACATTGCTTTTTGGAGGGGTACTGGGAAGGGCATTGATGAGAGATAACACCGGAAATGTAGTTGAGGGCAGATTATGTAAGTAGAGCTAAGTTAGCACTAACCCAGAATGTGTTTCTGACTGTGTCCCTTACCTCCTTTAATGCCTTTAAGGTACCCTGTGGCCTAGCGAGAAGATCGCAGATGACATGGGAGGCCTTCATCTTCTGCATCTGTCCGACCTTTTCAGCTCCTCTTCTGGTCACTCTGTCAAGGGGGCCTGGAACTCCTGAGAAGTGAAAGGACCAGCCCTATCTCAGATGGTGCGGGTTTCTTCGCCCTGACCTCTGCCATGTTTGCTTGGAGCCCCAGAGCTCATCCTTCAAGGCCTTTTTAAAAATAGCACAGCCTCTGTCAAGCCTTCTTGAAAAATTAAATTTTTTATTGTAAAAACTTTCAAACATATAAAGAATGTGAAAGAATAGGCAATTATCTGTATACTCATCACCCACATTCAATAATTAACATTTTGCCGTCTTAGCCTCATCTACCTATTTCTACTGAATCATATGAAACTCACTTGCAGACATTGTGATATAGAACACCAAAATCCATAAACATGTGTCGCCTAAACATGCGTCTTTTATTTAACTACAATATCATGAACAAAACTAAAACAATCGAGCAATTCTTTAAAAATATCTCATATCTGGTTGGGTGCAGTGGCTCATGCCTGTAACGTTTTGGAATGCTGACGCGGGATTTCGTGACCCCAGGGTTTGAGAGCACCTGTAACAAAACAAGCCCTTCTCTTGTGCCTCTGTACAAAACAGATTTTAAAAAATCAGCCTGGCCTGGTGGCGCGCTCCTGTAATCCCAGCTACTCCGGAATTTTAGGCGGGAGGATGGCTTGAGCTCAGGAGTTCAAGGTTACAGTGATCGCGCCACTGCATTCCAGCCTGGGCGACGGAAAGAAACTCTAAATAAGTGACTAAAAACATCTGAGTATTTATTTATCTAATATATTTTTAGAGTCAGTTTTTATGTTTCCTATTCTTTCACATTAGAACAGTTTCCCAGCTTTTTCTTTTTATTGTTATTTCCTCATGACATCTTTTAATCTTCCCCTCCCTCCCTCCCTTCTTCCCTTCCTCCCTTCCTCCCTTCCTTCCCCCAGCCTGGGAAACACAGGGAGATCCTGTCTCTACAAAAAACAGAAAAATAATTAGCCAGGCATGGTGGTGTGTGCCTGTGGTCCCAGCTACTCGGGAGGCTGAGGTGAGGATCACTTGATCACCGGAAGTCGAGGCTGCAGTGAGCCGTGATTTCACCACTGCACTCCAGCCCTGGGCGACAGAGCGAGACTCTGTCTCAAAACAAAGCAAACAAAACAAAATAAGCAAAAAAGTCTAATTGTCTCATAGAATGTCCTACATTCTGGATTTGTCTCATTATTTCCTTATGGCATCTTTTAATTTATTTTTGTTCCTTTTAAATTAGAAGATAAATTTGCTTTTGTGATTAATTTGAGTGCTTAGATTTAGGTTAAACATTTTTGCCCAGACGCTGTTCTTTACACTGTACTAACTTCACATCAGAAGGCACTTGTAGGGATATCCTGTTGATGGTGAAGACCGAGTGGTGCCCCCCAAGGTTCTTTATTTCTCTCTTTGCAATTGACAAGTAGTTTTGGGGTGGCACTTAACACCATGAGCATATGTTATTTCCCAACCACCTTTTCCTAACGGTTTTAATTAAGGTCGTTAAGCTCGTTCGTTGCTTTGGTCTATTATTTTTCTAAGGGTTGCAAATGGTGATTCTTCTAATTCTACCAGTCTTCTGTATTTGTTAGAAGATACTTTTGTCAAACGTGTGGACCTCTTTTCTGCCTTCCTTCGTACCCCAGTCTTTCCAAGAGGTTCCCGTGGGAGCTTCACATTACCCCTGTCGTAATAGCCTTAAAACTCACGTAGCTTGGCGCTAAATTGTAATTGGGTCTGACGTGCTTTATGGTCTAGAGTGCATTCTACAGCCTGTAAGGTCTGTAAATGGTTCTCACATTCGAGTGTGCAAACGAACCACTTGGATAGCTTGGTTAAAACCCAGAATCCTAGAGCCTACACACAGCGATTCTAGGTAGGTCAAGTGTAGTGCGGACTAGCAAGGGAGGTCGGCCTCGAAAAGTTGTCATTTTTAAGAAGCTCCCAGGTTATGTTACTGGTTCAGGGACTGGACCAAATTTTGAGTAGCGCAGGCCCAGAAGATGGACTGTATGGCATTATGGTGGAGAGAGAGAGGATAAACAGACTAAGTACAGAGCAAAGGCAAGGGATGTGAAGGAAGGGATCTACAATGAAGATAACTTAGTGAAGTAAATGGAAAGAAGTACATTTCTGATTACCAGCTTTGAGGAAGGAAAATAACACCAGACTAGTCAGTATCTCAAATAACCACGGAGGGATTCGAACCCTCAATCTTCTGATCCGAAGTCAGACGCCTTATCCATTAGGCCACGTGGTCCCGGGTTACAAATCAGAACTATTTTTTGATGGAAAATAATCTCCTCCCTATGAGCTGTAAATGTACCAAGTATAGTGAAATCATTGTTGTAAACCAAGGAATTTCCAACCCCTGAAAAAAACTTACAGCCTGGTTGGGGAAAGACGAAGTTTAATCTAATGGTAAAAAAAAATCTAATGGCCGGGCGCGGTGGCTCACGCCTGTAATCCCAGCACTTTGGGAGGCCGAGGCAGGCGAATCACGAGGTCGGGAGTTCGAGACCAGTCTGGCCAAAACAGAGAAACCCCCGTCTCTACTAAAAATACAAAAATTAGCTGGGCGTGGTGGCGGGCGCCTGCGTGCCGCTGCACTCCAGACTCCAGCCGGGGCTACAGTGCGAGACTCTGTCAAAAAAAAAAAATACTGCAATTGTGTTCGTAGCCGCAGCCGTCCTGCCGTCGCTCTCCAACGCCAGCCCAGCGCCGCCTCTCGCTCGCCGAGCTCCAGCCAAAGGAGAAGCGGGGTAAGTAAGGAGGTCTCTATACCACGGCTCGTAGAAAGCCGACTGCCCGCAAATCGACCGGCAAATCGACCGGTGGCAAAGCACCCGGGAAGCAACTGGCTACAAAAGCCTCTCGCAAGAGTGCTCCCACTACTGGAGGGGTGAAGAAACCTCATCGTTACAGGCCTGGTACTGTGGCACTCCGTGAAATTAGACGTTATCAGAAGTCCGCTGAACTTCTGATTCGCAAACTTCCCTTCCAGCGTCTGGTGCGAGAAATTGCTCAGGACTTTTAAAACAGATCTGCGCTTCCAGAGAGCAGCTATAGTTGCTTTGCAAGTGAGGCCTATCTGGTTGGCCTTTTTGAAGACAACAACCTGTGGGCTATCCATGCCAAACGTGTAACAATTATGCCAAAAGACATCCAGCTAGCACGCCGCATACGTGGAGAACGTGCTTAAGAATCCACCATGATGGGAAAAATTTCATTAAAAAAATTATCTTCTTCCTGTTATTGGTAGTTCTGAACGTTATTTTTTTTCCCATGGGGTCAAAAGGTACCTAGGTATATGATTGCGAGTGGAAAAATAGGGGACAGAAATCAGGTATTGGCAGTTTTTCCATTTTCATTTGGGTGTGAATTTTTAATATAAATGCGGAAACGTACAGCCTTAATGCAAGTTAAAATGTTTCAGTGAACAAGTTTCAGCGGTTCAACTTTATAATAATTATAAATAAATCTGTTAAATTTTTCTGGACAATGCCAGCATTTGTTTTTTTTTTAAACAAGTAAATTTCTTATTGACGGAAACTAAATGGTGTTGTAGCATCTTTATCATTCATTCACTATACTTTTCTGAGATTTCATCCATTCACTATACTTTTCTGAGTTGTCCTATATGGAAATACATGTTTTTAATGTTGTCTGTCTTCTGTGCTGTTCCTGTAAGTTTGCTATTAAAATATATTAAACTATATAAAAAAACTGTGAAATTTCAACTAGATAACTGCCAAGGGCAGGAATATGGTACTTCAATAACTACTGATCGAGTGCTTTATCTTTTGATTGGCAGAGAGAAAGGCCACGATGAGAAAGGAATGTTTGAGTTGAGAGCTGGAGAGGCAAAGGCAGAACCAGACTGCTTTCCACATGCAGGGAACCACCGCTGCCTTACGATGCTTCCAGGTAAAGATCGAGGGTTAAACACAAGAATTTACTTTTGCATACTCCGCAGATCTCACTCAAACAGCACTAAAATATACATCCAAATAGGGAGAGGAGATAACAGAAACAAAATTTTGTCATCTGGAAAGCTGATTGAGGAGTCGCTGATTTTGAGAGCCCTGAGAAAGCTAAATCCTAAACCAGGAGTGGGAAAAGCAAAGAGACAGTAGATGTTCACCATGGAGCCCCCATTCCTATCCCTTTTCCCTATGCCAGGCTCGGATATTGTCAGTACAGCTTCGTCTGGAAACTACCTGTGTGAAATGAATTTAGCCTTCCTCCAACCCCCTTAAATTCATATGTGGAAGCCCTAATCTCTAGTACTTCAGAATGTGACAGTATTTCATCTGCAAAATGGAGAAATGAATGAAATAATGTTTATAAATAAAGGGAAAAAGAATGTGACAGTATTTGGAGATAGGGTCTTTAAAGGGGGTAATTAAGGTATTTTGAGATCATGAAAGTAGGGCCCAAATCATAAGGGCTGGTGTCCTTATAAGAAGAGATTAGAACACGGACACACAGAGAAAAAATCATTTAAAGGCAGAGGGAGAAGATAGTCACCTGCAAGCCAACAAAAAAGGCCTCAGGGGAGAAAAAAAAATCAAACAGACAAGTACTTTGATCTCGGACTTCTAGTCTCCAGAACTGTGAGAAAATGATTTTTGTCTAAGCCACCCAGTCTGTAGTATTTGTTACAGGAGCACAGTTAACTAATACACTGTCCTTCCTCCATCTTAGAAGGCTGGACTTTTCTTTTCTTTTTTTTTTTCTTTCTCTCTCTCTTTCTTTTTCTTTTCTTTTTTTTTTTTTTTTTTTGAGACGGAGTTTCGCTCTTATTGCCCAGGCTGGAGTGCAGTGGTGCGATTTCGGCTCACCGCAACCCCTGCCTCCCGGGTTCAAGCGATTCTCTTGCCTCAGCCTCCCGAGTAGCCGGGATTACAGGCATGCGCCACCAAGCCCGGCTAATTTCGTATTTTTAGTAGAGACGGGGTTTCTCCATATTGGTCAGGCTGGTCTTGAACTCCAGACCTCAGGTGATCCGCCCTCCTCGGCCTCCCAGAGCCAACGCGCCCGGCCTTATTTTCTTGAAAGAGCAAAATATCGGGTTTCTTGGCTGGAACAGTGATTCTCAAACTTTTTCCTACATCCCAATCTCCTGGAAGGCTAGTTAAAACAGACTGGTGGGCCCCACGCCCAGTTTCTGATTCAGTAGGTGTGGGGTTCCCTTTTTCGTAGGTGTGGGGTTCCCTTTTTCCTAGGTTCCCTGCTGCTTCCGACCGTGAGGCACTTCTTGAGAATAGCTAGGCTGGAGGAAGTTAATCCATGGGGCTAGTGGAAAACGGTGAGTTCAGTAAATGTTAACGGATTCTTTGGGGTTATTGTTGTGAACTGAATGGCTTGTGTACACAATAGAGACCAGAGGGCCCGCGAATTTGGACTGAGAAGTGAACGTTTAGGCTAGAGATATTATTTATGTTAGGCTTTCGAATCCCATTAGGTTGAGGATGGGGCGGGTGTGCGGATGGGTTTGAGTGAAGTAAGTGCTAGCTAGGCCAGGTCTTGCGGGGCAGTGCAATGCTGGAATTCTCTTCCTGAAGAGGGAGTAGTCTAGCGCATTTACAGAAAGTAGTAGTACAAACTTCATAACCGTTCTTATTACTGTTTCACTGCTAATCTAAACCCAACACATAGACACTTTTTCTCGAAACAGAGAAATTCGAGAAATAGAAAGATTGAACTTGAGAAACCACTGTTTTTCATATATGGAGCATTTATTTGGGTTTGGGGTTAATATTTAATCCAGCCACTCCCTTATTTTTCTCAAAAAAGCCTTAGCAAAACTGTGAAAAGAGATCAAATCAAATAATAAAGAAATTGTTTGGGAGGAGGATAAGATTAGATACTTATCTTAAAAGGAAAATGGAGGGTCTCCGTGACCTCGTGGCGCAACGGTAGCGCGTCTGACTCCAGATCAGAAGGTTGCGTGTTCAAATCACGTCGGGGTCATGGGTGGTTGCGTTTTGGAAGGGGGCAAAAGTATCTGTACTGAGATATTTAGTCAGTCAACCTGGGAAAAAGAACTCAAGACGTTGACATTAAAGGACGTGTTTTGTTTTCTGCATTCACAGATAAGTGAGATCTGTCTCTTTTGCCCTTGGCTTGCTGTTATGACTCTAAAATGAAGAATTCCCCTCGTGGACAGTCTATCTTTGGCCACCTCTTTAAAGGGAGATTAAACGCTCTCTTTTGGCATTAGATAACTTTTCCTACACATAAACCCCTAAACATTGGCGCTTTTTCCATGCTCATGCCCTGCCCTCTTTGCTTCCTGACTCTTCCTTTGCTTATCTGCCTGCAACACTTCATGCCTTCTTCTCAGTTTCATCCCCACTCGACCTGGAGTCAGGAACTTGGAGCCATCCTGGACATTACTTCTTCTTCGCTTCTGAAAGGAGTCCCAAGTTGTGCTGAGTTTTACCTCCTCGTATTTCATATCCCGTTTATCCACTTCTCTCAATTATTACAATGGCCTATTTGCTTCCATCTTTTCTCTCTTGCCAAGGATATTGACATAAATCTTTTTTTTTTTTGAGACGGAGTCTCACTTTGTCACCCAGGCTTGGGGTGCAGTGGTGGGATCTTGGCTCACTGCAACCTCTGCCTCCCAGGTTCAAGCAATCCTCCAGCCTCAGCCTCCCGAGTAGCTGGGACTACAGGCATGCACCACCACGCCCAGCTAATTTTTGTATTTTTAGTAGAGACAGGGTTTCTCTATGTTGGCCAGGCTGGTCTCGAACTCCTGACCTCAGGTGATCTGCCTGCCTCGGCCTCCCAAAGTGCTGGGATTACAGGTGTGAGCTACCATGTCCTGCCCACTTGTCATTTTTTTTTTTTTTTTTTTTTTAACAAGCAAGCACTTTCTATTTTACTGTATTCCTAAAAGGTGTATAATTAGAGTTCTGTTAAAGTTCTATACTGTTATTGCACAGTAATTATTTTCTTGCTCCAGATTTCACTGTTAGTAATCATATTAGTTTGCTAGGGTTGCCATAACAAATACCATAGACTGGGAGGCTTAAATGACAGAAATTTATTTGCTCACACTGATGCTAATGACAGAAATCTAACATGACTGACTGACTCCGTCTTGCTTCTCACCTCACAGGCTAAACTGTTTTTTTGCTGATTCTAGAGCAGAGGCCAAGATAATTACAAGAGGAATTCAGTTTACAGATAAACTTTGAGGCAGGAAAACTGACCTCCACCTTCTTTTGTGGAGATTGAAGCTGCATTCACAAGAACAGGTAAGAATTATGGTAGGGTCCTGAACTTTGCTAAAGAATAAGCATAGACAATAACGTGCCACTGCTTAGCTTGTTTTTCTGTAAGTTTTTTACTGCCCCACAGTCACTAACTGGGGGTTGCATGATTTATAACTTTCCGGCGGAGAGCGGTGGCTCATGCCTGCAATCCCTGCACTTTGGGAGGCAGAGGTGGGTGGATCACCTAAGGTCAGGAGTTCAAAACCAACCTGGCCAACATGATGAAACTCTGTCTCTACTAAAAATACAAAAAAATTAACCCGGCATGGTAGCGCCTGTAATCCCAGCTACTCGGGAGGCCTGAGGCAGGAGAATCATTTGAACCTGGGAGGCAGAGGTTGCAGTGAGCTGAGACCACGCCACTGCACTTCAGCCTGGGCAACAAGAGCGAAACTCCGTCTCAAAAAATAAAAACAAAACGAAAACGTGGCATTTGAGACATTTCTGAGATTTAGCTTTTCAGCAGATCAAGAGATGCCACTTGATCCTGAGACCCCTGCACCCAGTACAGATTTTAATCCATACAATATTCCAATAAAGAAGAGTAGAGCATGAAATGAATTCAACTTAAATTTGTGCAGAAGTGACTGAGCATTTTGGTCTTATCGCCCAGGCTGGAGTGCAATGGCGCAATCCCACTCATTGCAACCTCCACCTCCCAGGTTCAAGGGATTCTCCTGCCTCAGCCTCCTGAGTAGCTGGGATTACAGGCACCTGCTACCATGCCTGGCTAATTTTTGTATTTTTAGTAGAGACGGGTTTTCACCATGTTGGCCAGGCTGGTCTCGATCTCCTGACTTCAGGTGATCCGCCCACCTCGGCCTCCCAATGTGCTGATTACAGGCATGAGCCACCGCGCCCAGCTTGTCACTGAGTATTTTAAAGGCAAAATGAAGGAACAGAAAAGGGGGTGAGCAGGGCTCAGTGGAGTGAAAAATTACAAAAATCAGAAAGAGATTAGTTCATATGAAACCCATCTATATTTGCTAACTGGTGCTTACAGAAGTTAAGCTCCTACCTTCCCACAGAAGTGGGAGACAGGGGCTTTATCTTCAGGTGTTGTTTGGAACAACAGTGCATTCTTTTGGCAGTCTTGAGTTTTCTCAGGCAGGCACTTTAAGGGGGACTAAAGTCATCCTAGGGATGTGGTCTTAGAAACTATGTTAGTGTCTTTAGTCTTTAAAGGTCAAAGTTGAGGCCTAGTTGAGAAGAATGTACAGTGGAGCCTGGCTAGAGTTTGGTCAAGGAGAGAATCGTTTACATTTGACATAGCAGACATAGTGCGGCAGGCCAGGTCTCCCTAATGGCTGAACAGGCAGGCCTCCATGACAACGGTTTTAGCACTGACTGAGTGGTTAAGTTAAATATTAAAAGCAAAAAAAAAAAAAAGCCAGTGCCCTTATACAAAGGCTGGAATGTAACCAAAGCCCACCAAGGGTATGTCTTTAAATGCATGCACACTTACATGTAGACATGCAGCTTAGAAGGTATATAAGCTCTGGAAAACTTTGTGATTTTGAGTTAGTCTGGCCATAATTTCCAGGCCTTCTTTGTGTACCCCGTTACAAAAATAAACTCCTGGCCAGGCACGGTGGCTCACGCCTGTAATCCCTGCACTTCGGGAGGTCGAGGTGGTCATATCACCTGAGGTCAGGAGTTTGAGACCAGCCTGGCCAACGTGGTGAAACCCCATTTCTACTAAAAATATAAAAATTAGCCGGGCGCGGTGGCACGCACCTGTAATCCTAGCTACTCGGGAGGCTGAGACATGAGAATCACTTGAACCCGGGAGGTGGAGGTTGCAGTGAGACAAGATCGTGCCACTGCACTCTAGCCCGGGTGACAGAGCAAGACTCAGTCTCAAAAAAAAAAAAAAAAAGAAAGAAAGAAAGAAAAAAGAAACTCCCTTATTTCCCAGTTCATCTGCATCTCATTATTGGGCCGCAAGAATAAGCAGCCTGACCCTCGGTTTGATCGGGGAGCAATAGTAGCAGTATTATTCAGTTACAGAAGTGAAAAATAAGAAACTCAGAACACTAACAGGAGAGAATTGGTTAAATAAATTTATTATTTATAATAGGGCAGAATATTATGTAGCCTTTAACGTGATATTGAAGAATATCTGATATAGAAAGATGCTTAAGACACTTGAAATAGACAAATGATGTATTAAGCAATTAATCGCCATGTGTGATTATAGATTAGTCAGATTATACAGTATAAGCCGTATGGCTAATGATTATACTACAATAATAAGAGTAAATATTTCTGGGTGTGGGATTAGACATTATTTTAATTTGCTTGCTTTTTGCTGACTTGTATTTTTAAAATATTTTAAGATGAAAAGTTTTTCTTTGAAAAAAGAAAATATACAAATTATGTTAAAAAAATTGCTGCACATATACTCTGTGCCAGCTCCATAGAAAGATACATCACACAGAGTTTTTGCTCTGGAGGAAATAGTAGTCCAGTGGAAAAGACAGACAATATCAACTCATAATAAAGAAAAAGGATGAAATTTACAAGGATAAGCCTATGCTTGACCCAGATATAGTGCATTGATATAAGAGTGATGGCCTCTGACTGGATAATGTGAGTGCCAAGAGTGCAGAATGTGGGATTTAGGGGGGAAATCACAGACTATCTACACCAAAGCAGGATTTTGGACTATTATAAGAGTTATCTATGATTTTAAAAAAGAGTGAGAGGACAGAGAAAAGAACCTATATACTGATCTACAAACTAGGTAGACGTAGTTTTGTTTGTTTTCATATATGACAGATAAAACTTAGATTACTCTGTATCAGGAAAGATGCACTGGATAGTTCAACTGTAATTGTTGAGTTTTTGCAACACGATGCAGAGTTAACACGTAGAAGTCACCTTTTAAAAATAACCTTGGGCAATTCATCAGCTGATCTTGAACTCCTGGCCTCAGAGGATCCTCCTGGCCTCAAGGGATCCTCCTGCCTCGGCCTCCCAAACTGCTGGGATTACAGGTATGAGCCACAGCCCAATTTACTGTCTATATTAACATGACTTTACTATTCCACTATTTTCATCAACATACCTTTACCATTCCCAGAGACCTTTGCCCAGGAAGCTAAAGTTGCAAATAAATTTTATTTATTCTAGGACCCTATTGTTTATTCCAGGAAGTTCTTGAAACACATATTAACTTCTTAATAGAAGGCCATGGCCAGGCGCGGTGGCTCACGCCTGTAATCCCAGCACTTTGGGAGGCCGAGGCGTGTGGATCATCTGAGGTCAGGCCAACATGGTGAAACCCCGTGTCTACTAAAAATACAAAAAATTAGCCAGGCGTGGTGGTGGGCGCCTGTAATTCCAGCTACTCAGGAGGCTAAGGCAGGAGAATTGCTTGAACCCGGGAGGCAGAGGTTGCAGTAAACAGAGATCGCGCCACTGCACTCCAGTCTGGGCGACAGAGCGAGACTCCGTCAAAAAAAAAAAAAAAAAAAGCCATAACTGAGGCTTCCAGTTAACAGCCAAGTGAATGAGCTTAATTTCCTTCCTGAAACTCAAATTTTCTCCCTTCCCTTCCCTCCCCTCTCCTCCCACCTTTGTCACCCAGGCTGGAGTGCATTTGATGGGCCATCTCGGCTCACTGCAACCTTCTCCTCCCGGGTTCAAGTGATTCTTGTGCCTCAGCCTCCCGAGTAGCTGGGATTACAGGCGCGTGCCACCACGCCCGGCTAATTTTTGTATTTTTAGTAGAGACAGGGTGTCACCCTGTTGGCCAGGCTGGTCTCGAACCCCTGACTTCAAGCTATCCACCCGCCTCGGCCTCCCAAAATGCTGGGATTACAGGCTTGAGTGTCTTTTTCACTTTGAAAGTCTCCAAGGGTCACGTATCAGCAGACTTTCTGCTTACTTCTACGTTCAAACGTTCTGAAAAATATTCTTACGTATTTACTTACTTCTATGTTCAAACGTTTACTCAGAATATTTAGACATAATATTTGACTGGATTTTTAAAACATTATAGACAGAGAACATACATTGTCACTTTTTTTAAGGGAGATATGATGATAGATGTAAAAGAAAACAAATCCATGTAACTACGTTTAGCACCGGTGGTTAAGTGGTTGAATTCTCACCTGCCGCGCGGAGTTCTAGGTTCTGTTGCCTCCTCGCTGCAACTGTAATTTTTTTTTTCCTGTGAACATTTTCGATGAAAATCTCAAGTAAAAAATGTTTGGAAGTAATAACGACTCCCTCCGGTATCCAGGAATGGCTGAAATTTGCCCAAGCATTTATAATTTCACCTTTATAAATTATGCCAATTAGCCTGCACTTTGTTTTCCCATAACTCGAAACATGCTTCCGTTTTAGAGAACTTCAACCTCAGCTGATTCGAATTTATCGAGGAAGAATTCTAAACCGCTGGTGTTTGGAAGTGGCGTGCAGCCCCATATGGATGGCCAGTGTGCACTTCTCATTCTCCAGGATAATTTGGCAAACGACAACAAATCATTTAAAATTAGGAAGATGCCGAAAATTGTAGCCTCTAATACATACTTGACAAGAGTAATGTTGAAACAGCAGAGTGGCGGAGCGGACTGTCGAGACAGCAGAGTGGCGCAGCGGAAGCGTGCTGGGCCCATAACCCAGAGGTCGATGGATCGAAACCATCCTCTGCTATATGGCCGCATATATTTTACTTGAAGACTAGGACCCTACAGAAAAGAGGTTTTAAAGTAGGCGTGCTAAACGTCAGCGGACCTGACCCGTGTAAGAATCCACAAGGTATCCTGGTGGAAATGCGCATTTGTAGGCTTCAATATCTGTAATCCTACTAATTAGGTGTGGAGAGCTTTCAGCCAGTTTCGTAGGTTTGGAGACCATTTAGGGGTTGGCGTGTGGCCCCCTCGTAAAGTCTTTCGTACTTCCTACATCAGACAAGTCTTGCAATTTGCAATATCTCTTTTAGCCAATATCTAAATCTTTAAAATTTTGATTTTGTTTTTTAACCAGGATGAGAGACATTCCAGAGTTGTTACCTTGTCAAAATAAACAAATTTAAAGATGTCTGTGAAAAGAAACATATATTCCTCATGGGAATATATCCAGGTTGTTGAAGGAGGTACGTAGTCGTGGCCGAGTGGTTAAGGCGATGGACTTGAAATCCATTGGGGTCTCCCCGCGCAGGTTCGAATCCTGCCGACTACGGCGTGCTTTTTTTACTCTCGGGTAGAGGAAATCCGGTGCACTACCTGTGCAATCACACAGAATAACATGGAGTAGTACTTTTTATTTTCCTGTTATTATCTTTCTCCATAAAAGTGGAACCAGATAATTTTAGTTCTTTTGTGTAACAAGACTTAGAGATTTTTTGAAGTGTTACATTGGAAAGCACTTGAAAACACAAGTAATTTCTGACACTGCTATAAAAATGATGGAAAAACGCTCAAGTTGTTTTGCCTTTCAGTCTTCTTGAAATGCTGTCTCCCTATCTGAAATCCAGCTCACGTCTGACTTCCAAAACCGTGCTTGCCTTTAACTTATGGAATAAATATCTCAAACAGATCCTTTCTGGTTCCCCTCGTGTCATCCTACTTTCAGAGGCCGGAATTGCAGAGGAAACACCAGATAGAGAATCTCCAAAACTGTTGCTAAGATGTTTTAAGAGATGTCTAAGTGTTGATATTTTCTTTTATAAACCCTTACGTAGAAAAAAGTATCGTGACCTAAAATTTCAGCAAATGCGAAGTTCTGATTAATCAAGGAACGCTCCTATTCATAATCTCCGTGGGCAGATCAGAACAAGTTTTTGGAAAGGTGAGTTCTGTTCTTGCTTTCTGCCTGCTGGAGCAGTTTTGTTACTTTCTCGGAATCTGGGACTATGCACCTATTTTGAGAGGCCAAAGTAAACAGCACTCTCAATAGACCAATTCCACGTACTACATTCATGTTATCAAAAATATGTCAGGAGATTACTGTGTTGTTGGCCCCATGGTGTAATGGTTAGCACTCTGGACTTTGAATCCAGCGATCCGAGTTCAAATCTCGGTGGGACCTACCAAACTTTTAGTGCTCTTTCTTTCTCTCAAATTACCATTGTACCCAGAGGAGCGTACACCTGATCACTTAAGCACCTTAACATCCCATCCCAGTCGGCAGCACGATGCTTTCCTGCAGAACAGCATCCTCTAATCTTTCACCTGGAATTTCACATCTGTTCTCTCTTGCCCCTCCTCTCTTGTTGGATGCGAGTTCCTCGGATTTAAATTATCATACGCAAGTTTAAGGATACGTCTTTCACCTACCAGACCTCAGTTCTTTCCTTTTTTGAACAATACTCAAACGGGTTCAAGTTTTTTCAGTTTCTAAGACGGACTTGGTCCAGATAGGTTTGTAGTGCATGTGAGTCTCTTGGAGCTTCTGCTACATGGGATGCAGATAGTATTAATTTAATAAATATTAATAGAATACTGCATCGAATAGACATGCTCTGTAATCAGTATTTTTATAAATTCATGAAATTGGTGGCGGAAGGCGGCCCCATGGTGTAATGGTTAGCACTCTGGACTTTGAATCCAGCGATCCGAGTTCAAATCTCGGTGGGACCTGTCCTGCTTTTTGTGACCCATCCTTCGTTCGTCTCTTAAATCATCAACACACAGCGATCTGTGGATTTACTTTCTCATTCACGGTTTCTTCTTCGGATTAGCAAGTGTCATGTAACTCCTGACTGTCATTTCTAGCTTCTGAGTAGTATCATGTCCTTGTACATTCTTGGTCTTTTCTCTTAGCATCCACACTTCCCTGAGTTCCCAAAGGCAGCCAGGGTGTTATTTGAGTGCTCAGGGTGCTTAATGGTTTATGTGTCAGAGGTCCCTCCCGCGAATGTTTTCTTCTTTGGAAGCCCCTCAAAATGCAAGGATTTACATAAGAATTATAGTAGCAAGTGCCCCATGTAAGGGTCCCATAGTATATCGGTTAGCACTCGGGATGCTGAATCCAGGAATTTGAGTCCAAATCTCTTTGGGATTTTAGCAACATCTTGGTCAATGTTCCTCTGTGGTTCTCTTAAATCATTAGCCCACCTTCGAGGTGTACCCACTTGGCTGCAAGCGCTGCCAATCATCATGGCACTCTGTCCTAGAGAAAACTGTCTCTATCTACTGACCTCTGAAATTTTAGCCCTACTCCTATTTTACTTGATGTCTCTTTTTGCCTTTTTGCCCAGAGTTTCTCAGATTCTGGTAAGTTAGAATCTTGGCCCCAGTGATTAAGAGTTTGTTTTACAGCCCCCAATCTCAGTTTCTTCCTTTTCTAGAGCCTATTTAAAGCGTCCCATCTGCTTCTAAGCACTAACACTGTCCTTAAAATGTTTGGACTGCACAGCACTGCAGTTGTACACATCTTAGAGCCTCTGCCGTTTGTACTCAGTTGGGGCGCCATCCAAACTCCTTAAGCTAATGCATTGTCCACATTATTTGAAAGATTAGCTGGTATGTTAAAAGTACACATCAGTCTTTCAGTAGGGATTCAATTTCCATGTCCTGGTGACTTAATGGCTAGCACCTAGGCTTCAAATTTCAGTGGACCTGTCTCAGTTTTGGTGACCTTGCTCTTGAGTTTACCCAAATGGAGAAGCACACTTGGGCATGTATAGATAGTCTCACATATTTGCACTTCTTTTCTGGAGCAACATCCCGCTTCTTGCTCTTTTCTCTGGCTACTGAAAGTTGTCCACTGCCCATCACCCTCATGTATCCTAGAAGCTCTTCTTTTGAAAGCTTTGCTTTGCTTTGCTGGAGCCTGAAGTCAGTTAGACCACTGTAAGTTAATCATCTGCTGGGATGAGTAAAGGTTCATGTGTCAGAGGCCCCACCTATGACTTTTTTCTTCTTCAGAGCTCACTCCGAATGCTCTCTATGCTATCTCTGGACTCGGGCATGAATATGTGCAAACCACAAATTGAGTCATCTGAGAACCTGCATTTTTCTCCCTATGAGAAGCTATTAGTGTTCCTTACATTGAATCTATGCCCATTTTAAAGGTTAACTGACCAGATGCAATAGTATACAAGTCTTCCCTAGAACCTTTGTTATACAAAGATACCATGGTATAACGGTTAACACTCTGGACTCCAAATACAGAAATCCCAACTGTTGGTGGGACTCTAAATTCCTTCTGTTGACTCTCTCTACAGTTCAAAACATATCCTCCAGGGCTCTCAATGACAACAAAAGTGAGCTCCATGAACTCCTCTGGCCTCTAAAAATTGTTCCAGAAAAAAGCCCTGTAGACTTCTTTCTGCCTGTTTAGCCCTATTCATGGTACTATCTTAGTGGCTTTTTATTAGCTTCCTATTGCTTACCACAAATTTGGTGGTTTAAGACAATATGAATTTATTTTTTGTTATTTATTTATTTGTTTTTGAGACAGAGTCTTGCTCTGTCGCCCAGGCTGGAGTGCAATGGCACAATCTCATCTCACTGCAACCTCCACCTCCCGGGTTCAAGACATTCTCCTGCCTCAGCCTCCTGAGTAGCTGGGATTACAGGCACCCGCCACAAAGCCCGGCTAATTTTTTGTACTTTTAGTAGGGACGGGGTTTCACTATGTTGGCCAGGCTTGTCTCGACCTCCTGACCTTGATCTGACCGCCTCAACCTCCCAAAGTGCTGGGGTTACAGGCGTGAGCCACCGCATCCGGCCTATTTATTTTTTAAAATAGGGTCTTACACTATCACTCAGGCTGGACTGTAGTGGCACAATCATAGCTCATTGCAGCCTCAAACTCCTGGGTTCAAGTAATCGTTCCCTGTCAGCCTCCCAAGTAGCTAGGACTGCAGGTGCACACCACCATCCCTGGCTAAGACAACGTGAATTAAATGTTTTTTTGCAGTTTTGGATATCAGAAGTCTACAATAAAAGTATTAGCAGGGCTGTGTATCTTCTGGAGACATCATGAGATAATTCATTTTCCTGGCGTTTTCAGCTTCTAGTGGCCCCTTCCTTGCATCACTTCTTGCTTCTGTAGTCACATTTTCTTTTCCTGACTCTGAACCTCCTGCCTTCCTTTTATAGGACCCTCTTGATTACATTGGACCCACTTAGATAATCCAAGATAATCTCCCCATCTCAAAATCTTCAATGAAATCCCATCTGCAAAATTCCTTTGACCACTTAAGGTAACATAAGGTAACTTATTCACAGGTTCTGGTGATTGGTTGTGGACCTATTTTGGGGGTCATTATTTAGCCTACCATACCCTTTATTAATAAATAGCAGGCATTTGTTAATGCTCTTTAGATTTAATCTATTGGTCATGGCTTTTTTAAAAAAGATAATGTATAGATTTACACCAAGCTTATACACAAGTCTTTCAATAGGAGAATCTTATGGAAAGGGTCTATGATGTAATGATTAGCATCTGAACTCAGACTTGGCAAATTTATGGCAATGATGTCTTGTATTTTTACATTCTCAACTATACTCCCTTTCAGCCATAGGATCCACTGCTCTCTGGCTGATCAGGCCTTCCTGCATGTATTAGTTATCTGTTGTATAACAAATTGCACCCAAATTGGCAGCTTAAAACAACAGACACATATCTCACATGAGATATCATGAAAGTAATATCCTATCACATTTTTTATATTCTGTAGGTTAGGAGCAGGTCACTAGATCCAGCCAACATTCAAAGGGAGGAGTTTACACAGGAAGTGTGGCCACCACACTGTTAAACACTGTAAAGACCTCAGGGCAGAATAAGCCCTAATTGGAGCTGGTCTAATGCTATGACTGATATTTTGCAGACACCTTCTTTTGCTTGGTCAGGAAGTGCTGTATTGGGAGCAATTCCTGGTACCTTTTGGATTGGGAAAATTATCTCTTGCCTCACCTTTTTAAAACTAGTTTTCCATTGTGTATCTTCCTTTATGATCAAGCCAGTATTGAAGAGCTTGACTGCTACTCTCTTTTAATATCATGACTGAACAAGTGAATTAGAATCTATAGGGATAATGCCCTGACATGAATCCTTCTCAAAAGTTCCCTATGGATTCAAATGTGCAGCATGGAAAACCACTGAGCTAATTTTCCCCTGACCACCCTATTTAACTTGCCACCACTCCTATGCATATACCATCCTCTGACATACTGTGTATTTTGCTTTTTTTTTTTTGGTGAGACAAGGTCTCACTTTGCCATCCAGGCTGGAGTGCAGTGGTGCAATCTTGGCTCACTGAACTTCGACCTCCTGGGTTCAAGCGATCCTCCCTCCTCAGCCTCCTGAGTAGCTGGGACTACAGATGTGCACCGCCACGCCCAGCTAATTTTGGTATTTTTTGTAGAGATGAGGTTTCACCATGTTGCCTAGGCTGGTCTCAAACTCCTGAGTTCAAGGAATCTGCCTGCCTTGGCTTTCCAAAGTGCTATGATTATAGGTGTGAGCCACTGTGCTTGGCCTATATTTTGCTTTATAAGTTGTTTATTGCTTATTTCTACATAATTAGGTTTCACCAGGGCAGGGAATTTTGTGTGTGGCATATACATTTGTTCTTAGAACAATGCCTGGAACATACGCAATGCTCAATAAATATTCATCAAAACATTGAATGAATCAAAGAACTAATGAACCCTTCAGGTCCAGGTTTGTTTATCATGCTTTATAATTTCTAATCCAAACACAATCAAGACCAAGCAATAGTTTTTCTTTTCAGAACACTTTAGAATTTGTTGCTAACTGAAGCTTTAAAAAAATGAAAATTCGTACATTTCCTGGCCTGCTATGTTTTGATGGTGATTTGATACCTAATATGTCTGATATTTGTTAGGTAATTCCTTGGTAACTCCCTAGGGGATACAGTTTGAATCTTGATCATATTCTTAATTGCTTTGCTTTGCTTTGCTTTGCTTTTGAGACAGGGTCTTACTCTGTCACTCTGTTACCCAGGCTGGAGTGCAGTAGTGTGATTATGGCTTGATGCAGCCTCGCCCTCCCAGGCTCAGCTGATCCTCTCAACACAGCCTTCCAAGTAGCTGGGACTACAGGCACCAGCCACCACACTCGGTTAATTTTTTGTATATTTTGTGGAGTCGGGGTTTCGTCATGTTGCCTAAGCGATCCTCCAGCCTTGGCCTCCCAAAGTGCTGGGATTACAGGTGTGAGCCACTGTGCCCGGCCTTATTTTTTTAATGCTACATCATGTCAAAACACACACATACACAATATTATTGTTTTTGTAATTTTATTGGGTATAGGTGAGAAAACAGCCCCTGGTATCCAGGAACTGGTCTGACCGTATTCACTAGGCCTGCATATTGTCAGGAATCGGCCAGGCAGTCACTGCTAAGTCATGGGGTTCTTCTGTTTTGCCTAATTTCACAGAACATTAGCATCAGACTGACTTCTCTGATTGTGATGAAATGAGTCAGAAACAACCAAAGAAAGGTTGGACATGGTGGCTCATGCCTGTAATCCCAGTACTTTGGGTAAACCAAGGTGGGTGGATTGCTTGAGCCTAGGAGTTTGAGGCTAGCCTGTGCAACAGAGTGACATAGTGAGACCCTGTCTCTATAAAAATAAATTTATTTTTTTAATTTAGAATTTAAATGAAATACAAACAGATAATAAAAATGACAACACTAAGTATCATTTTCATCACATTTCTTTGTGCAAAATAAGCAAAAACAAAACAAAAATCCCTCAGATGGCCCCACGATTCTTTAAGATACAGTCCAAACTCTAGGGTCTGACACTCAGAACCAATCACAATTTGACTGTAACCCATCACTTCAACACTTTACCAGTCACCCACTTGGGCTTCTAGGAGAGACAATGGTTATTTCTCAGATGCGTTAGTGCCATCATATGGCAGGCATCCCTCTGGGAATCCTACCAGGGAGTGTCCAGGAATGCAACAACAGACATACCTGGTTTAATGATGGTGTTCATATACATGACCTAAGAAAAAAGACAAAATCCAATTTGATTTAAAAAACAGGAGCAGTCACTAATTCGTTTTTCCTTTTTAATTTCTCTTATTTTTCCCTTAGAAAGTGTACTTTGTCATCTTTATTAGGGTCTATTCCTCCCTCCCAGTCTCCTCTTTAGTTTTTCTTCCTTTATGAGAGTAAGAGGGCCATTTATCCATTATTTCCGTCACTGAAAACATTTAACAAAAGAATAGGAATTGCCAAATGAAACTGTTGAGAAGAGAAACATTACACATATCAGGAGAGGCCTGGCCGAGTGGTTAAGGCGATGGACTGCTAATCCATTGTGCTCTGCACGCGTGGGTTCGAATCCCATCCTCGTCGCTCGGCTTTCCCTGCTAACTGGGCTTTTTTAAAGGTTTCCCCTCAGTAAGGTATCGTCTGCTATACCTCCCCGTTTGCTCACTGAGAATTAGGTGTTTTTAGCTCCCTTTAAGAGAGGTATTCTTCAGTATGTATTAGCACACTAACGTGTGCTGGCACTAACAACCTTCTGTTGGTAACATGATTACTGATTCTATTTTATAAAGGTCCGAAAAATTACAGTATTTTAGCTCCGCTCCCTCCGCGCAGGCAGAGGTGTATCCACCGCTGCTCCAGATCCGCAAGACTCTTGTAGTTGAAAACTGATTTCCGACCCTCTGATTTTTTGCTTAACCCCCTGAGTAGCGCCTAGCATTTCTCCTTATCTAGCTGTGATCCGGTGGTTGTTAATTATACATAACTGGGGAGATTTCTCAAAATGCTCGTGTCTCCTCCTCTCCCCTAGAACCAGTTAAATCGAAATCTTTAGAGGGGTGGAGTCTAGTGGTCGTTTTGCAAGTGCCTTGGGTCTCCCGGGTTAAGAACCATCACTGTCCTCACTTCCTTCTTAGTTTTGGTTTCGCTGTTTCGGCAGTTTTCATCATGAATGTGTAATCATAAGGAATTGGGCCTGGCGCAGTGGCACACGCCTGCAATCCTTGCACTTTGGAAGGTTGAGACTGGAGGATCACTTGAGTCCAGGAGTT
This sequence comes from Homo sapiens, assembly GCF_000001405.40. Classification (NCBI taxonomy): domain Eukaryota; kingdom Metazoa; phylum Chordata; class Mammalia; order Primates; family Hominidae; genus Homo; species Homo sapiens. The sequence goes on along the minus strand of NC_000006.12, from coordinate 26,304,803 downwards.
CGAGACCAACCTGAGCAATATATCAAGACCGCCACCCCCCCACAACCCCAACCTCCCCGCATTAAAACAAAAACAAAAACAAAAACAAAAACAAAAGAGAGAGAGAGAAAGAAAGAAAAAAGGAATTGGTTACATATGCTATGTCATTCCTAAATAATGAAGCCCACAGGACCATTAAAATTTATGTTATATAAAAATCACACACAAAAAAGACTGCTAAACTTGCTAAATAAATATTTGAAACTGCCATTTGGCCCATATCTAAACATCCCATATCTAAACAAAAAACATGAAAAATTGGTTATGCTTATGCCATGCAAAACTTTTCAACTTAAAAAAAAATCTTTCTTTTTTTTTTTTTATTCATGTGGTTTATCAGAGGCTCTGTTGTCTTCCACGTTTAACACATCTCCCCTTAATCTGGTTTAGTGGTGGACAAAGGGGAGGTGTTACATAAAAGTTAGCTGCCTCTATGTCTGTGATGTTTAATGTTTCAGAATTCAAGACTGTTGGTAAATTCCTGACAAAGACCACCAGAGACACACCTGTAGACAAGCAAAATTGGATTTGTTGGTTTGTTGCAAAGAGGGAGACAAAATGCCATGGTGAACCATTAGCTGACCGTAATTTTGTGATTGTATATCCTAATAATTTTTATCTAGAAAGTGAGAGAATAGGCTGGGTGTGGTGGCTCATGCCTGTAATCCCAGCACTTTGGGAGGCAGAGGCGGGCAGACACATGAGGTCAGGGTTTGAGCCTGCATGGTGAAACTCCGTCTCTACTAAAAATACAAAAATTAGCTGGGTTTTGGTGGCACATGCCTGTAATTCCAGCTACTCAGGAGGCTGAGGCACAAGAATTGCTTGAACCTAGGAGGTGGGTGAGCCTAGATCGCTTGAATCAAGGAAGTTGCAGTGACTCTCGATTGTGTCACTGCACTCTGGCCTGGGTGACAGAGTGAGATTCTGTCTCAAAAACAAACAAACAAACAAACCAAGAGGATAAAGCAGGATTCTCACTATAACTGGTAAAGAAGCAGTAGACATATTAGCCAGAAAGGAGGAGATGTTTGGTTACTTTTGTTATTTGACGATGTCCTTGTTTTTTATTTTTACTCACCATGATTATGAATTGTGTTGTTTTATCTCAAGTCATAATGGCCACAAAGTGTCCTTGCCTGTTGGTGTTTTTTGAGATTGGTTATATCCAATAGGAGTTGACCAGAGCTTTGCTGTGAGAGCCAGGCCAGCTCCCAGCAACTCCAAGTCCTAGCTGTTAATGTTCTGGCTACTGGGGCTGTTTTTCTCTTCCTCAAGATATAGGTTAATTTGTAAGTTTTGGTAAATTCTTCATTTCTTTCCATATCTAAGCCCTTTGCCTAACAACTCTGCAATTCCTCCCAAAGACATGTGGTATATTTCCATATCACTTTGACTTTGGCCTTGGGCATGACAATGACTTTGGTCAATGTGTAGTTAGCAGGCATGAGTCAATTAGGGCCTTTGAATATGCCTGCATAGTTGGGTGTCCATATGCACCTCTGCCATCTTCATGAGAAAAATTTTCCCTTGGGTAGCTGCTGTCTTTTCACCCTTGGCCCCAGAAAGAACATGCTTTGAACTAACTAGAGTTCCTACTGTGAAGCGCAAAGCAGGTAAGCTGAAGTGTACTTACATCTTAAGGTACAGCCATTCATATAATTTGGCCTAGAACTATTGACCTTCAACTGACACACACAGATGCTTATTGTATGTTTTTAAGCATTTGTGTGTGTGTGTGTGTGTGTGTGTGTGTTTTAATGGAGCAATAGCTGACTGAAACACATAGTCTTTGCTCCTTGCAAGTCATAATAAAAATCTTTATGGTTTTGGCTGGGCATGGTGGCTCACATCTGTAACCCAGTACTTTGGGAATTGAGGCAGGAGGATTGCTTGAGGCCAAGAGTTCAAGATAAGCCTGAGCAACATAGCGAGACCCTGTCTCTACAAAAAATAAATCAGCTAGATGTGGTGGCACACACCTGTAGTTCTAGTTACTTGGGAGGCTGAGGCAGGAGGATTGGTGGTTGAGGCTGCAGTGAGCCATGATTACACCACTGCATTCCAGCCTGGGTGACAAAGTGAGACCCTATGTCTTAAAAATATATAATATAATCTTTATGTTTTTGAACTGTAGTGGAGGCAAAATTTTACCTCTATTCTTACTACAATTTCTCCAGCTGAACCTGAGAATTAAATTGATGTAAGGCAGATTAATACAAAAAGACCATACAAATTCATTTAATAGTTTTCTGTGGCACAAGAGGCTTCATTGGAAAATGAAGATACTACAGTGCAGTGAGAGTGGAACACTTACATGCTGAATTAGACAGAAAGTGGTAAACTATGTAAATGTAACAAGGCAAAGGGGCTTGGGCTTGGGTAGTTACTTGGGTAGAGAAGTGGCTGAGAGGATAAATTCTCATTTAACAAGATTTGTTTACACAGATTTCCCTCAGCCTCAGTTACCTTAGAAACTAGAATGAATGATACTGTCATTCTAGTTTAGGGAGGACTTATTTCACAGAGGAATTTAATATTCTGCTTTTAAGAAACAGAATGAGAGTCAGAGTGATATTCTTGCATCTGCTATTTTTCAAGTGCCTTTAACTCAAAATAGTCACTATGCCAGAGGGGCATAGTTTTTAACTCCTTCAGAATATATCTCTTCTAATATAAAGTATAATTTACTTATATAATCTACTTATTCATTTTGTGTTTTCTGTGTTGTCTCCTCCTCTCTTCCTTCAACTCCAAACCTCTTGAGGACATGGGTTTTTGTGTACTTTTGTTACTGTGTTCCTAGATTGCTAGATCCTATATTCTAGAATCCCAGTACCTAGCACAGTGGCTGGGGAGAGAAGCAGGCACAGGGTAGGTGCTCCATAAACATTTACAGTAGTCCCCTTTCTATCTGAGGTTTCACTTTGTGTGGTTTCAGTTACCCATAGTCAACTGAGGTCTGAAAATAGGTGAGTAATGTACAATAAAGTATTTTGAGAGACAGAGAGATCACATTCATATAACTTTTATTACTGTATGTAGATTGTTATAATTGTTTTATTAGTTATTGTTGTTAATCTCTTAAAATGCCTAATTTATAAATTAAACTTTATCATATGTGTGTATGTATAGGAAAAAACATGGTGTATATAGAGTTCAGCACTATCCAAGGTTTCAGGCATCCACTGGGGTCTTGGAACATAACTCCTGTAAATAAGGGGGGCTACTCTATTAAATTCATGAATCTCTTAATCCCCTGTGCAACTGGACCCAACTCCCAGTGTTTGTGATACACATCTAGAAATCTTTCTTCTTGATTTATTTTCTTCCAGTTGCTTTTTTTTAATCCAGCTCCAAAAGATGTTTTTCATGTTATTTATTTATTTATTTTCTGAATCCCACTCTCAAAGCAGAAAGGCTTACACATTCATCAAAGGGTGCATATATTTTTATTTGGTGGATTTGGGACAAGTTCCTAAATCACGGTGACCATTTAAGACTCAGGATGTCCACAGATTTCCCTATCTTTTTCAGTTTTCTCCCTTTTGGCACTTCCCAGTCTGGAAAGTCTCTCTCCTCCTTTTGGCATTCTTTGCTATCAGTGCAGTAGAGAAAGAAAGAAAAAGAAGAGAGAAAGGGTTATGACAGGCAAATTTTTATATTCTTGCATCAGAATTTCCACTTTCATTAAATGCTTGAGGGAGGCTGTGGGGCCCCTGGAAAAAGTCTTGTTCATCCTCTGGTACACAGGGTTACATACTGATCAGAGAGAGAGGAGGAAGCTTTTTCCTGTTCTTAGAATCAAGAAAAAAGGTGGGCTATGTAATTCTCAAGTATCACTGTATTCATTTTAAAAGGTTACTCTTCTTTTGAGGTTATATCCTTTTTCTAGTTTATAAAAGGATGCTCAGTGCAAATGGTGGGTTTTGCCATTAACAAGGCAGAACATGGTTTTGCATGACATTAGGACATTGACACTTTCTAATCCAATAAATTTCAAAGTCTGGAAACCAATGCTCAATCCCCACATTTTTTATACAACTTGGAATCTACAGATGACTAGAGGAAACCAGAATCAAACAGAGCTATGGAAGAAGCTGGGGACAGGGAGAGGTAATTATTACTAATTTTAATATTCTTTGCTTTGATCTAGAAACACACTTATGGACTCCATGTGATTTGAATCAATGATCTCATCTGGATGGAGTCAAATGTCTTATGTTTCATCATGATGTCAGCAATTGGAAATTACTTTTCCTTAATCCTAAATTATTATTAAATTCAGGCACACAAAATGTTATTTAGGAATACAAAATGTTTTTTATATATTTTGCACAGCTGTGTTCCCTGTCTTTTCCTGTTTGCACACACACACTGTAACCAGTTGGACTATTTTAATTACCTTTATATTTTTGCTTTGCAATATAAAATTCAATATTAGGTATTCTCATCCTTTTGATGGCAACACACCCACAACAAAAAAGTTAAAATGGAGAGTAAGAACTAGTAACATAGGCTTCAGCAGCTGCCAAAACTCCTTGGTACACGCGGATGTAGACTAAAAAAGAAATGTGAAGAGTTTTTGGCCTAGTGCTAAATCAGAAGAAGCAACAGGTTTCCTACTGTGCTAGCCACTGGGGCCTGGCATTAGTCTGAGACGCTACAGTTTGAGACAGCTTGGCTTATAGATCTGAATTTCTTTTTTTCAAGGAATTGAATCCTTGAATTGAATCTAAGCCTACAAAACCGAAACGCAGGTGCTTAAAATCCAAACTTGGGGAGAACCTGACAGCTCCAAAGTAGTAGATGGCTGTATTTCAGTTTTGACTTTCCAGTCTTTCTTCACTCTGTCACTTGTTCTCCTAAGGCCTTTGAGAATGTCTCCTTCTTCCCTTTAAAGGAGAGGAGATGGAAGAAAAAAAGGATTCAGAAAACCCAGAGAGTGTATGATTTATTTTTTTCTTGGAATGAAATGGGTAATAAAATTTTCATGCCCGAAAACGAACCCCACTTAACCACGAAGGGATTCGAACCCTCAATCTTCTGATCCGAAGTCAGACGCCTTATCCATTAGGCCACGTGGTCCCCCGCAGTTCCGTTGTTGCTGCAATACTTAGAAAATAAAACGAGCTTCCCCCCACCCGCCCCCTCCAACCCCCCGTGTTGGCATCTACAGCGCCCGTGTTTTCGCCAATGAGAAAATGAAAACTTTAGATTAGGTGGGATATTTGGGGCCACAGAATCGGGATTTATAAACGGTTGGTATCGACAATTATTTTAGTCTTGTGGTAATATAACTACTCCTTGGAGAGAAAAGTCGTTTGTTCTGACTCCCAAGGCAGAAGAAGCGGAGTTTATGGCATCTAAAAGATGCTAAAATTCTGCATATTGTCTGCATCGAAGGATATGTTAAAATAAGCTTACTCAAGGTTTCTTCCCTATGATGCTCATCCACATTCACCATTTACAGACTAGGTTCTTGCAGGGTCTGCCCAGATAGTTGTTAAGAAAACTGTACCTGGAAGGCAGTTTTACCACAAGGCAACATCTGTACCGTGGTCTTTCTCGCCATCCTGCATGGATATCTGCAGACCCCGGAGACAATTACCCCCTCTCCATGCTGTTCTGGTACTTTCTCTGATTGTGATAATGTGATATCAGAGCACTTTTCGTGGTATGGTTCTGTTTAGAAAGGAAAGAAAATACTTTCCTTGGGGTTTCTCAGGAGTGCCGAGCGGACTAGAGCCATTACCAGTTTTTGAGGTTCCCATATATTAAGAAGTGAAGGAACACGAAATAGAAATGCAAAAATTTTTATTATTAACAATTTTTACATTTAATAGATGAATCAACACGAAAATGTAATGCATTAGCATCATACTATGGAGAAGATATTTATAGAATTTATAATGTTCCGTAGCGCTCTTGGCCCCATCATGGCATATAAAGTTCTATTTTGTGTGGCTTCTTTCAAGCCTGTCAGTGAATCTCTGTGAAGTCAAGTACTTCATTTGAAGATAATGTCAACAGCCTACATATAAGACATTTCCTTAATTTTCCTAAACCCCAGATACTGGGAATAATGGCTCTCCTGGCTCATTTGTGATAAGTCTTGGTTTCTCTTGGTTAGCAAATATAGCGGCTTCTGGTGCATAGAAATTGGGCCTTTTACATAGTCTTTCTTTCCCTATCCATAGAATAACATCTGACAAATAGTAGGAGCTCAATAAAAATATGCCGAATTTCTCATTTATTTTCGAATTCTGCAATCATCTTCAATGTGAGAATTATTATTATTATTATTATTATTATTATTATTATTTTTGAGACAGAGTCTCACTCTGTGGCCTAGGCTGGAGTGCAGTGGCACCATCTCAGCTCACCGAAACCTCTGCCTTCCAGGTTCAAGCGATTCTCCTGCCTCAGCCTCCCAAGTAGCTGGGATTACAGGCGCCCACCACCAATGCCTGGCTAATTTTTGTATTTTTAGTAGAGACGGGGTTTCACTATGTTGGCCAGGTTGGTCTCGAACTCCTGACCTGAGCTGATCCTCCCACCTTGACCTCTCAAAGTACTGGGATTACAGGCGTGAGCCACCACGCCCGGCCAATGTGATAATTATTTAACAATATTCTTCTATTCTGCAAAAATCTTTGTTGCTCTCTCTTTCTCCTTCCTGGAGAAGATTGATTGAAAGGCTATTATAATATCTGGATGACCCATAAACCATTATGGGTAGTGTTTGTAGAAGTATCAAGGAGTGGTTGAATTCTGGGTATGTTTTAAAGGGTTTGTGATTAAATTGGTGTGAAATAAATAGAAAAGTCATATATATCTCCAGTTTCTTTTGCTGTAACAACACAGTTTGCATTTACTGAGACAGGAATGACTTCAGAAAGAGCATTTTGAGAGTGGAGTGTGTATGTGTGTGGTGGGGATCTAGAATCTGTTTCAGCATTTACTTCAAGTTGTGTATTGAACATTCAAGTGGAGATGACTAGTGTGGAGTGGTCAGATTTAAATAAATATATACAGTCCCAAACTTTCCCTTTCCCAAGTTAGAAAAGAAGTGACTTGCTGAAAAATAAACCAATCAAGGACCAGATCATAAACATGAAAACTCTAAAGACTTTTTTCCTTTATTTCCCCCCTTATTGATTGATTGATTGATTGCTGCACCTCCTGGAATGGGACAGAGACTTTTTTTTCTCAGAAGAGAACTGGAATAATATTCTTTGCTCACAATTGGTCAGTGGTTTCCTATTGCCCACTGAAAAATAAAATCCAAGTGTTTGCCTTGTATACTCACGCCCTTATGACCTGTTCTTTCCCTTTTTGTTCTGCCATAACTCCAAACCAATTTTAGGTATTGTAAGACCTAAAATTTCAACTGCTGCCTTGAGATTTTTGACCCTCACAGAGCTCCCCAAAAATGCTTATCCACAAATTCCCCTGTCTTGATAGCTATGACTCCCACAAGCAGGAAAGGTTCCCTACTTGTCCAGTTCCCTTATCTGACAGACCAGCTGCATCTCACTCAGGCCTCAACCTAATGGGTTTCGTCTCACTGCCAGTCCCTAAAACTGTTAAAGCAAGCCAACTACATTCTCTGGAGGGAACCAGGAGTCACCCAACCCTCTGATGACTACAAAGCCTACCTCTCACAGCCCCTAATGGTTCATTCTGTTCCTGAGTGCAAACCTTCTGTGGCCTTGCACGGTATGCAGTGCCCTCTTTTTTCCAGGCTGTGAGTACATATGACTAATAAATTTCTGCCAGTCTCATTTATTCAGTGTTGAGGTCATGTGTCCAGCCTTCTTACTATTTAGGGCAGGAGAATTTATTGTCTTTCAACAGGTGCACAGGAGGTGATCGGAACACAGCCACTTTTCTCTCCAAATCCCTCTCCCTCACATGACCTCACCTCCATACTTCATCACACTGAATTATTTGTAGTTCCTTAAAAACCTTTAACTATTATGCTTCCTTATATTTATTTCTTTTTGCTAGAGTGCTCTTCTCGGCTATATGGCAAGTTCTTACTCATTCAAGTTTTGGCTCAAAACCTGCCACCATTTCAGAATCAGACAATTGCCAGGGCAAAATTAATGCAGCAACCCTGTTTTAGTTTTCATTTATCTCTGTAGATAAGTGCCATGGTGATGACCCTTACTAAAATATCGGAATGTTCACATACTTACTGGGTAATAATGTTATTCTATATATCTCAAGTAGTGTGTCACTATGAACTAGGTTGTCAGCATTATTTAAAGTAAATATGATGATTCATGATGTGTGCCTGGTGTCTGGTTCCACATGCCTGGCCACGTGGTAGCTATGACTAGCTCCCCTTAACAACTTTGACTCTAATGCCCAAGTGGACTTTGCTATGCAAGCATAGCTTACACACATGCGTGCAGTTCACAATTGGAGAGAAAGGGCTTTCCTATCCTCAGTGAAGACGTTGGATGAGAAAGCCTTCTTTAGCCTTCACCTGTTGGAGGCCAAAGGAATGAGGGACGTGACCAACTCAATATACCACTGGAGGGTATATGAGCAAACAGCAAACTGTTCTCATGAAAGCAGGATGTTGGCAAACTGACAACTGCATCTGTCACCAGAAGGAATGCTGAGGGCAACCACGTCCCAGGCACCGTGTTCCTTAAGGTTATCTATAGGAACATCTGGAGTCTGTTGAACAAAGAAAGCAATCATGTGAGCCTGTGATAAATCAAGTAGCTGACCAACAGTTACCCCTTCCTCCCTGTTCACTCCACGTAATAAATATGAAGGGCTGTAGAAGCTCAGGGCCCTTGTTCTCTAGAAGCAAGGAGCCCTCTGACCCCTTCTTTTAAACAAATTCTTTTGTCTTTGTCTTCATTTCTGCATTTGTCCTCCTTCGTTTAGTCCTACAGTAACAGCCACAATGGCACCCAAACAGAGACTTGAATGAAGAAGGTCTGCTGGAGCAGAGAAAGTGAAACTGATCAGATGAACGAGGAACCCCAGGACGAGTCAGCCAGAGGAGGATATAAAGTCAGTGCCCTGAGGAGGTACTGGGAGCGGGAAGTTTCTGAATCAGGGTAACATGGGGCAGAATTTGTCTATGGAGGAGCAACATTATGTGCAGTTGCTTAATGCTCAGGTTAGCTCTCAAACACTAACTAAGCTTCTGCAGGAGTTTATTATGCATAACCCATGGTTTCCACAGACAGGCACCCTCAATGTGGAAAATTGGGACCCAGTAGGAGACAGATTAAAACGGGCTCATCAAAAAGGTCTCAAAGTTGATCCTTCTGTTTTCTCTGGGGTTTAGTCTGTACTGTCCTTCTGCCATTGTCCCCTTCTTATTCTGCTGGACCACAGGAGCCATGTTCTGAATCTCAAAAATTGAAAGAATCTTTTGTCTCACCCACAGCATGCATTGAAAATGATAAACAGGAGGCCAGGCACAGTGGCTCACGCCTGTAATCCCAGTACTTTGGGAGGCCGAGGTGGGCGCATCGTGAGGTCAGGAGATTTGAGACCATCCTGGCTAACACAGTGAAACCCCATCTCTACTAAAAATGCAAGGAAATTAGCCAGGCGTGGTGGTGGGTGCCTGTAGTCCCAGCTACTTGGGAGGCTGAGGCAGGAGAATGGCGTGAACCCGGGAGGCGGAGCTTGCAGTGAGCTGAGATCGTGCCACTGCACTCCAACCTGGGTGACAGAGCGAGACTCTGTCTCAAAAAAAAAAAAAAAAGAAAAGAAAAGAAAATGATAAACAGGAAAGGACGAAAATTGGCCTGTACCATCCCCCCAATAGCAGAAACATCTATACCGCCTCCTTCAGTAGCAGAAAGAGACCCCAACACAAAGAATTCTCTGCGCTGCTGCCATAGCTGGAGAGCCCCTAGGACCTTGCGCTTTTCCTATTTCCGTAAGGCCCAATCTGAATAATCCACAGCAGTTTACTTATGAACACACCCCGGTAGAGTTTAAGTTGTTGAAGGAATTAAAAGCTAGTGTAGTTAATAATGGAATACAGAGCCCATTTACTTTAGGATTGCTAGAATCTGTACTCGGTGCTATGTGCCTTCCAGCCTTTGATATAAAGCATTTGGCTCACACTTGTTTGTCTGGTAGTGCATATCTGACATGGAATTTAAACTGGCTAGAACTGTGTGCAGACCAGACTAGACAGAATCGTGCTGCTGGACACGGGGACATTACAGAGGATATGCAACTGGGTAATGGCCCTTATTCAGATCTGCTGCGACAATTGACACTCCCAGGCACTGCTTACAAGCAGTCTGCCTTGGCTGCTAAACGCGCCTGGGACACCATTCCAGAGCAAGGAGTCCCAGTACAATCTTTTCTACAAGTTATGCAAGGGTCGCAGGAGTCCTATGCACATTTTGTTGTACAATTACAAGAGGCAGTGAGGCATCAGATTCCTCATACCGCTGCTGCAGAAATGCTTACTTTGACTCTAGCTTTTGAAAATGCAAGTGCAGATTGTAAACGTGCTCTGGCACCTGTGAGGTCTGCAAAGATCTTAGGAAAATTTCTCAAAGCCTGTCAGGATGTGGGAACTGAACTCCATCATTCTACAATGTTGGCTCAAGCAATGGCTAATTTAGTAGTAACAAATCTAGAAAGGGCCAAGGGTCAAGCCCTAAAGTAGGAAAATGTTATAATTGTGGAAAAATTGGACATTTCAAAAAAGAATGCCATCAGACCTCTGGGCAGAGAGGATCTTATAATGCAGTTCCCCCAGACAGAAAAAATGCCAGGACTTTTCACTCGTTGTAATAAAGGAAATCATTGGGTTAATCAATGCCGCTCAAAATTTCATCAGAATAGCACCCCCCTGTCGGGAAACGAGAAGGGGGCCTGGATCCGGGCCCCTCAAACAATGAGGGCATTCCCCATCCAGGCCACAGCCCCATTTCAGGGATGGGTTCCCAGAAGAACATTGATTCCCTCTCCCCAGGAACACCCAGAAGCACAGGATTAGATCTTCCAGTCAGAGAACGGGTTACATTTGTTGGAGGAGACAAACCCACGAAGATTCCCACTGGTATTTGGGGACCTTTGCCAACAGGATATATGGGATTAATTTTGGGCAAAAGCCGTCTTAACTTACAGGGCATTACCATGGTCCCCGGAGTTGTTCACTGTGATTATGAAGGAGAAATTCAAGTAGTAGTAATGTCACAAGATCTTTGGGTTTTTGAACTGGGAGAATATACTGCTCAACTATTGCTTATTCCCTGCAAGTTGCACCCTTCCCCATGAAAGGAAAAACGAGGGAATCAAGGATTTGGAAGTACAACTAGGCGGTAAATTTATCTATCACAACCCATAGCATTTAATCGACCCACCTGTACAGTGCAAATTAAAGGAAAGAAGTTCTATGGGCTTATGGATACGGGAGCTGATGTGTTAGTAATATCCAAACACTATTGGCCCACCATCTTGACCCCTGCAATTAACTTCTACATCCTTAGTGGGACTAGGAAAGCTCAAAGTGTTCAGTGGAGTGCTGAGATTTTATCCTGTCTCAGACCACATGGACAGTCATGTACTTTTCAACCTTATGTTGCAAATATAGCTGTTAATCTATGGGGCCGAGATTTACTGACAGCATGGGACATGAGACTTAAAAAGGAAACTATTGATAATCCAGGATTTAAAATGTTAAAGAAAATGGGATTCAGAGTGGAAAAGGCTTAGGAAAGCCCCTGCAGGGAAACCCTGATCCAATATCAATAACTGGACAAAACAGAAAAGGGCTAGGTCATCAGGATTTTTGGTGGGGGTCATTGGTATTTCTCCTCCACCCACTGCTTTGCCGCTAGAGTGGCTGACTGACAAACCTGTGTGGGTGGATCAATGGCCCCTATCACAGGAGAAACTGATGCAACTCCATCAGCTAGTGAGAGAGCAACTGGAAGCAGAACATACAGAATAGTCAGCCCCTGGAATTCACCTGTATTTGTGATCCAAAAATGTCAGGAAAATGGCAACTGCTACATGATTTGAGAGCTATTAAATGCACAGATTAAACCAGTGGGTGCATTACAGCAAGGTCTGTCATCCTCAGCAGCCATTCCAAGAGATTGGACTCTTGTAGTAATAGGTCTTAAAGAGTTTTTTTTTTAATATACCATTACACAAAAAGGATAAGCCTCAATTTGCCTTCTCTGTGCCTTCTATTAATCAAAGAGAGCCTGTCTCTCGCTCTCAGTGGAAAGTTTTAGCCCAAGGCATGCTCAACAGTCCTATGTTATGTCAGCATTTTGTAGGAAAAGCTTTAAAGGAGCCTCGCAATATATTTCCCAATGCCTACATCATTCATTATATGGATGATATTCTTTTGGCCGCTCCTACAGATCAAATGTTACATCAGTTATTCAGGGAAATAAAATGAGTCTTGACTGCATGGAATCTCAAAATAGCTCCTGAAAAGGTGCAAACAACCTCCCCATACCAGTACTTAGGTACTATTGTTACTGGAAGAAGTGTTCGGCCTCAGAAAGTAACTCTCTGTAGGGAGAGGGTACAAACTCTGAATGACTTCCAACAATTATTAGGGGATATCAATTGGCTGTGCCTGATGCTAGGTATTGCCATCTACCAACTCACACACCTTTATCAAACCCTCCAAAGAGATTCTTCATTAGATTCTCCTCGGCAACTTACTAACGAGGCAGAAGCTGAGTGACAGCGTGTAGAACAGATCCTTCAGCAACAACATGCCTCCCGGCTACAGCCACAAAAGCCTTTGCTTTTGTTTATTCTTCCTACCCCCCATTCTCCATCAGGATTTTTAGGCCAATTCATAGACAAATCTGTAATGGTAATATAAAGGCTTTTTTTTTTTTTATTCAATCTGACAGTGAAATCTTTGCAAGTTTATCTTTCTTTAATTACTCAACTTATAACAATAGGTAGGCACAGGTAAAAAATGCTTACGGGATATGATCCTGATAAAATTATTGTTCCCTTGGATTCCCAACAACAGGCCGCAGCATGGGAAATGTCGACTGCATGGCAAATTGCTTTTGCAGATTTTGTGGGAATAATAGATAACCATTATCCATCAGACAAGATTTTGCAATTTTATAAAGTTCACCCTTTTATCCTCCCTGTAATTACCCATCACAAGCCCATTCCAGGTGGAAAGACATATTTTACCAATGGCTCTTACAAAGGCCGCACAGCTATTTATGCAACTAAACATACTCAAACAATAAAGATCTCTGGAGTTTCAGCTCAATGCTCAGAGTTAATCGCAGTTATTCAGGTTTTAGAGCTCACGGCTTTATCTCCTATTAATATTGTTTGTGATTCAGCCTATGTTGTAAATGCAGCTAGTTGCATTGAGACTGCCACTATTAAGGGCACCCTAGAACCAGAGCTGCTTAATTTGTTTCTAAGACTTCAGCAAGCTATTCTCTCTTGTGCTGCTCCTATTCGCTCTCATACGCAACTTCCTGGACCACTATCTCAAGGTAATGATAAAGCAGATAAATTAATTGGTTCTGTATTCCAACAAGCCCAAGCTTCCCATGCATTACTGCATCAAAACACCTCTGCCCTTACTCATATGTTTCATCTGCCTTGCAGTCAAGCTCAAGCTATTGTGCAAGCCTGCTCCACTTGTCAGCATGTCCCTGGTGTTGCACCCGTGGAAGGATGCGACCCACGAGGCTTGGCTCCAAATGAAATCTGGCAGATGGATGTTGCACATACAGCAGCCTTTGGCAAACTTAGCTATGTTCATGTGACTATAGACACCTACTCCAATATGTTACATGCCACATGTCAAACAGGGGAAACTGCTGGCCATGTCCAATGGCATTGTTTGTCGTCATTTGCCCATATGGGGGTCTCTAAACAATTAAAAACTGACAATGGACCTGCTTATGTTAGTCATGCTTTTCAAAATTTTTTACAGTTATGGGCAATCATTCATAAAACAGGAATTCCTTACAATCCCCAAGGACAAGGCATTATAGAGCGGGCACATCAAACACTACAGCGTATGTTGAGAAAAAAAGGGGGAATAGGAGACCAGCTACCACCTTAAACAAAATTACATTTAGTCTTGTTTACTTTAAATTTTTTGATGCCTGGTATGGATGGTAAGACTCTAGCAGAACAACATTGGCAAGTGTTAGAGGGAAAGAGGCAAGTTTATCCAAAGGTGTTATGGAAATCCCCAGAAGAAGGACAAAGGAAAGGCCCAGTGGATTTGCTGATGTGGGGATGAGGGTATGCTTGTGTTTTTACAGGAGATGGACAAACTGTGTAGGTGCCCTCCAGGTACGTGCAACCATGGAACGGGAGACTGGAGGGATCCGTGGATCGCAACCATGGGCCCGGTTCCCCCAGTACAAGCCATAGGCCAGTTGAATCTGAATGCAAAGATGGAACAAGGGCCGACTGGAGTCACATTGACATCCACCCTCATAACATGGGGACAGATCAAGAAAACCATGCAGGAAGCTGAGAAAATGCTGGAGTGCCAGGGTCAGGCAAAAACCCCTGAATCAATGTTCTTGGCCATACTAGCTGTAGTGTCCTGTGTGGTATGTTTCCCCTGTGTAGAAGCAAAAACATGTCGGGCATATGTTCCTAACCCCTGAGTAGTGCGACCTGTACTCTGGAGTGACACTCCTCCTGAGGTATATCGTGATCAGGGAGCATGGACCCCAGGACCCCTAACTCCCCCTGACACAGAACTATTAGACTGTCAGAACAATAGTATCAATTACACTGCCCCATTGGAGGGACTCCCTTTATGCATCACCAAGGATACATCGCTCAATGGCAGTTGCCTTGCAGTCCAATCCCAGGCATGGTTGAGTCACCATGGAAACATTATGTACCTATTAGGCCTTAGCTCTAATAATATTACTGGTGGATTTACTAATCTCTCCCAGCCCCATCGTCCAAATTGTATTGATTATACAGAATGGGCTCCCTTCAATAATTCTCACCCCCCTCCTTGGATCCAGTGTCTTGACCCCTTAGCTAGACAAGTCTATGTTAATGGGAGACATTATTGACTGGGGTCCCTGTGGTCATTTGGGAGAGATGAGAATCAGACCTCATGGAACAAACTTCGCTGCCACTGGTGGTGAACATTTAACATTTCTTCGCTATATCGCATTGGGATTCAATCCTAATCTGCCACGCAACTGGCTTGGCACGGAACAGGCTTTAGTCCGCCTTTGCCTCAGCGGCGTCATCAAGGAAAGAGGGGCCCAATTCAGCAGTCGATATGGAAGTTAGCACTCCCATTTATGAATGGCAGCATCTGGGTCAGGACACTATCCAATAATAGTAATAGGACTCAACACAGTTTTAATGTTACCTTTGTAAGAAATATTATCACTCAATTTACAATTTGTGTTTTTAATCCCTGTATCTTTCTGGCGGCTAAAAAGGACCAACTCCAGGTAAACGTCTCCCATTTGACTTGTGACTCCTGTCAACTGTATCACTGCATAAATCATAGCACGATACAAACACACAACATATCCACCTTAATAATTCCGGGTTGCATTCCCAGATTATGGATTCCTGTCAATTTGTTTGAGCCTTGGGTGGCTATCCCGGCTTTATATTTTGTACAACTCCTTCTTACTCAGCTCACTCACTGTGCTTGTAGAGCCTTAGGCATGGTAATTTTTGGTACAGTCTCCCTAGTTACACTAATAACCTCTATTGTAGTGTCCTCAGTAGCACTGCACAGCTCTATTCAAACAGCTGAATATGTGAAAAATTGGACGCATATGGCCAACCAGGCACGGATGCTTCAAAATAAAATTAACACCAAAATACAAACAGAGGTGGCAATGTTAAAGACTACTGTCCTGTGGCTAGGAGAACAAATACAATGTTTGCAGTTGCAGCAGCAATTGCATTGTCATTTTAACCATACTTATATTTGTGTAACTAATTTGTGTAATATAATCAAAGTGAATATCCATGGAGACTTGTAAAGGCCCATTTGCAGGGGGCTTTTACATCCAATGTTACTTTTGATATTAATGATTTACAGAGTAAAATTCTTGATCTGAATAGGCAAACTTAAGAGTATCAGCCCTCTTTAGAAGCTTGGAGCTAATTCCAGCAAGGTTTAGAGAAGCTTAACCCTTGGATCTACTTTAAACAGCACCTCAATGTCTCTTTTATAATTATAGGAATAATGTTATTGTGTCTCTGTTTTCTGTTTATGGTCTGTAAAATCGGCTGGACCACCAACTGGCAATTGAAAGCTGCAGTCTGGAATTGCCTTTATTCAATTAATGCAAAAACAAAAAGGGGGAGATGTTGGAGGCCAAAGGAATGAGGGACGTGACCAACTCAATATACCACTGGAGGGTATATGAGCAAACAGCAAACTGTTCTCATGAAAGCAGCATGCTGGCAAACTGACAAGTGCATCTGCCACTAGAAGGAATGCTGAGAGCAATCACGTCCCAGGCACCGTGTTCCTTAAGGTTATCTATAGGAATATCTAGAGTCTGTTGAACAAAGAAAGCAATCGTCAGCCTGTGATAAATCCAGTAGCTGACCGACAGTTACCCCTTCCTCCTTGTTCACTCTACCTAATAAATACGAAGGGCTGTAGAAGCTCAGGGCCCTTGTTCTCTAGAAGCTAGGAGCCCCTTGACCCCTTCTTTTAAACAAATCCTTTTGTCTTTGTCTTCATTTCTGTGTTCATCCTCCTTCATTCAGTCCTATAGTAACAGCCACATTTACCTGTGTATATACATATTTTTTCTGCTTTTCTTGCATTGTATCCTGTGCTGTAATGAATCTTTTTTGTTTTTATTTTTAAAACATGTTCTTTAACCCAAACAAAAAATGGTCAATAGATATAATAAATCTTAACTGAGAGTATGCTGAGTCATGTGATTACTTCTGGTGAATTACTGAATTAGTGGGTGGTCATGGGATTACAAGCACTATTTTCCTTATTCCCAGTGCACTTAGTGTACAATCCTTTCACAGAATTACTGTATTGCACTCTACATATTTACTTGTTTAAAAGCATATGGGCCAGGTGCGTTGGCTTAAGCCTGTAATCCCAGCAGTTTGGGAGGCCAAGGCTGGCGGATTGCCTGAGGTTAGGAGTTCAAGACTAGCTTGGCCAACATGGTAAAACCCTGCCTTTATTAAAAATACAAAAATTAGCTGAGTGTGATGGCAGGCACCTGTAATCCCAGCTACTTGGGAGGCTGAGGCAGGAGAATCTCTTGAGCCCAGGAGGTGGAGGTTGCAATGAGCCAAGATCGTGCCACTGCACTCCAGCCTGGGCAACAAGAGTGAGACTTCATCTCAAAAACAAATAAACAAACAAAAAACAAAAAACAAAAACAACAAAAGCATATCTAGACTGTAGACTACTTAAGGTTTTTTTTTTTTCTTAGTTCCTAATACAGTATGTGACACATAAATATCTGAATAGGAATCCTTTCTGAGAGAGAGAAGCATAAAGCAGTCCACACATATGTTTAAAAAATAAGCACAGCGAATAGTTCTATTTGAGATATTAAAGGATGGTAGAGAGTAGAGACACATTTACCAGTAGGGTCCGCAAAAATGTTTTTCTCAGGTCAGAGTTCAATCAGTGCTATGAAGACTCCACACCCACCTCAAAATGCAACTCATTTTCCGAGATTAAGATCCTTGTAGGTGAAAAGAATCTGTGTGGGGATTTAGGAATTCCTAGTCGATTGCCTTAACTACTTGGCAAATAGTGCTTTCTGAATTATGTATCAAAAGATATAAAACTCCATTCCTGGGCTCCCACCCCACCCCACCCTTGGCACTCAGTTTATGTAAGCATTCTCCTTGCTTGGCAGGTTAACTTACAACTGTCATAACTGGCTGCAACAGTGGTATAGCCTCTAAACAAGAGAAATTTGCTTTGTTTACAGATGACATATTGATTAATGACACTTGGGTGTCCATGAAAATCAAAATTGTACATGCAGAGATTGTAGTTTCACATTATTTCCCGGAAATGCTTGTAATTCTGGAATTAAAGAAATACTCGGGTTCATTTTGTTTTCTTTCGTCATTGTTTAACCTAAAAAACTGTAACTTAAAAAAAAGGGATCCTCAGGAAAATAGACGGGGGGGGAGAAAAAAAAAGGACCTAGCAGAGGATGGTTTCGATCCATCGACCTCTGGGTTATGGGCCCAGCACGCTTCCGCTGCGCCACTCTGCTGTTCTGCCAGGCACACGGTCTCACAGTACTCTTAACTACTTACAGGAGATGCGTTCAGACTACCTCGTAATTTAAGAAAAAACCTACGAGCAGTTGCCTACTTCTTTGGCTACCACAGGTTGCCAACTCACTTTGGAAAAAGGAATCACCAGAATCAAACAGAAAACAAAACTAGGGATAGAAAAATAAATATCAATACACTGGTGGGCTAGGCGCGGTAGCTCACGCCTGTAGTCACTGCACTTTGGAAGACCCAGGCAGGCAACATAGCGAGACCCTGTCTCAATAAAATTAAAAAAAGGAAAAAAAAAAACCCCCACCCCGAAACCTACACACTGGGTGCAGTTGTGAGGGGCAGTTAGATATTTAAATGGCAATTACAAATTTTAATAAGCAGGGAAAGAAGAGAACAAACTGGGAATAGAATCAGGCCTCCGCGCGGAGGGCAATAATTCTACCACGAATCACTAACCTATCATGCCTTCGCCATCGGGAAGAAAACCCTTTTGGTTATGTTTCCCTTGGCTTGGTGATGGAGAGGGTGAAATCTTGCAGTTTTCAAACACTTCCGAAGGGGGGTTTCGGTCCGCATGTGCTTTACAGCCGGCAGCAGAAAGCCAGTCACTGTGACCTTGGGGACAAAGCTGCACTCCTCAGGCTTCCGGTCTTGTGGACCGAGGCTCCTCTCCAATCGTCCTAAAGCAACTGAAGGAACAATTGATAACAATTTAAACATGTTAATTTATTTAATCTGATTTGGTTGTTAAAACAGCCTTAAAACTCTCATTCCTATTTCCCAGCAATTGCAAGAGACGCCTCCGCGGAGCCGGCGCTCAGATGCCAAAGGCTGGAGTCGTTGGTGACGTCATCCAGGGCTGGGCTATGCGGGGTGGGGCCAAGAAGCAGGACCAAAGTTCCGGTATGCGCGCTTTCAGTCTTCAATTAGGTCCGAATTCCCGGCATATAAGGGCGTTGCTTTGCCTTGGCGTTTAGGTTTCTTAAGTTGGTTTTAGAAGTTGCTTAGTCATGTCTGGCCGTGGTAAAGGTGGAAAAGGTTTGGGTAAGGGAGGAGCTAAGCGTCATCGCAAGGTTTTGCGCGATAACATCCAGGGCATCACTAAGCCAGCTATCCGGCGCCTTGCTCGTCGCGGCGGTGTCAAGCGAATTTCTGGCCTTATCTATGAGGAGACTCGTGGTGTTCTGAAGGTGTTCCTGGAGAACGTGATTCGTGACGCTGTCACTTACACAGAGCACGCCAAACGCAAGACCGTGACAGCAATGGATGTGGTCTACGCGCTGAAGCGACAGGGACGCACTCTTTACGGCTTCGGTGGCTAAGGCTCCTGCTTGCTGCACTCTTATTTTCATTTTCAACCAAAGGCCCTTTTCAGGGCCGCCCACTTTTTTCATAAAAGAGCAGACATCTTGTTATCCTGCTTTGTTCCAGATTTTTGCTGAGAAGTAGTTACTGTGCACATGTGTAGATTTGCAGGTAACGTTTAATTACTCGTGCTTAATCTCGCATGTTTAGGATTTGGGCATAAAGTACTTAAAGCCACTGTTTTCTGCTTGAGGGAAGTTGGTATGTTGAATATGTTTAGCTTTCTTGTGGCATTTTAACACTAGATATCAGTGAGTAAGCTGGATTGTGACAGTTTATAATTCCCGTGGGCCTTCCTCCTTCAGTTTAAGCTTGAAGCGTTCGTAAGGTTCTCAAAGACTACAGAAGTTGGAAACTTCGCGGAGAGACTGCAAGTTACCCTTTCCAAAATGGCGGGAAGGGCTAAAAACAAAGAAAGCTCGCACCCAGACGGCGGGCCTTAAACCAAGGCGAATCCGTGAGCGCAACACATCTGCGTGAGTAGGATCGCAGACCCAAGTCCAGGCGGCGTGCGCGCTGCTGCTTTTGACTTGGTGACAAAACTCGTCTACAAAAGGCAGTGTGGGGTAACAATATAAATGTTCACTTGAGAGCTTGCAAGTATTGTTTCCAATAGACTTAAAATGTGTTTTTGAATATTACGAAAATATTAAAAGGTAGGGTACCGCTTAGTGAGCAATATAGAAACATCACCATAACTTATTTTGTTGTTGTTGAGACGGAGTTTTGCTCTTTCATCCAGGCTGGAGTGCAGTGGCGCGATTTCGGCTCACCGCAACCTCCGCCTTACAGTTTCAAGCGATTCTCCTGCCTCAGCCTCCTGAATAGCTGGTATTACAGCCGCCCGCCTAATTTTTGTGTTTTTAGTAGAGATGGGGTTTCACCATGTTGGCCAGGCTGGTCTCGAACTCCTGATCTCGTGATCCACCCGCCTCGACCTCCCAAAAGTGTTGGGATTACAGGCATGAGGCACTGCGCCCGGCCACGAAAACTTAAATTCTTAACCAGCAATGATCGCCTTTTGAAAAAGTACACATTCAGGCATCAGGACAATGATTTGCTAGAGACCAAACTTGTAGGAGATTTGGATTGGCTTTTTTTTTCCTTTTTTGAGGCGGAGTCTCACCTTCGCCATGCTGGAGTGAAGTGGCGTGATCTCGGCTCACTGGAACTTCTGCCTCCCGAGTTCAAGCGATTCTACTGCCTTAGCCTCCCAAGTGACTACAGGCTCGCGCCACCACGCCCAGCTAATTTTGGTATTTTTAAGTATAGGTGGGGTTTCACCATGTTGGCCAGAATGGTCTCCATCTCTTGAGCTCGTGATCCGCCCGCCTCGGCTTCCCAAAGTGTTGGGATTACAGGCGTGAGCCACCGCGCCCGGCCTGGATTGGCTTTTCTTACGGCATCATTTTACTTGGCTTCTATACTCTGTCCTGAGCAGAAGTGACTTTTATATACTTAGTTGAAATCAGGTTAATATGCTTGTCAGTTTATACAGAGACATATGTCTGGTTTATCTACGTTGAAGATAATAGGACAATTGCTGCTTTAGGATGATAGTTCCATTGTAAAATCAGATTTTTCCTCTTTGTGGTCAGCAAGCAAATTGTAGGGTTATAACTTTGAAATCGAGAAAATCAATGGAGTTAGGGTTTCATCTTTTTTAAAGATATGCACTTGTACATTAATATGAAAAGAACGATGTTATCAGAGCTAAGGCACTGGTTTGTATGAGGATATAAATTTAACAACAAAAATTGAGCACATAACGTATGCCAGGTACTGTTCATGGCTCTGAGAAGTATAGGAGTGAATGACAGTGAACAAAACAGTATTTTCTGTATGCATGGCGTCTGTTGGGTGTGCTTTCACACGCAAAGTAAGTGAAACTATCAGATGGTGCTAAGTGCTATCACTGAAACAGGCTAAAGACGTGTGGAGGGAGGAGGTGATGTTTAATTAGTTATTTTTTTTGAGATAGGGTCTTGCTCTGTTGCCCAGGCTGCAGTGCAGTGGCGCGATCTCGGCACATTCCACCTCCGCCTCGCTTGGGTTCAAGCAATTCTAGTGTCTCAGCCTCCCGAGTAGCTGGGATTACAAGCATGCGCTACCACACGCAGCTAATTTTTGTATTTTTAGTACTTATGGGGTTAGGCTGGTCCTGAATTCCTGCCTCATGTGATCCGCCCACCTCGGCCTCCCAAAGTGCTGGGATTACAGGTGTGAGCCACCGCGCCCAGTCGAGAACGTGATAATTTTAAATGATAGAGTCATGGAAAGCTTTACTGATAGAGCGATGGTTGCAGAAAAAAAGACGAGAGAATATTCCAAATAGACGACCAAGTAGCAAAGCCTGGAGATAGCAGAGAGTTATTGTGTCTGGGCAAAAGGGCAGAAGAGGTGCAGAGGAATGGAGATGAGGTCTGAAAGGCAAATGGAGGCGAGAAGGGTGCAGAGGAAAGGAGATGAGGTCTGAAAGGCAAATGGAGGCGAGCAGTTCCTATATGGGCGGTGTAACTACTTTGGCTTTTATTCCTAGTGAGGTGGGAGCCACTCAGGGTTTTGAGCAGAGGACTGAGTTGATCTGATTTATATTTTAGAATGAGCTGTCTGGATGCCTGATGAAGAATAAACTGTGATGGAACCTGGATAGGAGCAGAGACCAGTTAGGAGGGTACTAAAATAAAGGAGTTTAGATGGCAGTGGCTTGGACCAGTGTATTAGTGGTAGAGGCTGTGAAAAGTTGTTGGATTCTTTGTTTATTTTGAAAGAAGGTTGATAGTTCGTTTCTGAGTCACTGAATGTGTAGAGTATGAGAGAAAGAAAATTTATGGATGATTCCAGTGATTTCATTGACAGCAACTGAAATGGAGGTATCAATTGCTAAAATGGGGAAGAATACTGAAGGAACAAGTTTTGGAAAGAATTCCATATCTTAGTTTTGGACATCCAGAGAGAGTGTCAGATGCTTATTACACATATCTAAGAGGAAGATACAAAGTAAACAGTTTGATATATAAATCTGGATTTCAGAAAAGAGGTCTGGGCTGAAAACATAGATTGAGTTTTTACTCCCATGAGGGTAAAAAAGCCAGAAGGTGAAATGATATCTGTTAGGAAAAGAGGATTGATAATGAAGAAGAAGCAGTGCAAGGACTGGGCCCTGGGTTAAGGAAGTAAGGAATGTTTGCTTTGTACATACGACATCTGGATTCCTAACTTACAGTTTTACAAGTGCTTTATTTAGTAATTCTGTTTCTGTAATTTTTGGAACAAACAGAAAAAGTTATCCCTATTTTACAAATGTGGAAAAATGCCCTTGGTAATAAGGGTATGCAATAATATTGCAATTTTCATTCAAATAACCTATTAAAGTTAGAGCCATGAAGGGGTTACTTTGGAGACCCAGTGATAGATATTCACACCTTTTTCAAAATGTGCCCACTTTCCCCATATATTTTGCTTGCAATTCCAGGAGTTCTCAGGCCTCCTGAAACGTATTTGTGGATCTCAGCTTGAAAGCTCTGTATTTGATGCTGCCTTTTTTCTTCCCTTAGTTCTGTGGCTCCTGATGGATCTGAGAAGATGGACGTGGAGGATGAAAATCTGTCTGATTATTTTGAACTGATGTTTGTTGCTATGGAGATGCTGCCTATATGTTGATGTTGCAGACGTTAAGTCACTAGCCCACAGCCTTGTATTCCATACTCAGAGACCCTGCTACTTACTTGACATCTCAACTTGAAAGTCCAATTAATATGCACTTCAAACTTTAATAGGCTTCAAACAGAATTTCTTTCATTATCTCTGCAAAACAGCTTCTCTCATCATCTTGAAATTAGTGAATGGCATTTTACTGTTTTAGTTGGAGTCATTTCTGTGGTTTTCTTTCACATCCTACATAACAATCCATCAGTAAGTTCTATGAGCTCTTCTTTGAAAACAAACAGAATCCAACTGTTTCATTCCCACTTCTGCTCTGGTCAAGCCACTGCCAACACTCACCTTTATTATTGTAGCACCCTCATTGCCTAGTTCTGTCCCACAGATTTCCAATAAAAGGTGAATAAAATCAGGTCACTCTTCTGCTGAAAACCCTCCAATGGCTCTCATTTCGCTAAAAAGAAAACCCAAAGTCCTTTCAGTACCTTGCAAGGCCCCACACTCTGGCTCTTGTTATCTCTTTGGCCTCAAATCCCACTACTCCTTTCCTTCCTCGCGCAGCTCCGCTAGCCTCAAACTTGCTGTAAGTATGTATCTTTCAGGGACTATATATTGACAGTTCCCTTTGTGTGGGCAACTCAGCTTCTAGATTTAAGTGTTGCTGCCTCACTTCTTTCAAATAACACCCTCTGTGTGAGGCTGGTTGTGACCCCACTGGCATTACAATCCTGCTCCCTTCCTCACGGCCTTCCCACTATATTTTTCCCTGCTCCTAAGGATCCTGCAGTCTATTTGGAGAGTGAAAACATATCCTTATGAAAAGGAAAGCAGGAATGGAATATTATATGGAATGTCAGATGAGTGTAATTCAAGTCAGTATCAGAAGTGATAGTTCCTGGCTTGGTGCCAGATGTTGGAGGCCTGTTGGGCCAATGACAGGAATGTAGACTTTATTCTGGACAGCAGAGAACCATACAAAATCTCCCCTCCCTGCTTTGGTTCTGATTATGTCACAATTCTAGCATCTTTCATGAAACTAGTTTTTGCACTGAGCATATTAGACTCAAATTATGTGTTTATCTTAATAAGTGCCTAGATGAATATAAATAAAATGAATATAAATCTAAATTTACAATTGACAAAATGATATACTTTAGTGTACATAAATCTAAATTTACAATTGACAAAATGATATACTTTAGTGTACATTTTAGGTTATGTCCTTCTGGCAGAAAAGGAAGATATTTCAAGAATTATCCTTTACACAGCAAGTCTTGTATATTAGCAGTGATTTTTGTAAAGTGCCTGGTCTTTTGAGTATCTACAGACTTTGAGTATAAGGGGAGATTGCCTTTTGTATAACCAAATTTCTAATACCAGAAATATTTATGGAGGTTCTGTATTTTTATGGAAGGTGAGATGACTTTTCCGTGAATACATTTGTTCATTATTGTTTCTTTATTTGCTTTAAAATTTATAATTCTAGATATATATAAAAGAATGTAGGCCGGGCGCAGTGGCTTACGCCTGTAATCCCAGCACTTTGGGAGGTCGAGGTGGGCGGATCACAAGGTCAGGAGATCGAGACCATGGTGAAACCCCGTCTCTACTAAAAACAAAAAATTAGCCAGGTGTAGTGGCGGGTGCCTGTAGTCCCAGCTACTCGGGAGGCTGAGGCAGGAGAATGGTGTGAACCTGGGAGGCGGAGCTTGCAGTGAGCTGAGATTGTGCCACTGCACTCCAGCCTGTGTGACAGAGCAAGACTCCGTATCAAAAAAAAAAAAAAAATGTAAGGCCAGGTATGGTAGTGCATGTCTGTAATGCTGGCACTCTGGGAGGCTGAGGCAGGTGGATCACCTGAGGTCAGGAGTTCGGGACTAGCTTAGCCAACATAGTGAAACCCCATCTCTACCAAAAACACAAAAATTAGCCAGGCATGGTGGTGCGTGCCTGTAGTCCCAGGTACTCTGGAGGCTGAGGTGGGAGAATTGCTTGAACCCAGGAAGTGGAGGTTGTAGTGAACTGAGATTGCGACTACATTCTAGCCTAGATGACAGAGCAAGTCTCC
This sequence comes from Homo sapiens, assembly GCF_000001405.40. Lineage (NCBI taxonomy): Eukaryota > Metazoa > Chordata > Mammalia > Primates > Hominidae > Homo > Homo sapiens. Next base: position 26,279,413 of record NC_000006.12, on the reverse strand, counting down.
GTCTGAAAAAAAAAAAAAGTATTAAATCCACATCCAAGTTATAAAGGATAATATGATGACCATGCTTGAACCCAGTTGCCAACCAGGTATAACAAATACTACAAATAACAACTTTGACCTCATCTCTCATCCTCCCACTACTTCCCCTGGAGGTAGCCATTGCCTTGAAATGTTGCTTGCTTGGCATTAAAATTCCTTATGCTTTTCTGGTCCTTACACTAATACTGCAAGTTTTGCTTGACTTTCCCATTTGATCCTCTTTGAGGTCACTAGTGCATTATTTTATAAACAAGAACATATACTTAGAGTCACATGGATTATTAAGTGGTTCACTAATCTTATTCTATTCTTTCCTGTAATGTTAGGATACTTGTCTCTTGCCTTGTTTTTCAATTTCCTTAGTGTGCAATTGTATCTTACAATTATCTTATTAATTTTTTATATACCAAACCTAGAATAATACTGTATACATAGTTGGTGTCCAATAATTAATTAATTTTTTTTCCTGCAAATATGGAGGCAGTAGAAAAAAGAAAAAAATACTTTTATTTTTCTTAACACAGGACAGAGAAACTTGGAAAAGGAAAGGGCTTAATGGAGAACTTCCTTTTTCCTAACTACACTATTGGGAGTTTTAGAGACAGCCAAATAGAGAAAGTTCTCTCCAGAGGAGCTGATCCTTTCATCCCAAAGAATGCAACAGAATTGTTTACATTTTGGCATTGAGCCTTCTAGTCAGTTTTTTTTCCTGTAACTAACTATACTACACATGTATATGATATATTAATATAAATGAGAATATATGATTTGGCACCTTTCCCAAAGTACTATCCTTCAAGCATATTTTATGTTTATTTTTTTGACGTTAGTTTTAATAGCTGCACAGTATTTCATTATGCATAAACCATTTTTGTCTTTTTTCTTCTCTTAAGACAGTGTCTCTCTCTGTTGCTCAGGCTGGAGTGCCGTAACGGGATCATGGCTCACTGCAACCTCTGCCTCCCTGGCTAAAGTGATCCTCCTGTCTCAGTCTCTTGAGTAGCTGGGACTACAGGTGCACACCACCACACCGGAGTAATTTTTGTATTTTCTGTAGAGATGGGGTTTAACCATGTTACCCAGGCTGTCTTAAACTCTTGGGCTCAAGTGATCTGCCTACCACGGCCTCCCAAAGTGCTGGGATTATAGGCATGAGCTACTGTGCCGGGCCTGATAAAACCTATTTTTAGTGAAACTCTTGCTCTTCTACATATTTCCAATTTTTAGCCACAATAAACAAAAATATGTTAAAATAGAATCAATAGAATAGGATTTTGTATATTATTAAATATATGATGAAAATGAATGGTGGTAATCTAGGATGAGGACCAAATTTCAAACTTGGATAAGCAGAGCTATGAGGATAATGAGGCCAGTCTTGGTCCTGCTGGGTTTGAGCCACCTGTGGAATACTTAGTTCATATAGTATTTGGAAGACTAATTACTGCACTTCTTGTTATAGACTGATTTACCCTCCTCCCTGCTGCATATGTTGAAGTCCTTGAAAATATGACTGCATTTAGAGTTAGGGTCGTTAAAGATATAAAATGAAGTTATTGAGGTGGGTCTGAATCCAATCTGACTGGTGTCCTTATAAGTAAAGAAGACTGGACACACACACAGAGAAAAGATAATGTGAAGACACAGGGAGAAGACAGTTATCGACACACCATGGAGAGAGACCTCAGAAGAAATCAACCTTGCCCACAGGGTTAATCTTAAGAGTCGTAGCCTCCAGAATTGTGAAAAAATAAATGTTTAAGCCACTCAGTCTGTGGTACTTTGTTATGGCAGCCCTAGCAAACGAATACACATCTCAAACATTTTCATTCTGGGATTATTTTTCTCTGCATTTTTTCAGTGTTACGTCTGCTTCTCTACCCTAGCAAGACAGACATACAGAACACAGATGCCTGCCCACACCTACTGTGTGCTGTAGGGAAGAAAACAGCTTTCCCTTCTACCCATCTGAAATTCATTGGCTGGGGCCCTGTAACAAAAGACAGATTAACGAGAGAAAAGCATATACATTTGATATGGTTTGGATCTGTGTTCCCACCCAAATCTCATTCAGTTGCAATCCCCAGTGTTGGAGGTGGGGTCTGGTAGGAGGTCATTGGATCACAGGGGTGTTTCTCAAGGTTTAATACCACTCCCTTGGAGCTGTTGGGATAGTGAGTTTTGTGATCTGGTTGTTTAAAAGAGTATGGTACCTCCACCTCTCTCCTTGCTTCTGCACCACCATGTAAGATGCCTTGCTTCCCATTTGCCTTCCGCCATGAGTAAAATCTCCCTGAGGTCTCCCCAGAAGCAGAAGCTGCTATGCTTCCTGTACAGCCTGTGGTTTTATGAGCCAATTAAACCTCTTCTCTTTATAATTACCCAGTCTCAGTTATTTCTTTATAGCAGTGTGAGAATGGACAATACAACATTTATTTAATATAAATTTCACATGACATGGGAGGCTTCGTAAGGAAATGAAGACCTGGAGAAGGGGTAAACCTGAGTATTTTTACACTAGGTTTGATGAAGAGTGGAGAGTCATGCAGAAATATAATAGGACAAAAAGAAGACTGTCAGCTAAGGGTAAAACAGAAACCTAGCAAGGTCTTTTTGTTCAGATTTCTCTCAGACTCTCTAGGACTCATGAGGGTCCTATGACCTGTTTCAGGGGAGAAGAGTTGGGAAAAATCAGAGAGACCTTCCTGCCCACGATGCTTCTCATATTCTTTCACCCATGAGGGTCCTATGACCTGTTTCAGGGGAGAAGAGTTGGGAAAAATCAGAGAGACCTTCCTGCCCACGATGCTTCTCATATTCTTTCACCTTAAAATATTCAGTATGTCAAGGGGCCATATTTTGAGATAGTATGTTCTGAATGCCATCAAGATACACACTGCTGAGGGTAGATGGGAGATAGTAACTTCTTGGTTCTTTTCAGAAATTATTTACTGCAGGAGTGACAAATACAATAGTAGCAGCTACTCAAATCAGAGCCTAAAAATGATGTTACTTCTCTAGTGGTGAGGTGGTGTTCTTCAGCTTTTCAGGCCAGGAATTTACACCAATCAGTTTCCTTTGAAGTGACCTATGTCTCAGGGATACAATGGATTCAGGAAAGTGTGGCCCTCGTTAGCCAGCCAATTTCCTATGTTCCAATTAAAGAACATACTTATCAAGGTGCAGAAGTTCATCTGAAAACAGGGCTGTGATTTGGAGGTATATGAGGGAAACCTAGTCAACAAATGGATGGAAAATAAATGTAGCAAGGTTAGCAAAGTTAATAGGAAACTTGGGAAGAAAAAAGAGTAAAAAAGTACTAAGCACTTCTCATGTGAATTTCTAGGTTTCCTTACAACTCAACACATCTGACCATTAAATGGGGCACTCCTAGTTCCAGTGAGGGCATGAGACAGTCCCTGGAAAATATGAGACACGTTGCTTGAACTGGCAAGCAACGATAGGGAAATCAAACAGCCACAGGCAGTAGGATGTCTTCAAAATGCTTCAGAGGAAAACAATGGCTTTAAAGATGGGATTGAACTGTTCAAAGAGTATTATTTACACTGCCAGACAAAGAAGCCCATTTCACATCAAATGCTAATTATTCCAGGCCTTAGGACTCTGGGCTTTAAATGTGGGCAGGACCAAAGGCACCTTCCCTATCACTTCAACCAGAGGCTTAGCCACAGCTAATATTTAGGGGGTCATTCTCTGTGCAGACACGGTCCTAAGTGCTTTAGCTGTGTTCTTTGATTCGTCACTCCAGCAATGTCATGCAGTAGTTACTAATTATTATTCCTGTTTGGAATAAACAGGTAAGGAAGCGCTTACAAAAGAATTAGATAAATTGCCCAAACTTAGGATTGAAACAATCAGTCAGGACTGTATCACTTCCTGAGTGATGTCCCCCTTAATCCATGCTTGAATATTTCATGAATATATAATTTAAAATGTATTCAAAATTAGCTTTGGGGAGCAAGAAATGAATGCCTTAGTTATATTTGGGGCTTAGAGAATTTTCTTCACAAATTCCATTACAAATTTACTTTGAGACTAGCCTGGGCAACACAGTGGGACCCTGGCTCTACAAAAATCATTAAAAAAAAAAAAAAATTCAGTGGGTGTGATGGTGCGTGCCTGTAGTGCCAGCTCCTTGGGAGACAGGTGGGAACACTAGCCAGGGAGGTTGAATGCAGTGAGCTGTGGTTGTGTCACTACACCTCAGTCTGGATGACAAAGTGAGACCCTGTCTCAAAACAAAAAATTTAAAGCAAATTTTGGTCACTTAATGTTCACAGTAAGCTGCTATGTGGGTATTTGCAGATAATGACATGTAGGTAATAGATAGAAAATAAGATCTTAGAGCTCACATTTACACTGACAATGCCCATGTTTTCCCCACCACAATACAGTGCTCAGAAAAGTTAAACTTGCTGCCAGGTGATCTTTAGGGCCCAAAGGTCACCATTAATATTATTTTATTTTTAAAAGAAACTTTTGCTGGTGTAAGGACTTTGCTGTGCAACAAAGAATATGTGTATCTCCTGACCAGTTTTCTTTTATTACAATTGAGCCTAAATTTCCTGACTCCTCTGACAGCAACTAGGCTCCTGCTTGGGATGGTCTCTAACAAACAGTGGGAAGTAATCCTTAGAATCAGAGTAGATTCAAATCTCAGTTTTATTTATGTGTAAGGGGCTAGTTACTTAACCTTAATTCTTGAGGTCATTCACCTGTAAAAGAGGAGCTTCCATTTCACAGCTGACTGTAGGAAAAAAAAAATCAATGAATGAAATAATGCATTCTAAGGACTACCACACAAATGTTAATTCCTTGTAACCCTCCTCTCTTAAAATGAATTTTCAAGAAAGGGAGTAGCTGTGGACAAAGTCGTTCCAGGACACGGAGGAGGAGGTTTAGGGAGAACACAGTCCTTGGAGCCTTAAAAAGGCTTACAGATAAAAGCGTCTGAATGTAGCACCGGGAATTTTCATTTCTTTGCTCCAACTTCAGGCTATCCTGTTGCCTGTTCTTTGTCTTAAACCTCAATATGTTCAGCTAAGAAGATGGTAGAGTTCCTGATCTTGCCAAGAGGTAATATGTATAGCTACGTGAAGTAATCCAGTAATTATAAACTCAGTAAAATTTGTAGAGAAATCAGTGGACTTGCAAGGGGGATATGAGAACGTCTGGTAGCGATCTGCCATGGTTTAGAAATGCAACCAACAGAGGTGATTTCCTCCATCATATGCCGCTCCAACCATTTGCAAGCTAACAACGAACTAAAAGACGAGTTTCGCTTTCTCAGACCTTATTTTAGATTTAAGACTACCCCAAACTTGATTTCCACCCGGCTACTCCAAATCAAGGGCAATAGGATGATAAAGTGAAACTAAAAACGAAAACAAAATTTTAAGATGGTGGTGTGCGGGGAGAAGAAAAGTGGGGATCAATCTAGAACACGATTTTTCCTTAGCTGCTGAGTGAAATGTGTCATATTAAGCTGCATACGAGCTTACTCCTTGGTGACGCTTACAATCTATAGGGGAAAAAACAACGAACCTGGATTTTTTTTTGAGATGTCTCGCTCTTATACCCCAGGTTTGAGTGCAATGGCTCTATCTGGGCTCACTGCAACCTCCGCCTCCTGGGTTCAAACGATTCTCCTACCTCTGCCTCCCAAGTAGCTGGGATTAAGTTGCCTGCCACCACTCCCGGCTAATTTTTGTATATTTTAGTAGAGACAGGGTTTCACCATGTTGGCGAGGCTGGTCTCGAACTCCTGACCTCAGGTGACGCGACCGCCTCGGCCTCCCAAAGTGCTGGGATTACAGGCGTGAGCCACTGCGCCCGGCCGAACTTGGATGTTTCAGTAAACCCTTACTATCCCATGTGTTGCTTAGCCATTTTACCTTGCCAATGCCAAGTCTGGAAAATTACAGATCTTTAAATGACAACATGGGTGGCTCTTAGAAGAGCCTTTGGGTCGTTAGCGCTTTTACCCAGGTAACTAGTTTACTTGGAGCTGGTGTACTTGGTGACCGCCTTGGTGCCCTCCGACACCGCGTGTTTGGCCAGCTCCCCGGGTAGCAGCAGGCGCACAGCCGTTTGGATCTCCCTGGAAGTGATGGTCGAGCGCTTGTTATAATGCGCCAGGCGGGAAGCCTCGCCTGCAATGCGCTCGAAAATGTCGTTGACGAAGGAGTTCATAATCCCCATAGCCTTGGACGAGATGCCGGTGTCGGGGTGGACCTGCTTCAGCACCTTGTACACGTACACGGAATAGCTCTCCTTGCGGCTGCGCTTGCGCTTCTTGCCATCCTTCTTCTGTGCCTTGGTCACCGCCTTCTTGGAGCCCTTCTTCGGGGCGGGAGCTGACTTAGCTGGTTCAGGCATGTTCGCAGCCGAAGTGATACCGTCAAATGACCACAGGAAAATGCTGGTGAGCCCAAACGCCCTCATTATTTACCTCGTGTATATGCAAATGAGGCTGGCTGAGTTTCGGTTTCTCATTGGTTCTTTTAGTGTCTGAATATATGATAGGCCATTTCTGAACTCCTAAATCTCATCGGCTCTCCCAGAAGCTCAACCTTGCATAATTTGACCTTTCAACTATAAGTATGTAAGTCAGAAGTGGTTTTTTTTTTTTTTTTTTTTTTAAATTTTTTTAAACACCTGCTTTTCGATTGGCTGAAATCTGTGTTCAGGAGATAGCACAGTCTACTTTGCCGAATATAGATTATAAGAGTTTAGCTCTTGCGTTTTACTAGAATCAATCACTTTCCTTCTTCTAAACAAGTATTTAAATACTTCACTGCGTCTGGATGTGGAATGCAGGGCAGCAAAGCTCGCGCCAAGGCTAAAACGCACTCTTCCAGGGCTGGTCTCCAGTTTTCTGTGGGCCGAGTGCACCGCCTCCTCCGCAAGGGCAACTACGCCAAGCGGGTCCGGGCCGGTGCGCCGGTGTACCTGGAGGCGGTGCTGGAGTACCTGACCGCCAAGATCCTGGAGTTGGCGGGCAACGCGGCCCGAGACAAGAAGACCCGCGTCACCCCCCGACGCCTGCAGCTCGCCATCCACGACGAGAAGCTCAACAAGCTGTTGGGCAAAGTTACTATCGCGCAGGGCGGTGTCCTGCCCAATATTCAGGCCGTGCTGTTGCCCTGTCTATACAAGTGACTGACTAGGCAAACAGGACTAATGAGAAAATGTTTAATATCTCAAGTAAGTGCTTTAATGTAGTCGGGAAGAAGCAAGTTCAGTAACGTTTACAAAACCTTGTAAAGTTTAGATGGACAGGGCCACTGCAGTGTTCAAGTTATCCTGCAGAAGAGGCTAGTGGGGGTGGTATCCTGGAATATCATCAATAGGACCCAACGAAAAGTAAATGATAAGAGTCGTTGGAAAACCTAAAATTAGCCTGTGCCTTAAAAATTCTCAACCGAAGCAAAACACCATTTGGGACAAAATAGAATTCAGTTAACATTTGTTGCTCACTGTTGTATGTCGGTGACTTCTTGGCTCGTGATTTCCCAGGTACATCACCCAGGAATCCTGCCTTATAATGGTCAAAGGTTTCCAGCTAGCAGCAGTCCAGGTGACTCAAGAAAACGGCACAAGATAAACTTCTCAAAACGTGGTCCTCCGAATCTGGCCCCACAACACATCTACTGAATGAGAATTAGCGTCTTCCAAGTCTTAAAGTAGTCGTTTACGGACTACAGCTTGAGAAGCGCAGAATTAGAACTTTAAGAAGTTAACGTTCTTGGATCGCAGACTAACCGAGAAGAGAGGATTCAAAAATGAAGTGATTCATCCAATCAGATTTTCCAGTAATTCACCAATCACATCGTTGGACTCTTCAGCCAATGGTTTTGTTGCGCGGGTCTTTTGAAAATCAACAAGGCCAATTAGAATGTTTCTGAGTATATATAAGGGCAGTTTCCACTCTGCCAAGTGGCTGAGTTTTTCTTTCAGGTAGTCTGAGATGGCCCGCACCAAGCAGACTGCACGCAAGTCCACCGGTGGCAAAGCGCCGCGCAAGCAGCTGGCCACTAAGGCGGCTCGGAAAAGCGCGCCGGCCACCGGCGGCGTGAAGAAACCTCATCGCTACCGTCCCGGCACCGTGGCTCTGCGCGAGATTCGCCGCTATCAGAAGTCGACTGAGCTGCTGATCCGCAAGTTGCCTTTCCAACGCCTGGTGCGAGAAATCGCTCAGGACTTCAAGACAGATCTGCGCTTTCAGAGTTCCGCGGTGATGGCCCTGCAGGAGGCCTGCGAGGCCTACTTGGTGGGGCTCTTTGAGGATACCAACCTGTGTGCCATCCATGCTAAGCGAGTGACTATCATGCCCAAGGACATTCAGCTCGCTCGCCGCATTCGTGGGGAGAGAGCGTAGAGGTTTCCGGGCAGTAATTCTATCCAACTTAAAAAGGCTCTTTTAAGAGCCGCCTACTTTCACCCGAAAATAGCTGTGATTAACTAATCAAATCTTTGAAACTAAACATTGGTTTTAGTACTTAAGTCCTCATTTGATTGGCTAAAGTTAATGGTAAGCTTGCTATATTTGTTCCCGTGCTTTTTCCCGAAAGTGCCAGATTGTCAGCGTCCTTTTCTAAACTGGCTTTTAGGGGTTTGGAGCTTCGATTTGGTAGTGGAAGGGGCCACCTGGGGGCGTTTATATACATTGTCTCAAGCGTTAGTCGCGTTGTCTACTTACACCCATTATAGATGGGATTTTTTTTCGTTGTGTATTTCTGGTTAATCCCTTTTAAAACTTTACAGGTATGAGCATTGGCAGTTGAGAGTAGGTAGGGATATCCTTGGTTGCTGCTTTTTCGTGTCTGAAGCAGCTATTTCCACAATTCCCCCTTTTTTTAAACAGTTCTTGGTTTTTCTGTGAAATGATCCATTTTTTAATTCAATATTAGAAATTGGCGGCAGAAACGAAAGCCAGATTGGCCTCTACATTACTGGCAGCATGGGCATTACGTGGGAACTTGTTAGAAGCTCCCAGGGCATTACATGGGAGCTTGTTTCAATCCCCATCTAGGGCTGGAGTCAATCTGCATATACCTCAGATGATTCTCATGAACACTGATTTAGGAAGCCTAGGTTGTTGGTTTTGGTCTCATCAGTAAAGGCATCCTGCCTGTGAACTCTTACAAGGAGTGAGCTTTTGCAAAATGCATGTTTATTTATGTTACAGAATGAAATATTCTATGAAATGTTCTCTAAAGCAAGTGCACAGAACAATCCCCTAAAATAGTTTGATTTCTTTACAGATCAGTTTTCTCAATGTAACATTACAGTCACATGGGAAGGCTTTAGAAAAATCTTTACCTGGGGTTCAATGAGACTAATAGCAATCTAGAGTGGGCCCAGGGAATGGTAATTATTAAAATTCAGGTGCTTCTAACAGCTGGGGCTGAGACTCCTTGCTACATAAATTTTAATACTCTTATTAGCTCTGGTTTGACTCTAGGCTTAGCAGTTTTCTAATTGAATCAGTTTCCTTGTAGTTTGCCTTCAGAGAGAATATACTGGTCTCTAAAGACTTTCTGGCTTGCTTGACTATCTTTCAACACCTGGCTTTTATAAGAATTTCTTAGGGCAACACTAATGTAAGTTTTTTCTTTTTTGTTTTGTTTTGTTTTTTGTTTTTTTGAACCACCGAGGTCCTTTTAGTGATTGGAAGTATCAGGTTTTTAGGGATGTTACAAGGAGGAACACATACCATCCTGGGCTGCTTGGCATACAACCAAGATATGTTTTCATATAGAACCCTTCCTTTACAGATTAGCACAAGGCCCTGTTTGGGTATTCAGCAGATCCTTCTTTATGATCTTTATTAATTTAGCAACTTGTCATTTTTTTTCACATATTGCTTTTATTTTAAAAACTTATTTGACATTCCAGAATATATGGGAAAGGAGATAATAGTTTAATAAAACCTATGTTCCTCTCATCCAGCTTCAATAACAACATTGGCTAAGTGTTTTATCTATTGATTTTTGTAAAGCAAATAATGAAACTGCCTAATGGGTTCACCTTGCCCACTGCCTAGACAAAGCTGATTTATCTAGGCAGGGAATTGCAATAGAGAAAGTAATTCACGCCGAGCCAGCTGTGCGGGAGACCGTAGTTTTATTGTTACTCAAATCAGTCTCCCCAGCATTCCAGATGGGGGGGAAGCCGATGAACCAGGAGTCCTGATTGGTCAGGTCAGAGATGTCATTATAGGGAGCTGAAGGTGTCTCCTTGGGCTGAGTCAGTTTCTGGGTGGAGGCCACAAGATCGGATGAGTCAGTTTACCAATCTGGGTGGGGCCAACTGATCCATCAGGTCTGCAAAATATCTCAAGCACTGATCTTAGGAGCAGTTTACGTGGGGTCAGAATCTTGTAGGTTCCAGCTGCAGGACTCCTAAACCATAATGTGTGTGTTTTTTTTTTTCTTTGAGACAGTCTCACTGCGTTGCCCAGGATGGAGACTGTAAACTCTGCCTCCCAGGTTCGAGCGATTCTCCTGTTCAGCCTCCCAAGCAGCTGGGATTACAGGCGCGCGCCACCATGCCCAGCCAATTTTTGTAGTTTTAGTAGAGACGAGGTTTCCTCATATTGGCCAGGCTGGTCTCGAACTCTGGACCTCAAGTGATCCACCCGCTTTCGCCTCCCAAAATGTTGGGATTACAGGCGTGAGCCATTACGACCTACCCCTAAACCATAATTTCTAATCTTGTGAGTAATTTGTTAGTCCTACAAAGGCAGTCTAGTCCCCAGGCAAGGAGGTTTGTTTTGGGAAAGGGCTGTTATCATATTAGTTTTAAACTATAAACTAAGTTCCTCCCAAAGGTAGTTCAGCCTACACCCAGGAGTGAACAAGGACAGCTTGAAGGTTAGAAGCAAGATGGAGTTGGTTAGGTCAGATCTCTTTGTCTCAGTTACAATGTTGCAATGACAATTTCAATATCATTTCATCTATTTTATATATGTTATCTGCTATTTAACACCTTATTATGGACCAGGTGCCTTGGCTCACTCCTGTAATCCCAGCACTTTGGGAGGCCGATGTGGGAGGATCACATGAGGTTAATTCTTGACAAACCTGGCCAACTTGGTGAAACCCCATCTCTACTAAAAATATAAAAATTAGCTGGACCGGGCCTGGTGGTGCACGCCTGTAATCCCAGCTACTGGGGAGGCTGAGGTAGGAAAATCTCTTGAACCTGGGAGGCGGAGGTTGTAGTGAGCCAAGATCATGCCACTACACTCCAGCCTGGTGACAGAGCGAGACTCCATCTCAAAAATAAAAACAAAAATAAATTATGATGCCATCATTACTTTTATAACAAATAGTATTTCTTTTTTAAAAATTTAATATGATCCATTTTGGTTGACATATTTCTTCAACATTGATTTTTATTTACTGCAAACAACACTGGTTGAGAATTTACAATGTACCAGATGCTGGTCTGTGCATTGGAAATACACCCAGAGAACAAAACACAAAATTTTTGCTTTCATGGAATTTACATTTGAGTCTGGAATAGACAGAAAATAAACTAGATATGTTTATGTAATATGTTAGATGGTGAGAAGGAAAAAAAAATAGAGCAAGACTAAGGAGTGTCATGGGAAGCTGAAATTTAGATAAGGCAACCAATGAAGACCCCACTAAGAAGATAATATTTCAGCAAAGAGCTGAAAGGTGAGGAAGCAACCTGTGCGGATGTGTTCAGGGAGAAAAGGAGGGAGACTCCTGAGGCACCATGGTGACTATGGGGAATGAGCAGGGGACAGTAGGAAATGAAGGTGGAGAAAGGGCAGAATAATTTTCCCTTCAATTCCCACCTCACACAGGTTCTTAGTTGAAACAAACCCATGTAACAAAAGACAGATTCACAAATGAAAAACAAGCAGAAGTGTATTAACATATATATTACATATACATGAATGACACCTAGGGAATGAGTACACATTGAGGTGGCTTTGAATTCCAGCTTTTGTGTAGTGTCTTCAACAAAGAACAGTGAATTTTTAGATAATTTAGAAGACGAAGGAGAAGTACTTTGAGTGTCCAGGGGCGGCAATGTTGGGGAAAGCAAACATAGATAAAGGGTAGTTAGTAAAGCTTGCTTTATAGAATCTTCTGGTGCATCACCAGGCCCATAAGAGTGAAAGCTCTTTTCTGTACTTCTTTTGTTCTCCCCAATAGTGTAAACCAAAAAGTGACCGAGCAGATCTCCACTGATTCACAGGTTTATTTTTGCCAAGGTTGAAGATGCATCTAGGAGAAAGAAACACAAGTTACACAAAGTCTATGGCCTGTGAGGCCCAGGTGGGCAGATCACTTGAGGTCAGGAGTTCGAGACCAGTTTGGCCAACATGGCGAAACTCCATCTCTACTTAAAAAATACCAAAAAATTAGCCATGCATGGTTGCACGTACCTGTAGTCCCAGCTGCTCTGAAGGCTGAGGCATGAGAATCGTTTGTACCTGGGAGGTGGAGGTTGCAGTGAGCCGAGATCATACCACTGCCCTCCAGTCTGGGCGACAGAGTGAGACTCTGTCTCAAAAAAAAAAAAAAAAAAGAGTTTAGTATATTCTTATATAAAAAAGACGTAGAAAAGTTAAAATGGATAAAGGGAATGACTGCCAGAGGACAGGAGGGAATGTGGTAGACAGCTGTAATTTTAAAAATGGTGGATGGGGAAGAACTCACAACTGAGATAAGACTGGGAAAAGAAAATAACTTTTTTTTTTTTTTGTACAGACGAGGCTTCACTATGTTGCTCAGGCAAGTCTCAAACTCTTGTGCTCAAGGGATCCTCTCACTTTGGCCTCCAAAAGTGCTGGGGCTACCAGACCTGAGCTACCACACCAGGCCAAGAAAATAACTTTCATCTGAGGAATGGGAGTCATTTTAAATTATCAGGCCCACAGTAACATTAAAATGAGACAGCAATCACAACCTACTCCCCTCTTTGAGCTATGTATTCATCTCTAGATACTGCTTGTTATTGTTATAAGTAGCTATAAGTTTATCTAATAATGCCACATCCCACACTGTAACCCACACCCTGTAGCTTTACAATGTATAGCCAATAACTAATTAATGCTATTTCTGTAAACCAAGGAAAATTCCTGACAAAAAATTTTGTATCAGCCCACCTTCTGTCCCCCCTTTTTTGCCTTTAAAAACCTATTTTTAACAAAGGCCAGTGGAGCTCATATCCAAGATTACTTGGGCCTGAGATTTCTGAGCTGCTGTGCTGACTTTGGCTCAAGTAAATTCTTTTTTTTTTTTTTTTTTTTGAGACAGAGTCTTGCTCTGTCACCCAGGCTGGTGTGATCTTGGCTCACTGGGTTAACGCCATTCTCCTGCCTCAGCCTCCACAGTAGCTGGGACTACAGTGCCCGCCACCATGCCCGGCTAATTTTTTGGTATTTTTAGTAGAGACAGGGTTTCACCATGTTAGCCAGGATGAGTCTCCATCTCCTGACCTTGTGATCCTCCCGCCTCGGCCTCCCAAAGTGCTGGGATTACAGGCATGAGCCACCGTTCCTGGCGCCAATTCTTTTTTTTTTTTGAGACGGAGTCTTGCTCTGTCACCCAGGCTGGTGTGCAGTGGTGCGATCTCGGCTCACTGCCACCTCTGCCTCCTGGGTTCAAGTGATTCTCCTGCCTTAGCCTCCTGAGTAGCTGGGACTACAGGCGCATGCCCCCATACCTGGCTAATTTTTGTATTTTTAGTAGAGACGGGGTTTCACCATGTTGGCCAGAATGGTCTCCATCTCCTGACCTCGTGATCCACCCTCCTTGGCCTCCCAAAGTGCTGGGATTACAGGCGTTAGCCACCGCGCCCGGCCATAAATTCTTTAAGTTATGATTTGTGCCTCTGCATCTTTCTTTTAGGCCAACAAGGCTGAAGGAAATCAACTATTTCATCCCCAAGTATACTTCTTTGACATATTTTGAGATGGCTCTTTGGAGGGTCTGCAAACAGAAGTTGCCCTGCAGAGCTGCCTTTTGTGGAGATGTGCATCTGTAGAGAAAACCTGCTTTGGTGCTGCCAGGGTTTTTTTCTGAGGCTTTACCTTGTCCAATCTAGGAAAGATTAAGTGTCTGACACCAGGCTGGGCGCAGTGGCTCACGCCTGTAATCCCAGCATTTTGGGAGGCCGAGGCAGGCAGATTTGAGGTCAGGAGTTAGAGACCAGCCTGGGCCAATGTAGCGAAACCCCGTCTCTACTAAACACACAAAAATTAGCTGGGCATGGTGGTGGGCGTCTGTAATCCCCGCTAGTCAGGCGGCTGAGGCAGGAGAATTGCTTGAACCCAGGAGGCGGAGGTTGCAGTGAGCCGAGATTGTGCCATTGCACTCCAGCCTGTGCAACAGCGCGAGACTCCCTCTCAAAAAAAAAAAAAAAATCTGAGTCTGACACCTTTAAAGGTCTGAAAGAAACATTTACTATATATGTATTCTTCTTGAGGGCTGTTACCTATGAGTTTTCATCTACATAACAAGACCACCTTTGTTAGCAAAGCCCTCCCATAACCTGTCTTGCATGATTGACCACCCTAACCTGTTTTTGGCCATGCTCTGAGTCCCCATTCTTTAACCTAAAGATGGCATTTAAGCTTCTGTACCCCCTGCTGGGGTTGGGGTAATTACTCTGTGGTTCTCCCTCCTGCATGTTAATAAACTTGTGTGCCTTTCTCTCCTATTAATCTGTTTTTTGGTAATTGATTTTTGAGAAAAACTTCAGAGGGTGAAGGCGAAGATTTTTCTTGGTCCTGACAAGACTGAGCAGAGAAGAGAGTGAGTTCTTTATACAGCTGTAGGAAGATCATACCAGAGAGAAGAAACATTGATTCATGGATCCTGAGTTGGGTGCATATTTGGGCTATGGACATTGTTCTGATAGCCAACTACATAAAACCAGGGCCTTTGTTTTTCTTAAGCTGGAATTTCCAGGTAACTCAGTACTGATTTATACTTTTTTTTTTTGAGACGGAGTTTCGTTCTTGTTGCCCAGGCTGGAGTGCAATGGCACGATCTCGGCTCTCTGCAACCTCCGCCTCCCGGGTTCAAGTGATTCTCCTGCCTCAGCCTCCTGAGTAGCTGGGATTACAGGCATGTGCCACAATGTCCAGCTAATTTTTGTATCTTTAGTAGAGATGGGGTTTTGCCATGTTAGTCAGGCTTGTTTCCAACTCCTGACCTCAGGTGATCCACCCACCTTGGCCTCCCAAAGTGCTGGGATTACAGGAGTGAGCCACCGCGCCCTGCCTTCTTTTTTTTTTTTTTTTTTTTTTGAGACAGAGTCTCACTCTGTTGCCCAGGCTGGAGTGCAGTGGCAGGATCTCGGCTCACTGTAACCTCCGCCTCCCAGGTTCAAGCACTTCTCCCTGCCTCAGCCTCCCAAGTAGCTGGGAATACAGGTGCCTGCACGCCTGGCTAAGTTTTGTATTTTTTTTTTTAGTAGAGATGTGGTTTCGCCATGTTGGCCAGGTTGGTCTTGAACTCCTGACCTCAGGTGATCTCCCCACCTTGGCCTCCCAACGTGCTGGGATTACAGGCATGAGCCACTGAACCCGGCCTGATTCATACATTTTAATTTTTCAAACGTGTTGCTCCAGATACCCAAGGACATTCAGTTAAGACAGTGAATCAAGAGGCAGGGGCAGGAAAAGATAAGCAATGAGTGCTAACCCCATGGAAGACTGCTCGCCTTATTCAAGGATACCAGTAGTTAAGGAAAGAGTATTATTATATGATAATTTATTTAAAATAAAAAATAAGAGATCTGCAAAATTGCTATCATTTTACTTTTCACATGAAAGAAACCAATGTAATCTTTACAAGGCTTTATATGCTGTAACATTTTCTGAGATTTCATTATACTAGATATCTACGGATGAGCTCCAAAGTACAAAGAAAACTGCTCCTACTAGCAACAGAACTCCACATTAAAATTTCTATAATGGTTATAATGTGATGGCCGAATCCATAATAAAACAAAATTAAATTATGATGAAGATGATACATGTTCCCAGCTACTGATTTTGAGCCCTAGATAAACCTTGACAAAAAATTGAGAGATCACATTTCTTCTTAATCCTTCATATTGAGTGAGACTATTGTCCGATATGAGATCCAGGGATTTTATTTATGATTATAACTGTCAAAAATGGACTATCAATTACTTTCACTTTTTTGGTTAAGTGCAGTTAGAGGAAAAAAGACATATCTGGTGTCTTACAAAATTTACCCAGATTATTCTACGAGACTTTTGGGGAGCAATGTCAATATTATAGAGTCTCTGTTTTCTCCTTGAGCTTTTCTTTTCTTATTTTTCTTTTCTCTTTTCTTTTCCTTTTCTTTTTCTTTTTTTTTTCTTTGAGACAGTCTTGCTCTGTTATCCAGGCTGGACTGCAGTGGCATGATCCTAGCTCACTGAAGTCTCAAACTCCTTGCCTCAAGCAATCTTCCCACCTCTCTCTCCCAAAGTGTTGGATTACAGGCATGAGCCATCACCCCCGGCCGCCTTACTGATTTTATTTAATTTTTTTTTCTTTAAATATAGAGATGAGGTCTCGTTATATTACCCAGGCTGGTCTTGAACTCCTGGGCTCAAGTGATCCTCCTGCCTCAGCATCCCAAAGTGCTGCAATTATAGATGTGAGTCACCGCATCCAACCCTCCTTATGCTTTTCTAATGGAGGACCCAAGAGGCAACATATCCAATGAAACTACCTCATCCTTATGGTCACATCCACATTTGAAAGATCACTAGGCTGTGGACAGAAGTTCTACTGCTGATAGATGTGAATATAGCTTCCTCTCCTCTGGTTAACTCTTAAGAAGTCCACATTTTGCTTTGTTTCTCTCCATGAAATCTTATGTTTCTTTTACAGATGAAGTGTTTTGACCTGAAGATTCATCCAGCAACAAGTGAATGCATTTCCTTTTAGAAATTAAGAATCTAGACCCTTCTTTGGTGCAGAGCATACTAGTTAAGATAAATACAAGTTTATTTTCTGCGGATATGAGGTTCAAAAAGGGTATTCTAGATCAGCAGGTCCCTCTTTCTTCTAGCAGTGGTTCTGGAACCTAGATGCCCTCTGTCTTTGTGGCTTAGCCATCCTAAATGTGGCTTCTACATTTGCCCTGCAAGGGGAAAGAACATGGAAAAATCCTTCGTGGAAAGTTATTATGTCCCAGGCCTGGAAATGTCAATCTTTACTTGTGTTTATGTTCCATTGGCAGGAACTTAGCTAAAAGGCCACACCTAACTGGAAGAGAAGTTGAAAATAGAGGTTTCAACGTGGGCCCCAAAGAAGAAAAAGGTTAAATTAATGACCAGAATTAATAAAAGGCATATGAAATTATTAACGTGTACACTGCAGAGGGGGGTGGATAGAGTGATCACCCAATACTGCAATTGGACATAGATGTTTATTCTACTTCCTAGGGAAATGGGAGCTTGAGAAGTGTTTTTAGGGATATAATAAATGATTTGTAGGGGAATTCAATGGGCTTGAAGAACATGCAAGGGCCTGGGACAATGTCTGTTAGGGCTGCAGAGTAGACAGTGGTTTGTGACAAAATCTATCTAGGTTTGTTGACAGGCTTGTGTTTCTCCCTGTGATATTAGTTCATTTAATGAAAACTCAGAGTAGAGACTAAAGATAATTGTATTCTTTGGCAGGTTTGGACTTTAGGCAGATAAGGAACTTCTGAAAACAACTTCATCCTGTGCTTTGGGAGACGGAAAGGATTGAGAGACAGGAGGGGTGGGGAGAAGGTCAGAGAGACCTTGTAGCTTCTTCAGTTCAGCATGTCAAAGTGCAATATTTTGGGATATCAGTTTCTGAGCCCCAGCAGTGTCATATATCTTTGATTTTAGATATCCTCTCTTGCTCTAAATCCATTTCCAGAAAATCTGCTTATCTTCTGAAGTTGCTGTGCAGAAGCCCCCATTTTGTTCTTGATACTGGTAGAAAGAAAAGTGAAATAGAAGTCAGAATTCTTTGTTAGACCCAACTCTAACTAAGCTTGAGCAATCGCCTCATCATTACGAAAATCCATTGTTTCTATTTTGTAAATGAGGAAACAAGCTGAATGTTTCTGCATAATGCCTAAAGTCATCCAGTTAATAAAAATGATGTAACAAATTTCAACCCGGGTAGTGGGTCTCAAAACTCTCCTAATGTTAAGCATATTCCACTGCTGTGCTATAGTTTGTGAAAATAAATAAAATATGATGTGATGGTGCATTCCTGTAGCCCGTCCTACTCTGGAGGCTGAGGTGGGAGAGTCATTAGAGATATGAGCTGGAGGCTGCAGTGAGCTATGATTGTGCCACTGCACTCCAGGCTGGGTGACAAAATGAGACCTCATTTCCTTAAGAAAAAAAAACACACAAAAAAACCAGCTGTTGGAATTCCCAAAACACATTAAGCTTGAGAGAGATGAGATAACTTGAGTTCTCTTTTTTCTTGTTATATACAATGTCATGTCCAGAATTAAGCAACATTAGGCATTAGGGACAAAAGTCTCCTGCCTTTTTTTTTTTTTTTTGAGACGGAGTCTCACTCTATCAGCCAAGCTGGAGTGCAGCGGCATGATCTTGGCTCACTGCAACCTCTGCCCCTTGGTTCAAGCAATTCTCCTGCCTCAGCCTCCCGAGTAGCTGGGATTACAGGCACCTGCCACCATACCCGGCTAATTTTTGTATTTTTTAGTAGAGATGGGGCTTCACCATCTTGGCCAGGCTGGTCTTGAACTCCTGACCTCGTGGTCCACCCACCTCGGCCTCCCAAAATGCTGGTGTGAGCCAACTTGCCTGGCCCTGGCTTCTTAATTAATGATCCTTGTTTAACCTCCCCTTTGTTGTCCTGCTTTGCGGGGTCTGCCCCACAGACACTGGCTGACTGATGGATGAAAGGAGTACTCACACACAGGTATGCAGTGTAGCAGCTAGGGGACTGCCTGGATCAAGTGGCCAAAGTGCAGCCCCCAGAAGCTGGAGCTGCTTGCTTTTATTCAGTGCAGGCAGAATGCCGAAAGCCTGGAGCAAACACAATCTGTGGGTAATTAACATATTGTTCCCCTTTCAGGGGACGTCAGTCACACGGATGTTCAAAGTTCAATTCCTGGACAACTTCAAACGAACAAACCTGATCAAGATAATTTCACCTTCACCCCCTTGCACATACTCCTCACCCTCTGCTTCAGGGTTAGAGAACAGCTGCCTTTAGCTATTCTTCCCCGAAGCTATGCAGAGCCTTCTGACCCTTCAGAAGGCCTGCTCCTTTCCTTACAGTTTCTCTCACCACTCTGACTGATCTCCTACATCTCCCCCTTTTCTGTTTTTGCATCAGGTTTTGTTGATTGAAGAATACAGATGTGTGCAGTGACAAGCTTGACAGGTGCAGCGGTTACAGCTTGTGTTCCAGCTTTGCATCCCAGAAGCAGTAGGTAACATAAGACAAGCGTGAGTATAATCAGTAATATTCATTTCCAATCAAAGAGTGACCCACAGGAGTGGGGGTCTATCCAGGAGAGGTGATTTTGCACATTGTTCTATAGGGCTGTTACTGAGGAACCCCACCAGGGGTATGTTTATCCCTCCTACCCAAGCAGTCACATTGGTAGAAGCTGGGAAGGGGGTGTCTGCCCAAGTAACAGGGCGGAAGAAAGGTGGATCTAGAAGATGGGCCTAATAGAGTGTAGCAGGTACGAGTTGCAGGCAGAGTGAGAGAATAAGAAAAACCAATACCCTGCGAGTGTTGCAATGTACAACGGAGGGCATAGCAAGGAACAGATTATCTGGAGTGAATGGTGTTTGTGTCTGGAGCAGGATTTGCTCAGCTTCCTGAGTTGTCTTCTTCAGCATAATGTCCGGGGCCTGTGTCGTCCGAGGAAGCCGCATCGTTTTGGGGCTGCAGGTCCTGCAGGGTCATTTCCTTTATTTTTGGTACCGGGTTGGGTTCCAGCCATGCCATGGTATGGTTTCATATGTCGCGCAGAAATCCAAAGAGGACCTGAGGGGGTGTGAACACAAGCATATCCTCTTCCCCACGTTAACAAATCATTTGGACCTCACCATAGCTTACTATTTACATCTTTCCATAAAAAGTAAAGGTTTTATGTTTTGAAAGGTTTTTGCAAAGTGCTTTTCTATGGCTGATTGAAATTTATCGTTTAAATTTAGGAAGTTAAGGGTAAATAAGCCTTGTGCTAGTAGTGTTGCAGGGTCCTTACTCATATTCCCCCTTTTCTGTTTTATGGCTTGTCCTTATATAGAAAGGGGTTCTTTTCCTGAGTTACTTTGGTCTTTACTATTGGGGCATTCCCGCTTCATATGACCTGGCTTTCCTCACTGAAAACAATTTGGATTTTTATCCCTTTTTACTTTTGGAGGCTTTAATGCCATAGCCAATATTCTGGCTTTGTGTGTTTCAGTCCCCACCAGCTGACATGCTCGTATGAGTTCCCCTACTGTAGCTGCTTTCCCTGTGACTGCTTGCATTGCTTGCTGGCAATCCACATTAACATTTTCATGGGCCAATTGCAACAATAAGATATCAGCGGTCTTGGCATGACTAATTTGTCTCTTAATTGCCTGGGTTAACTGATAGATAAATTCAACAAATGGCTCCTAACGACCTTGTGGAACATTTATAAAAGATCCCTGTTGAACTCTACCTTCGGGAATTTGGTCCCAGGCCCTGTGAGTGCACAAAGACAGTAGCGCATAGGCTTGAGGGACAAAATTTAATTGTTGTTGTACATTAACATAGGGACCCCTCCCCTGGAGCATAGCAGCTGATGTTCTGTCCTGCCAATTGATTCTGGTTAGCCTGTTGTTTGCACAATTCATTATATTCTGCCCTCTAGAGGAGGTATTGATGGGCCTCTAAAGTTGTTTTAGCTAGCACTGACCAGTCCCATGGAGTCAATATGGTAGTTATCTGCTATGACCTCAATTAATCCTCTTGTGAATGGGCTAGCAGGTCCATTTTCTCTAATGCTTTTCCTGATTTCCTTAAAAGTGTTGAAAGTAATAGGCTCATGTACCCAATTGGCCTGTTGATCTTCCATCACAGGACAAGCCAGGAGCTCCCCTTCTAATGCTGCTTGCCTAAGACAGGGTCCCATAACTGTAGTATATCTCTTGTCTTCTTCCCGATTTATTGGGGGAGGGGAATTAGGAAAATCCTCCGTCTCCTCTTTGGTATCTTTACCCGGGTAATGGCGGGGCTGAGGGAGGAGGAGGAGGCAGTAAGGTAGATGATGGTTCTTCCTCCCCTCCTTTTTTAGGCTCTTCTGTGTAGAGCAGGGCCAAAGCAGCCCTAACTAAAGCCCATAACATTAAAGATGTTACTGGGACCTGTTGCCCTTGTACATAATGTTGTTTAAGATTTCTTCCCAATTGCTCCCAGAGCCCTAGGTCTAGTGTGCCTTCTTCTGGGAACCATGGGTTATGGAATACAACAGTTTGCATTACATCCCTTAATTGAGCCTCCGAAACCAAGTCTCCACTAGCTTTAAGCAGCTGTTTCAATACTTTTATCTACTGTTGCTGTTGAGCTTATAACTGTTGTCCCATGATGAAACCCTAGCTTGAAAATCCCCTCGAACTTAGAAATCCCCAGTGGGGACCAATTACTTACTGAGCAGTCACTTTATTTTTGAGGGTTCAGTCCAGATCCGTTGCAGCATTCCTCATACAGGGCACCACTTGCCGGATCTGTCCTGCAGACCCTGGCTGACTGATGGATGAAAAGAGTACTCACACACAGCTATGCAGTGTGTAAGAGCAGCTAGGAGACTGCCTGGCTCAAGTGGCCAAAGTGCAGCCCCGAGAAGCTGGAGCTGCTTGCTTTTATTCAGTGCAGGCAGAATGCCGAAAGCCTGGGGCAAACACAATCTGTGGGTAATTAATATTTATTGTTCCCCTTTCAGGGAATGTCACGCACACACGCACACACGGATGTTCAAAGGTCAATTCCAGGATAACTTCAAACAAGCCTGATCAAGATAATTTCCCCTTGCTCCCTTGCACTTGCTCCTTACCCTCTGCCTCAAGGTTAGAGAACAGTTGCCTTCAGCTATTCTCCCCTGAAGTTGTGCAGAGCCTTGCTAAAAGCTCCTCTAACTTTATAAACGAAATCTGAACTTCCCTATTTCAGAATGCTATCTCTATCACTTTGGAATTGGTATTTCCAGGTGTTCAATCCTTATGCTTTGTGCTTGAATAAATTCTTTATATTCTTCAGTGTGCAAGAAGAAGGGCTTAAACAAAAACAAGAAAAATATATTCTGACCTTTTTGGTTATTTTTGTTTGATAAGTTGTTTTCTCCATGGGACAATATTTTCTCCATGGGACATTATTTTCTCCATGGGACAATGTTTCATATCCTAGATAATAAGGACCATGTGTGGTTCACCTTTGTGGTTTGATTCAAGTAATGTGGGCATTTCAGATGTGAAAGGCTTTGAGGAACAACGCAGAGTACCTTGAAATGAGAAAGCTGAACTGTTTAAAGCAAAAGGTGGCTGGGTGTGGTGGCTCACGCCTGTAATCCCAGCACTTTGGGAGGCCAAGGCGGGAGGATCACCTGAGGTCGGGAGTTCAAGACCATCCGACCAACATGGAGAAACCCTGTCTCTACTAAAAATACAAAATCAGCCGGGCGTGGTGTTGCATGCCTGTAATCCCAGCTACTCAGGAGGCTGAGGCAGGATAATCACTTGAACCCTGGAGGCAGAGGTTTCAGTTAAGCCATTGCACTCCAGCCTGGGCAACAAGAGTGAAACTCCGTCTCAGAATAATTAAATAAATAAATCAAGCAAGCAAGCAAGCAAGTAAGCAAAAGGCAAGGTTGAATCTTATTGGTGAGGGTCAGGGGGAGTCAATGCATAAAGAACATTGACACCAATAGGTATGTCTCCAATGTTGAGTTGAGAAAATCCAGGAAGATAGAGGACAGGACTAAGGCAGGTAGAATTGGAACTTCACCAGATTGCTGGCTAGAATGGATATTTAAAATAGCATAGGCAGACACAGTAGCTCACACCTGTAATCCTAGCACTTTGGGAGGCCAAGGCAGATGGATCACTTGAGCCCAGGAGTTTGAGACCAGCCTAGGCAACATGGCAAAACACTGTCTCTACAAGAAGATATTAAAAAATTTGCTGGGCATGTTGTTGTGTGCCTGCTGTCCTAGCTACTTGGGAAGCTGAGGTGGGATCACCTGAGACCAGGGATGTCGAAGCCACAGTGAGCCGTGATCACACCACTGTACTCCAGCCTGGGTGACAGAGTGAGACCGCGTCTCAAAAAACAAAACAGAAAAACAGAGTGCCATTGGACTTCAAACTCAGCCCAATCTCATTCATGTTAGGCATTGAGTCTGACCATGTAGCCCTGACTTCACTTCTCAAGGTGTTTTTCTGATTTCCTAAGCCCTATGCTGATTGCAAACAGCTACATTTGAAGTCAGCACCGTCTGTTCATGTTAAAATGAACATTTGATTCTAGTTAGAGATGCATTGTTTTCTTATCTTCCTAACTGAAGCAATTCTTGCCAATGTTTACTTTTTTTTTTTTTTTTTTGAGACAGGGTCTCTCACTCTGTCACCCGGGCTGGAGTGCAGAGGTGCAATTTTGGCTCACTGCAACCTCCACCTCCCAGGTTCAAGTGATTCTCCTGCCTCAGCTTCCCGAGTAGCTGGGATAACTGGCACAGGCCATCATGCCCAGCTAATTTTTGTATTTTTAGTAGAGATGGGCTTTCACCATGTTGGCCAAGGCTGGTCTCGAAGTCCTGACAGATGATCCGCCCGCCTCGGCCTCCCATAGTGCTGGGATTACAGGCGTGAGCCACTGCACAGGCCTTCCCTTCCTTCAGGATTAAATGTAAACATGATAGCTGGAGCTGGAACAGGGATATATTCAGAAAGACAAAATTACAATGTCATGCGGAAAACTACTTTAATGCAATGATAGCCTCCAAATACGCTACCAGGGAGGCTGTTCCAGAGGCT
Source organism: Homo sapiens (assembly GCF_000001405.40). Taxonomy (NCBI): domain Eukaryota; kingdom Metazoa; phylum Chordata; class Mammalia; order Primates; family Hominidae; genus Homo; species Homo sapiens. The sequence goes on along the minus strand of NC_000006.12, from coordinate 26,255,308 downwards.
ATGAATAGAAAGTCTCATAGCCCAATGTAAGTTTCCTGAGCTCCACGGCTTATTTAATTTTATTGAATCAATTTGAAACATATAGTTAGAAACAAGCGGAAAGAGCTTTGGCAAGTGAACACATTTCAGATAGGTTGCAAATGACACAGTCTCACTACCTGAATCCTTGGTTATGCATGTCATATGTGTGAGGTTTCTCTCTCCCCCTTGCATATTTTCCCCACTGAGAGGGTGATTTCGAGAAACAGAGTTCATGATAAGCAAAGGAGTCAGCAGATGCAAATTATGTGGAGCCAACACATGCTTGCTCTATTGGTATACAGCCACTTATATTGCTCAATAGTGGCATACTGACCAGCCATGCCTTTTATATGCATGCTGTCTGTAGAGGGCCAATGAAACCAGCGAAAATGGATGTTAACAGTGGGCGGTCAATTTATGACCCCATAAATATTGAGTACTTTATAAATATGTGGTGTCTCATAAATATCCAGCAGTTTTTGGTTCTTTCATCTCTTCCTGTCTCTGAGTAGTGCACACACAAGCCCTACTGACTTTCTCTATGTCTAACACGTCTCACAGGCTACTGATCTATGACTGATTATGAATATAGGTTTTGAATTTTGTCTACATCTCACAGACTTCTTGTATAGGTAATACTTAACACTTCTTGTGAATTTCATCTGTCCCATTTGTTAGGTTGGTCCTCCATGGGAGAATTCAATAGCAGAATATATTTGAGAGAATTCCAAATAATAAGAAACACATTATATATAGAGGACAAACACACATTTTATGTATATATGATATATATATATATATACAGAGAGAGAGAAAAAAATTTTTTTTTTCTTTTCTGAGACGGAGTCTCGCTCTGTCGCCCAGGCTGGAGTGCAGTGGCACGATCTTGGCTCACTGCAACCCCCAACTCCGGGGTCACGTCATTCTCCTGCCTGAGCCTCCCAAGTAGCTGGGACTACAGGCGCCTGCCACCACGCCCAGCTAATTTTTTGTATTTTTAGTAGAGACGGGGTTTCACTGTGTTAGCCAGGATGGTCTCAATCTCGTGACCTCGTGATCCGCCCGCCTCGGCCTCTCAAAGTGCTGGGATTACAGGCGTGAGCCACCGCGCCCGGCCGTGAGAGAGGGAATTTCTTTTTTTTTTTTTTGAGATGGAGTCTGGCTCTGTCGCCCAGGCTGGAGTGCGGTGGCGCGATGTCTGCTCACTGCAAGCTCCGCCTCCCGGGTTCACGCCATTTTCCTGCTTCAGCCTCCCGAATAGCTGGGACTACAGGCGCCTGCCACCACGCCCGGCTAATTTTTTTGTATTTTTAGTAGAGACAGGGTTTCACTGTGTTAGCCGGGATGGTCTCGATCTCCTGACCTCGTGATCCGCCCGCCTCGGCCTCCCAAAGTGCTGGGATTACAGGCGTGAGCCACCGCGCCGGCCGTGAGAGGGAATTTCTAAGGATATTCGAACTCCCATGTCTGAGCTGTATTAGCTTTGTGTGAGGGAAAAGTAGACTTTCATTTTTATTAACTAGTAACTATTTTAAGTTGTTACTTCCAGAGGTATCAAATACTAACTCACACAGGTGGACATTAAAAAAACCTTTTATTAAAAAATTATTTGCATAAATATACAATATTTGCTGTCTTATAGTATTACTTTCTATATTTCAGTGAGGTTGTACATTTTATTAAAGCACTTCTATGAAATCCTTGTAAATCACTGATGAGACATGGCCAGATGAGAATATAAATGGGTAGCCCCTATTTGTAACCATAGTTCCATCAATATAGACTTAAACTCTGTGCTCTCTCCCTTCCTCTGTCACGGCTCTCTTGTGCTCTCCCCACCCCTCCTCCCTGTCCACTAGGGAGGAGGCAAGAATGTCTACTTTTGAATTCCAGTGCTGCTGGCTCCTCTTCTTCTGCCATCTCTTTTGCTCCACCCTCCCTCCAGAACTGCCTCCAGGAACTTGCAAGTTTTCAAGATTATGTTAATTCACCTTTTGGCAATTTAAATTCAGTCCCATCAAAAGCCGGTTAAAAGAAAAACGTGACCTTCAGACTTACGTTTCTTTCTTTAGTTTGTGAGTTTATTGTACAAATATCCACTTTAGATTTCAATCCAGGTAAAGGACAGGGATAGTTTCTATCTTTCTCACTGCTCTTTACTAAGTATTTTCTGTAATTTAATAGGTTCTCAATAAATGAATAAATTACTAGTCCAACCACCAGATACTTTTGAGGAAAAACTGAACGTACCTCTCAGATATAGGCTCTTAATATACTCTTCCCTTTCCTCCTGCTACCCCCATATTTTATGAGCCAAGAGAAATGCCCATGAGGGTGGAGGAATGTGGGGATTTCAGTCTATATTACCCTACCATTAAAATCGGTAATCTTGATATTTAAAAAACCCACAGCAGGAGTTGTATACATAGTTTTGGTGATTCCTGTTAGCGTTTTCAAGTTAAGACTGCCTGAGCCTGGCCTTTTTGCTGACTGCCAACCAACGTTACCTAAAAACAAAGACACATTGTTGCCAGGCCCTTTACTATTTATATTCTCTGCTCTTCCTTGTCTTACAAATCTTAAGTTTTTCAAAGACAGCTAGAAGCCCTCATACTACTTGCCAAATAACTAAAGGTTTATTGCATGGCATTTTGTTTTCATTTCCATAAAGTTTGTCTCCTAATCCTTATCTATTAAGAAATTTAAATTTTTCTCAGGTACTTGGTAAACTACAATATCCCAGTTAACATTAACTTCCACGAGACTCCTACAAAGACCACATTATGCTATCTAGAGTGGGTTATTATAGGCACTAAATGTACTTTCAACTCATTTTGAATACTCAAACTTACCAGCTCTAGACTGGTGGACGTGTTGCTCCAAATTGATTGCATTTTAAGTTGCAAACTTAGTTTTTGGTTCCTAAACAAGAATGCCCACTTTTCCTGCTGTGTCAAATTATCTGCTCAGTAATACAAGGCAAGGCCGAGGTGGGAAAACTTGCTTGAGTTTAAGACCAGCGCTTGAGTTTAAGACCAGCCTGAACAATGTAGTTGTACCCCACCTTTATAAAGACAAATAAACTCTAAAAGCTTAGTGTTTGTCAAACGCACAGAATAAACAGGTGATGTAGGAAAATTTTACCTGTATTGGCGACACTTCTCCCATAGAATACAGCAGCACCCAGCATTAAAACTCTTAATTGAAATCATTAAGTGGCTCTGAAAAGAGCCTTTGGGTTTGAACATGCGTCCATTTATTTGGAGCTGGTGTACTTGGTGACGGCCTTAGTGCCCTCGGACACGGCGTGCTTGGCCAGTTCCCCAGGCAGCAGCAGGCGCACGGCTGTCTGGATCTCCCTGGAGGTGATGGTCGAACGCTTGTTGTAATGAGCCAGGCGGGAAGCCTCGCCGGCGATGCGCTCGAAGATATCGTTGACAAAGGAATTCATGATCCCCATGGCTTTGGAGGAGATGCCGGTGTCGGGGTGGACTTGCTTCAGCACCTTGTAAACGTATACGGAGTAGCTCTCCTTGCGGCTGCGTTTACGCTTCTTGCCATCCTTCTTCTGCGCCTTGGTCACCGCCTTCTTGGAGCCCTTCTTCGGGGCGGGAGCGGACTTAGCTGGATCAGGCATTGCAACAAGATAAAGGAGTAAGAATACACCCCAAAGTGAAGGCTCAACAGCACAGCTGGCCGTTTTTGTAGGTCTTTTATGCAAATAGGTGCTTAATCATTCTCAATCCCTGATTGGACCAAATCAGCCAATAAAAAAGTTAAATTCAAGTCTACTTTTTGATTGGATATTTATGCGAAACCTACCCTAAATCCTTTTCTACACCTCCCGGGGGAAAAAACGTAGTTTTTCATTCAAAACATTAGAAAAACTAATGCCTTGCCAGTAACATCTACCTATAAGTTCTGTCTCCTTAGGTGAGAATTTAAACAGAAACAAAGACGGATATTATGTTTCTAGTTTCCTACCAAATTGCAGCTTCCGGATTTAAAATTATCTATGAATAACTAATTCTAAAATGGAAATTAGCTAAAGATTTACGTGTTTCCAGAATTATACCATTGGCTTTCTTTTATAATCTGATCAAGGTCATTAGCATTCTTACATAAAAATTTAAGCTTTTTCAGTAATCAAAGGATGAACACATCTCAAGAGCGATGGGATTTTAATATCCCCTAGGAACGGAGTGTCTGGAAGTGAAACCAGTGTTTGTTGAAAGGTTCAGAATATATGAAATAGGGTACTTATATTAAAAATAAAATATTTCTTCAAAGTAAGAGTTTTTTAAAAAATATAAAGGAGACATTGAGCTGGACCAATCACTCTCAAACGCGGTATTTTTGAATCGCTCCGGAACTGCAGAACGTTCATTTCCGTCTGTCAAACATAATCCCAAACAAACTGATTAAAATAAAATCAATGAAGGTACGTAATACAGGTAGGCACATAAAACATAATAAAATGTAAGGAACTAGGGGAAAAAAGCATTTAGATAGGTTAAGATTTTCTAAAATGAGACCTAGTAGCTGATCACAAGTCCTATCACACTACATAATTCAGGGCGCGAAACTGGAAGATTCGGACCAATCAGAAGGACTTTGCCTTTATAAATAGGAGTAAGAACAACTGTTTGTTCAGTTGTGACCATTGCTTGAAACCCATTCCTATGGCACGCACGAAGCAAACAGCTCGTAAGTCCACTGGCGGCAAAGCCCCGCGCAAGCAGCTGGCCACTAAGGCGGCTCGCAAAAGCGCGCCAGCCACCGGTGGCGTGAAGAAGCCCCACCGCTACAGGCCTGGTACTGTCGCCCTCCGTGAAATCCGCCGCTATCAGAAATCGACTGAGCTACTGATTCGCAAGCTACCATTCCAGCGTCTGGTACGTGAGATCGCGCAGGACTTCAAGACCGACCTGCGCTTCCAGAGCTCGGCTGTGATGGCGCTGCAGGAGGCCTGCGAGGCTTACCTGGTGGGGCTCTTTGAGGACACCAACCTGTGTGCTATCCACGCCAAGCGAGTGACTATCATGCCCAAGGACATCCAGCTCGCTCGCCGCATTCGCGGAGAGAGGGCATAAGTTGTACTGAGGGTGTGCGCCAACTTAAACCAAAGGCTCTTTTCAGAGCCACCAACAATTTCAGTTGAAAGCGCCGTAGCACTAGGGAGTAATGTCTCCTAAAACAAGGAGGGTGGAGGGTTAGGGGATGGGGGCAGGGCCGGTGGCTCTTCTAAACTAGGCTTTTGTGTCTTGGCCATTGTCTTCAAAATGGCCGATAGTGGCGGCTCACGCCTTGTAATCCCAGTACTGTGGGAGCCCGAGGAGGGCGGGTTACTTATACAAAGGTCAGGAATTCGAGACTAGTCTGCCTAACATAGTGAAAACCCGTCTTCACTAAAAGTACAAAACCAAAAAACAAAAATACGGGTGTGGTGGCGCCCTCCTGCAGTCCCAGCTATATCGGGGGCTGAGGAAGGAGAATCGCTTGGACCTGGGAGGCAGCCGTTGAAGTAAGCCGAGATCGCGCCACTCCACTCCTCCATGGGTGACAGCGAAACCCTGTCTCAAAACAACAAAACAGAAAATGGTTGTGTGCTGAGGCAAAACCAAAACTACAGGGACAAAGGAAACAACTTGTTGACAAAAGTGTACGAAAGCTTTATTTGTGACAGTATGGGGAGTTAAATCATTATTATTCTTTTTGGCTTGCCCTGAGAGTTCATTTGAGACATCAACAGGAGAAACGGATACAAGTTAATATAATACAAATTTTACTTGGCATGGGAGCCTTCCAATTAAAACCCCGAGGTGCAGGTGAAGCTGTACACTATGCTCAGGGAAAACGGGGTTCAAGGAAATATTATTGCAACTTTTTTTTTTTTTTAGGCGGAGTTTCGCTCTTGTCAGCCAGGATGGAGTGCAGTGGCGCAATGCGGGATCCCGGCTCACTGGGACCTCCGCCTCCCGGGTTCAAGCGATTCTCCTGCCTCAGCCTCCCGAGTAGCTGGGATCACAGGCGTGTGCCACCACGCCCGGCTAATTTTGTAGCTTTAGTAGAGACGGGGGTTTCACCATGTTGGCTATGATTGGTCTGGAACTCCTGACCTCAGGTGATGTGACTCCTTGGCCTCCCAAAGTGCTAGGATTACAGGCGTAATCCACCGTGCCCAGCGCAATTTCTTGTTATTCTAGTAATTTAATCAGCCTGGCCAACATGGAGAAACCCTGTCTACTATAAATACAAAAAATTAGCCGGACGTGGTAGCAGGCAACTGTAATCCCAGCGACTAGGGAGGCTGAGGCAGAAGAATCACTTGAACCTGGGAGGTGGAGGTTGCAGTGAGCCGGGATCGTGCCACTGCACTCCAGCCTGGGCTACAGAGTGAGACCCCGCCTCAAAAAAAAAAAAAAAAAAAAAAAAAAAAAATCTAATTATTTCAAAATAATGTAGAAATAGGCTGTGATGGGATTGCTGCTTTTATTGCTTGGAATTCCATGGTTTATCAAGTTTGTTTGTTTGTTTTCCCCACAAATAGTTGTTTGCACTCTTGGCTTTTTGTTGTGGTGACCTGCTCATTAGGCCATAATTCATTTATGCAGTTACATGATTTTTTAGATATTGCTGACCCTGCTTCAAAAACCCATGATCTTTAGGACTGTTTGTTTGGTGCATCGTAACTGCACAATAAAAAATCCATTGTTATTTTGAACATTCTATTTTAGAGACATCATTTATTTCCACTTAAATGCTCTCGTTTAACTAGCTCAGCAAGTATTTTGTAATGTAAAAATTTAGTGGTGCTTATGTCTTTATTTTGGCTTGTGAGCAAATTCCCCTTTTCTCCTATTAACATTTATGACAGCTTTCCCTGAGTTTCCTGTTGTATCAACCCCAGAAGACAGTCACCCCCTGTACCTTCTGTCCTCCACATGAGAACAGGGCATGGAGCCTCTGGCAATTTACATTATCTTTTTTCTGGGCAATTCTTCATTGCTTAATTGTATAGTGCTTAATATAAGTGAAAGCACACTGAATGTATTGGTGTTGCAAAGGCAATGTTTTAAAATCCTTCGGTGTGCTTTACCTCTGCATTATTATTTTGTCTGTAAAAAAAGGCTGTGGCAATAAGAATTCGTTTACCAACTGGCCGGTGAGGTGGCTCACGCCTGTAATCCCAGCACTTTGGGAGGCCAAGGCGGGCGGATCACCTGAGGGCAGGAGTTGGAGACCAGCCTGGCCAACGTGAAATCTGGTCTCTACTAAAATACAAAAATGAGCCGGGAGTGGTGGCACATACCTGTAATTCCAGCTACTTGGGAGGCCGAGGTAGGAGAATAGCTTGAACCCAGAAGGTGGAGGTTGCAGTGGGCAGAGATTGCGCCATTGCACTCCAGCCTGGGCAACAAGAGCGAAACTCCGTATTTTAAAAAAAAATCATTTACTAACTATATGCCAGTGTTTTGCTTAAAGTAACTCAATTATTAACAAGTATTTACCCTTTTTACAGATAGGGCCATTGAAACTCAGATTAACATGTCTAATATCGGTGAGAGAGCAGTCACTCACAGATTCGAAACCAAAAACCAGGCTACTTCTCTTTAGCTGGGCGGCTTGGCAATATGATTAGGAATTCTTTTATGTCTTGGAATTTGGGCTTGTTTCAACTTCAGCATGGTAAATGCTCTAATATACAGGGAAGGAGTAAATCTTTTTTTTTTCTTTTTTGAGACGGGCTTCGCCCTTGCCCAGGCTAGAGTGCAGTGACGTGATCTCGGCTCACTGCAGGCTCCACCCCACGGGGTTCATGCCATTCTTCTGCCTCAGCCTCCTGCATAGCTGGGACTACAGGCGCCCGCCACCTCGCCCTGCTAATTTTTTGTATTTTTATTAGAGACAGGGTTTCACCGTGTTAGCCAGGATGGTCTCGATCTCCTGAGCTCGTGATCCGCCCGCCTCGGCCTCCAAAAGTGCTGGGATTACAGGCGTGAGCCACCGCGCCCGGCCAGGAGTAAATCTTTAAACACATACAGACATCAAAAATCGAGATACTTTCCTCTAGGTACATGTTTGACACTTTCGTTTAGAGATCCTTATTCTCTAAATGCCAGCAAATCTCCCTACTACAAGAGAATTTCTTATGTCTTGTTATTACTAGAAGTAGATGAGCGGGGACTGAATACGTTTTCCCGCCTTTCCTGGTCTTTCAGTTTTCAAAAAGGTCTACTCTACCGTTATATAAAAGGCTGCGGAAAGCGAGTAATCGTTTTGTTTAGAGATAGTTCTGACTTGTTTATCATGTCTGTTCGGGGCAAGGCCGGAAAAGGCCTTGGGAAAGGCGGTGCCAAGTGCCATCGCAAGGTACTGAGCGATAATATTCAGGGCATTACCAAGTGCACTATCCGGCGCTTGGCCCGGCATGGCGGTGTCAAGCGCATCTTGGGCCTCATTTATGAGGAGACCCGCCGGGTGTTCAAGGTGTTCCTGGAAAATGTGATCTGGTACGCCGTGACCAACACGGAGCACGCCAAGCGCAAGACGGTCACCGCCATGGCCGTGGTCTACGTGCTCAAACGCCAGGGAAGAACCCTGTAAGGCTTTGGCGGTTAAGTGAGGCCAGGCCTTTCCTTGCAATATCGTTAATGGCCCTTTTCAGGGCCGCGTACGTTTTCTTCCGAAGGGCTCACGTTTGACATTGTGGAAACTTAACTAACGCACTCAGCAATATTGTGTGTTTTATTGCTGTAGGTGCCCAAAAGCTGTTAGGTGTATAATGCTGTAAAGTATAAATTTACGCCAAGGCTGACATACAACATGGAATACAGGTGGTAAGTTAATCGTGTGTTCAGAGATTAGAAATCTGGTGGGCTGGCTGAGGACATCAACGGCTACATTGTCACTTAAAAGCTCTCAAAATGTGGTTATGGTAGTGTGTTTTTCTCCTTACTGTTAGGATTACCCTCCGTAATTAAAATTGTAGTTTTAGTGCCAAGATAACCCGACTTTTATATTCTGCTTAATAAGCAATTTCAATAACCAGAGAATACACAATAATTAGCACAAACTTGCCAGGTGCCGTTCTGACAAATGTGTCTGCAGTGGAGGGACTGGCCCCCTTGCTAGTTCAATGATCTAATTTAGCAGCACTAAAAGAAGTTTACCTGTTTCGTGCCTTTGCTTGTGATCCATCGTAAATATAGAAACACCTTGATAAGGTGTAACTGCAATAATTCGTGTCTCAATTTACTGTTTATGAAAGTACAGGGGTCAAAGAGCCAATTAAACATCTCAAGAGGGGGAAAAAACCTTCCAGAATGTGGAACATTTGGGACAATTGCTTTGTTCAAAAAGCCACCGAGAAAAACTGGAGGACTTTAAGTTTGAAGGAGATTAAAGTAACATAGCAACTAAATGTATTAATTGCATTCTGTCTCTAAAGTTTTAAAGGGCATTTTGGAGATAATCAAGGAAACTTGAACGTGAACTGGATAACAGGTCATTTTAGTAAGTTTTTAAAGAAAGGTTTGATATATTGAGATTACATGGAATTTCCCTTATTGTTAGGGGTTAGATGCTGAAGTGTGTAGGTGTAAATTCTCATGAGTCTGTCATTTACTTTCGGATGGTGGTAAAATCCACTCTATTGAATGTAGGTAGTGGATGACTGATAAACCCATCTTTTGTTATGTTTTATTCTGAATATTTTTATAATAAAAATTTGGGAAAAATTAACATAATAAACTGTTACAAACTCTGGTGCCATCACGGGAGAGGTCTCTGAACAGGTAAGTGTAAAAGACCTGTCTGCAGAGAGAGGATGCAAGTAGCAGGACACTGAGCCGCATGACACTTGTCATATGCAGGCACATTTATTCCTCTTGCTCTCACTCATCATGATCAGCTGTTAGCCAGAGGGGAGGGACATGGGAACAGGGCAGTTCAGGTACTGTTGGGAGAGGGTAGGTCTCCACTAGTGTGAAGACACAAGGGGCAATAAGTAGTTTGATGCCATGGAGACTGGGAATACATATATGACCAAAGATGCATGCCTGGCAGTTGCCTGATTGAGGAGGGCCTCCTCTTGCAAATTGAGAAACTGAGAATTAACCTTATGCTGTTGGAAGCATGTTAATGAGGTGTGACATGGAGAAACTTGCATTTAAGTTACATCAATTCTTTTGGATATTATGGCCATAAACTTTGTGCTGTGTAGTGAAAATATTGGGTTCTGCTAAGGTCAAGACAGGAAACAAGTAGCTTACTCACATGGGATAATTGGAGGAGGGTTTCTTAAAGAAATTATTTGCAAATTAAGGGCAGGATACAGAAAACTAAAAAAGTAGTGCCTCCATCCAGGTCTAGTAAGGATCACTTATAACCCTGAAGGGGCATGGGAAGCAATTGCTATAGCTGCAGAGAGAGGGATCCCTGGTCTGGAGAGATGCTGCTAACAGCCAATGAAAGGGAAACTGGGGAATAAATACCCCATCTCATTTTCCTCCTTTCCTCCAGTCTCCTGCATGGGGTTTCCACTGGCTGAATCCTTCCAGAAGGTGGAGGTCTGGGTAGCATATTGGTCAGAACCATACAGTTAGTCTCCCAAAGCCCAGGGCTTGGAGGAGAAAGTGGAAATAAGTCTAGAGGTCCTACTGGAAGACACTTTATGAGGAAATGACACCACTTCCATGTTTCATAAAATAAACGTCGTGAACAGTTCTGTGTTTCTATTATATGTTTTTTTTTTTTTTTTTTTTTTGGCCAATCCTTTGCCTTGCCACTGGAAACAGCTTGTAGAGACGGTGTCAAAGTTAAATTTTTCTGTAAACCACACAGGATCTACAGACTCTTATATAAGAAAAACTTTATATACTTAATTCCACAGAATTAAATATTTACTTTCTCAATCTATGAGTTTTTAACTTACAATGGTGTATGTTTGATTTGTATTATTTCACTTTCATAGGGGTAAATGAAACGACACAATAATCATTGTTTAACAACAACAAACACATGAAGCAGAACACAACAAAACTTTTTAAAAATAGATTTTAATGCAAGAGTCAATCTAGAATTTAAAAACCCTTTCTAGGATACACATTTTCTCATTGTTATTTATTTTTTCTGTCAAAGCCAAGCTTTTTACCTTTCAGGGTTTCTCCACTCTATTCTGTCAAACAACATTCCAGCAATTGCCATAATTTTCTATGGCCCTGTAAAGTATGACATAGTGTTTAAACAGTGAATTGTAGCCAAAATGACTGGCTTAAATATCACTGCTCTTGTGTGAAGTCACACATAGATTGGGAGCCACGCCAAGGATGTTCTGGGCCAGAGGACATGCAAGTGGAAAATCTCAAGGTGAGAAAAGCTTTATGTGTTTCAGGAAACAAAGGGCAACTAGTGTGGCCCCTTCCTCTGTTTACAAAAGGCATCACACTCCATTACCCTTATCACTTCTCTGACTCTGACTCTCCTCGCTTCTACTTATAAGGATCCTTGTGATTACAATGGCACCACTCAGGTAATCCAGAATCATCCAATCTCAAAAGCCTTAATTTAATAACATTGGAAAGTTACTTTTACCATTTAAGGAAACATATTCGCAGCTTTTGGGATTAAGATGCGGGCATCTGGGGGGGAGGCATTATTGCTACCAGAAGTATAGTAAGGCATAAAACCTTTTAATAGTGTTGTAAAACGACTCCGAATTCCTAAAATACACAAAAGTCCATTAGAAAATAGTTAAAACCCTTTTTGTTTGAAACTCTAAATTCTTAGTTGCCAGCTGACTGGTAATCGCACATTAACTGTGATGTTTAAAGGGATATTGAATAGATATTAGCATTCTTGGGAGGGCTGTAGAACCACGCCTGATGACACTCCCAGGGACAAACTCCAAAGCTGTGCTGCAGAACTAGTCAGGTGCTGGTGTGTCACACCTGTTATTTCTGAATCAGAACTTGACTCACCTGTAACCTATGGCTGCTGCTACTACCAAAAGTTGGCCCATCTGACATCTGTCACAGCAGAAACAGAGGCTTTAGGCAGTCTCTTCTCTCCTGGGTCCCATTTTTGAAGATAAGTCTTTTAAACCTGTGACTCATTGGTGAAGCCTAGGTTACAGATCTGCATTCCAGCTGCAAATGAGGCTGAGTATTGAAGTTCTGAAACCCAGGGAAGTGAGGCAATGTCCTAACCTGAGAATTTGACAAATATATACATTAAATAAATGGACCAGTATCTTTTGAACCTTTTCTCCTTCAAGTTCCAAAGTAAAACCAAAAGTACATCTATTTGAAACTAAAATTTTATGACACAATATTTTTACTTACTAGATGGGATACTTTGATAATTTCTAGTTGTTATATTGGATTCTATTTACGTTTTATATGCTGGTTGGGACCCACTAAATTATTTTCATTACCCGTGAATGGATCTCAATCTGCATTTTAAAAAGTCTGTAATATAAATTGTTGGCAGCCATGAATATTGACATTTGTGTAAAGGTGAATAGAGAAGATGGTTCTGTGGGAGTAGAGATATTGCTTAATTAAAGGGGAATGATTTTTATAACGGTATATTGGTGATGGCCCAGATAGCTTAATTTCATTGATTCCTTCAGTCATTGCACAAACATTTATGAACTAAATACTACATCCTGAGGATACTAAATTAAAGACATTGTTCAAGACCTGAAAATATCTTGGGAAGAGGGCAAGAATTACTCCCAACTATTTAAGTGTGCAGTAGCTCCTAAGTCGTATAGGGAATTCTGAAGTAGGGCTAGGGACATGTGTAGAGTGTGCTTCGTGAATTGTAAGGAAACCCCAGACACCGATTTTGCCCATAGGAATCAGGTAAAGGCTTCTTGAAGAGGAAACCCCAAGTTGAAGAATATTTGTGGAACAGTGTATGTAATGAATTACCATTGACAAAAAAAGAACAGATGAGAAGCCACTTCTTCGGTATGGTGAAAAAATGAAAACGTTAGGAGTCAGGATCGCGGGTGATAACCGGGTAGGTTGACAAAGCACAAGGAGAAACACTTTGGGTTATAAATTACCAGTACTTGAGAAATAAAGCAGTAAAATTATCAATGACCTGAAATCACAGTAAGTGCCCCAACAAAGAATTCACTGGGTAAGACAAAAACTTGGGCTTTTTTTTTTCTTTTTGAGACGGAGCCTTGTTCTGTGCCCCAGGCCTGGAGTGCAGTGGCGCGACCTCGGCTCACTGCAACCTCAGTCTCCCGGGTTCAAGTGATTCTCCTGCCTCAGCCTCCCGAGTAGCTGGGACTACAGGCGCGTGTCACCACGTCTACGTCTAATTTTTGTATTTTTAGTAGAGACGAGGTTTTGCAGTGCTAGCCAGGCTGGTCTCGAACTCGTTGAGCTCAAGTGATCCACCCACCTCGGCCTCCCAAGCTGCTGGAATTACAGATGGGATTGCAGACATGAGCCACCGAGCCCGGCCAAACTTTACTTTTTTTTTTTTTTTTTTGAGGCATGGTCTCTGTCGCCCAGGCAGGAGTGGAGTGGCACCATCTCAGCTCACTGAAATCTCCGCCTCCCGTGCTCAAGCGATTCTCCTGCCTCAGCCCTTGCAGATTAGCTGCGACAGCAGGCGTCCGCCACAACGCCGGGCTAACTTTCCTATTTAACTTTTTTAGTTGAGACGGAGTTTCACCATTTTGGTTGCCCAGGCTAGTCTCGAACTCCTGAGCTCTAGTAATCCGCCCGCCGTGGTCTCCCAAGGTGCTGTGATTCAGGCCTGAGGCACCGCGCCCGGACACAAGTAGTGGATTAAGTTTACCAGTAATTGATCTGTCCACAGCCGCCCTAAGATTACTCACGTTCTATGCCTAATAAATAACACTAAGGCCGGGCACGGTGGCTCACGCCTGCAATCCCTGCACTTTGGGAGGCCAAGAAGGGCGGATCACCTGAGGTCGGGAGTTCGAGACCAGCCAGACCAACACAGAAAAGCCCCTTCTGTACTAAAAATAAAAAATTAGCCAAGCGTGGTGGCGCATGCCTGTAACCCCAGTTACTCGGGAGGTTGAGTCAGGAGAACCGCTTAAACCCGGGAGGGGGTGGTTGCGGTGAGCCGAGATTGCGTCATTGCACTACAGCCTGGACAAGAGCAACTCCATCTCAAAAACTAAACATGTAATGCTAGTGTAGTTAAGTCCCAGCCACCTAACATAGGAGTAAATTTCAGAAACGTGGGAATAAAACACATCACATACGTCATAAAAGGCTGCTGGTATTCCCAAACCATTTCCACCATCTTTTCCTGTGAATGTTTGCGATCGAAATACCTGAACAAGTTTCTAATGTTTCGCCTTCCCTTTCTCCTTAGCACATCCGCCATCTTAGGAAGATCGCTAAAAACGGCTCGGTTTAACTCAGTTAGAATCCCAAATTTACAAAACGAAACCCAAGTCGTCATCAGTTACAGCCCTTCGTGTGACGAAGGAGGTGGCCCTGAAAAGGGCCTTTTATGGGTGAGCTGTTAAATAAAAAGCCGGGGTGAGGCTCAGCCACCAAAGCCGTACAGAGTGCGTCCCTGGCGCTTGAGCGCGTAGACAACATCCATTGCAGTGACTGTCTTACGCTTGGCGTGCTCCGTGTAGGTTACGGCGTCCCGTATCACATTCTCCAGGAACACCTTAAGAACACCGCGGGTCTCCTCATAAATGAGGCCCGAAATGCGTTTCACGCCGCCGCGTCGGGCCAAGCGACGGATGGCGGGCTTCGTGATGCCCTGTATGTTGTCACGCAGCACTTTGCGATGGCGCTTGGCGCCTCCCTTTCCTAAACCTTTACCACCTTTGCCTCTACCAGACATGATCGAAGACAAACAACAACTCTTAACTTTTGCAACTTTGCTACACACTGAAGCCCCTTATATATCAATTATGCGGACCTTTTTGGAGACTGAATTGGAGGGGCGGGAACGAAACCTCTGTCTCCGCCTTTTCCGTAACTTACTGGGCGTCCCCTACACTATTGCCTTGGGAAGGAAAGGGGGCGGTGAGGGTAGGGGAAATGCAAGTTGATTTGACTCCTTCCTGTTTCCTTGTTTGGGTCTTGAGTGTAGGTTTCTGTGTCTTCTAGTCCAGTGCCTGTGGGCTCTCGAACTGATAATGTCTGTCTCCTAAAATCCTTATTATTTGCAAAAAGGAGGCAGTAACGCTACACTTGTCTACCGAATGGATAGACAAGAGAATAAAATTATTATTTCTTTTGAAACAGTTTTGCTCTGCCCCAGACTGGAGTGCAGTGGCGTGATCTCGGCTCACTGCAACCTCCGCCTCTCGGGTTCGAGCGATTCTTCTGCCTCAGCCCCTGCAGTAGCTGCAACTACAGGCGCGCGTCACCACGCCCGGCTAATTTTTGTATTTTTAGTAGAGATGGGGTTTCGCCATGTTGACTAGGCTGGTCTCGAACTCCTGACCTCAGGTGATCCACCCGCCTCGGCCTCCCAAAGTTCTGGGATTACAGGCGCCTAGCTTTAATTTTTAAATGTGAAGATTCTTTGAAAATGTATTTTTACTAATTTTTTTTTTTTGATACGGGGTCTCACTCTGTTGCCCAGGCTGGAGTGCAGTGGCGCTATCTCGGCTCACTGCAACCTCCGCCTTCTGGGTTCAAGCGATTCTCATGCCTCAGCCTCACGAGTAGCTGTGATTTCAGGCACGCGTCGCCACACCTGGGTAATTTTTGTATTTTCTTAGTAAAGACGGGGTTTCGCCATGTTGGCCAGGGTGGTCTCGAACTCCTGACTTCAGGTGATCCACCCACCTTGGCCTCACAAAGTGCTGGGATTACTGGCGTGAGCCACCACGCCCGGCCATTTTTATTAATTCTTAAAATGTAGCAATACTTCTTAAATTTGGCCAATCATGAGACTTAGCGTTTGGCAGAGACATATACATTCACATCGTTTTTGGCATTCCTAATAAAGAAAGACCTCTAGTAAGGGAAACCAATATTAATTGAAGTTTCATTCTTAGTTTTTCAATGTATAATGCAATATCTGAGGTGTAAAGATAAGGAATCCCAGGCTTGAAGACATTATCCTCTAATAAATGGCATTGTATTGTTGGCTCGATTCTGGAGTCTCACTACCTTGCTACCTACCACTGCTTTCATGCCACTAAAGCATACATGGTAAATCATGGTGAATAAAGGTTTGTAAATTAACAAAAATAATACTAATAAATTCTGTGAAATACTGTCCTAATAAAAGATTCCGGAAGAAGTGTTCTACACACAGATCATAGGGTATGTGTAGTAGAAAAATTCAACATTAACTCTTACAGTCTACTGCTTCACATTCATTGCCTCCTATATACTGCAAGGGTAACTTAAAAATCCCGTCTCTGCTGGTGCCTAAAAGCAGTGAGAAGATTATTCATTTTGTGGAGTTAAGAGTCTACTTAAATTTTGGCTTAGGTTCAGTTACCTGTAGGAATAGACACAAGGATCTCAAGTGCTCTCCTTTTTGAGGTAGGCACCAAACAAGCATCATTCATTCATTCAACAATTTAATGTCCACTACATGCCAAGAATAGTGTACAAATACCAGGTTTACAAAGATAATCACATTTATTCTCTTAAAGAACTCAAAAGTTTAGTAAAGGGAAAAGTACACTCAGGGTTAGGGGGCAGATATCAGACCAGCATACTTCTACTTACTGTCAGGTATTTAAGGGCGGAGCAGCCATATCCCAGCTATACTGGCATCACTCTGAAGCTTGTTAGACATACAGAATTTCGGGCCCAACCCCAAATCAATGGAATTGATATTACATTTTTAATGAGATCTCTAAGTGGGTGGTAGGTATGCTCTTCCAAGTTTGAGAATAATTGTTTTAAAGCTCTGCTGTCCTATATTAGCCACTAGCAACATGTGCTCATTTTTATTTAAATTAATTTAAATTAAAAATTAATTTGCACACTTACTCTAGCCACATTACGGTACTCAGTAGCCACATATGGTTAGTGGCTACCTATTGGACAGTGTTAATACAGAATATTTTTATCATCGCAGAAAGTTTTATTGGGCTGTATCTGTGATAAGGGGGTTTCTTCTGAAGAGCTTCTAATCCAGTCTAGAAGGGAGGAGGGAGTTTGGTGGATGCCTGAGACATGTAAAGAGAAAACTGTAAGTTTGAGTATAGTAGTGGCCTTCTTAGGAAATAAAATTAACACAATACTGTTGTACTTGAAGAGGAATTTCAAGGAGCCAGTGTCCTCAGGTAAGACTACCTCATAGACGGTTACAATCGATGTGATTTCTCATGGACTTTTTGAACACGTTTGATTCTAACACAAAGCTTTATTTTCTATAATAGTCTATATATGTTTTCACCCCTTTTAATATTTATTCTATATAGTTTCTTTTTTTTTTTTTGGAAATCTTTAAAATCTGAATTGTGTGATGCTTAAGCACAGTGTCACTGGATTGATCTATTGAATACTACCTACAACTCTCATAGTCATTTACTATGGTGGTGGTGGGGATGGGGGAGTTAACACAAAATGAAGAGAACACTGGGCCTTAAGTTAGATAGCTATCACTTATCTAACTAGTTTTTCCTAGCTACTTTTTGCATCTATAAAATAAATGGTTCCAACCTCAGTGTAATGGGAAATCTACTGTTTTAGATTATATTCAGATTTAGGATTCCAAAGCAACACAGAACTCTTTTTGAGGGCTACCAAAGTAATAGGTGAAACTTTGCAGGACTTCAAGTTTACAGTCCATGGGGTGATCCAGCTTTCAGGAACCTTGTCCTTGCTACAATTACAGAGAAGATAAGTACCAGGTCCCAACTTATGTAGCCTAGCCCCTTTCCTCTTTGAACATCTGGCGAACTTTGTTGGTGAAACTGAGTCTCAGTTATTGCCCTCCAGAAAGAGCAGAGATTAGTTAGCCCAATGCCTTTTTACTTACTGAGATCCTAAGTAGCTATGGGAACCAGTCAGTGTTGCACAAGAATGAAATGGTGGCATCTGTTAATTGACTATATCTAACACGGTGAACAATTCCAACAATTATTCAACAACTATTAAGACTACAATAATGATCAAAATAATAAACAGTAAACAATCTGAATTTTAATTGTACCTTTACGTCTAGGCAATATAAAGCTATGGTCCCAAAAAAAAATACTTAGAGTATGCTTGTGACTATCACTGTTGAAAATGATATCCATAATGATGCACCGCCCCTGCCTCCAGAAACCTATAAAATGCTTCCCTACTGGAATTGTGGGGTCCTACTAATCCAATTCTATAAGTTTAGCTTTTTTATAAACCACATTTGTATTTCAGTGGTGTATAACACGGTCTTAAGTCCCAGAGACTTGTTTCTAATACATGCAAGAGAGTAAATAATTACTTAAGACAAGCTTAGTAATTTTTTTTTTTGAGATGGAATTTCACTCTTGTTGCCCAGGCTGGAGTGCAATGGCACTATCTTGGCTCACTGCAACCTCCGCCTTCCGGGTTCAAGCGATTCTCCTACCTCAGCCTCCCAAGTAGCTGGGATTACAGGCGTGTGCCACCATGCCCGCCTAATTTTTGTATTTTTAGTATAGACAGGGTTTCACCATGTTGGTCAGGCTGGTCTTGAACTCCTGACTCAGGTGGTCTGCCCAGCATGGCCTCACAAAGTGCTGGGATTACAGGCGTGAGCCACTGCGCCTGGCCAAGACAAGCTAAGTAATTTTTATGAAATTAGTTGAATGAGGAGAGATGACATCTTTAAAGTTGATTATTTTATCTAGGATTTATATGAAAAAATCCTCTAATCACTATTGAGTGTAGGCCAGAATAACTTGATTTTTTGAAATGAGTATTTTTGTTAGAAGAAACATAACATCAAACTACTTCTCTTGTTTCTTCAACATAGGAGTTCATTTCAGCATCTGATTACTTGATGGAGAATATCAATTTTGTGCTTAATTATTTAATAATAACCTAATTCCATCAGCTGTATTGCAAACTAACAGATAAAGAATACTGAAGTTACTCATGTTTGCTTTGAAATGTTTGTTCAGCTCCTTAGGTGGACATATTCAACCAATTAATTTAGGGTGTGACAGCTTAGTTCATATTTTGTGTGTAAAAAGCCAAGTAGAATGATGAAAATTTACAGTGATTTAAATCAGATATTTTTCTTTCTAACCCTTGATGCCCACACTTGCAATGTTGAAAATTTGTATTTTATTTTTTTAAAGTGACTTTTACCAGTTATTCAAACAGGTTGTACAGAGAAAGAGGAAGGGAAATTTGTATTATAAATATGATTTTAAAATATAAAAAATGTACAAAATTCTATGATGAATATTAGCAAAAAAATAGTGTATTTCATTAAATTATTTATAAAGTGATGGGACACAAACATGTACACAAGCTCTCAATGCTCACAGTTGCCAAAATGATGTTGGCCTGCCATTCTATTATTTGTTGGTTCAGTTTTCTTTTTTGGGGATGTGGTAGTTGATCTTTAATGCCCATTCTAGATCGGAAAAATCCATGATCCTAACTTTTAAGAGAAGGTTGGTAACTCTACTTAGGACTTTTTTTTCTGTAAGAGGAATAATGTAGCCTCACCCTTATCTTTCTGGAAATGTTTAAACCACTGAAATATGGAGATCAAATCCAGCTTACACACTGGTAACTCAAATACTATTTTTTTTTTTAAACTATCTTTTCTAAACTAATCACCCCTCTTGTACATAGAACTTTCTACCTCAGTGCCAATTCCTAGAGGTTGATGCAAACAGCTCGCCAGAGAGCCTGTGCTATTGTTCCTGCGAAAAAACCCAATTTCCCTGCACATTTGGATAAAAATGAGTTTATCTATATAAAGTTGAGACGGTAAGAATTCACAGAACAATGCCCTGGAAGAGAGATTTGCAAATGAAAGAGGGAGAAATAGTATTTTTAAGGAAAACATGAAAGTTGTCTCGATTTGACCGAAGTTTGAAAGAGAGTTGGGGGAATAAGAAAAGTTTCAAGATGCCGGTTTTAAAACTATGCATAGAAACAAAGGCAGGAATGAAGCCCGAACTCTCTCGGATCAGTTTCCCCCAAGTCTCTAATTATTTCATGCCCAGATTTCTTATATTTTTACTCTTTTTTAAGGGGCAACAAACACAGCAGCGCGGTAGATACGAGGAGTCCTTTTCCAGCAGCGCCGCGCATGGAGCAAGGAACCAATCATCACTCAGCGTCTCTCTATATAAACCCTCAGCCTCCCTCGTAGAGGACATGCTGTTCTGACAGTTTGAGATTACTTATTGTCTTTTCTGGGAAGACAAAAACATGTCGGAGACTGCTCCACTTGCTCCTACCATTCCTGCACCCGCAGAAAAAACACCTGTGAAGAAAAAGGCGAAGAAGGCAGGCGCAACTGCTGGGAAACGCAAAGCATCCGGACCCCCAGTATCTGAGCTTATCACCAAGGCAGTGGCAGCTTCTAAGGAGCGCAGCGGCGTTTCTCTGGCCGCGCTTAAGAAAGCGCTTGCGGCTGCTGGCTACGATGTAGAAAAAAACAACAGCCGTATCAAGCTTGGCCTCAAGAGCTTGGTGAGCAAAGGTACTCTGGTGCAGACCAAAGGTACCGGTGCTTCTGGCTCCTTCAAACTCAACAAGAAAGCGGCTTCCGGGGAAGGCAAACCCAAGGCCAAAAAGGCTGGCGCAGCCAAGCCTAGGAAGCCTGCTGGGGCAGCCAAGAAGCCCAAGAAGGTGGCTGGCGCCGCTACCCCGAAGAAAAGCATCAAAAAGACTCCTAAGAAGGTAAAGAAGCCAGCAACCGCTGCTGGGACCAAGAAAGTGGCCAAGAGTGCGAAAAAGGTGAAAACACCTCAGCCAAAAAAAGCTGCCAAGAGTCCAGCTAAGGCCAAAGCCCCTAAGCCCAAGGCGGCCAAGCCTAAGTCGGGGAAGCCGAAGGTTACAAAGGCAAAGAAGGCAGCTCCGAAGAAAAAGTGAAACTGGCGGGACGTTCCCCTTTGAAAATTTTAAACGGCTCTTTTCAGAGCCACCCACAGGTCTCAGTCAAAAGAGCTGAAGCTTTTTGGAGGGGGGAGTGGGGTGGAGAGGGGTGCGGGTGCTGCGGTGTTGTGCGGCCACGGTCTATCCTAGTCGTGCTGGTTGGGGGTCAGTTATTAACAGCTCCCAGCAGCCTGGGCGCAAGGATCCTTCCGTCTCAGTCTCAGCCACAGTCACCGGATAGCTAAGGCTACTTGAGCCACCAGGTCCTACTTTTTCTTCAAATTCCCGCGGTGGTGTGTGATTGGCCGGCCGATTTCTGTTAAAGCGCGGCGCTTAAAAGTGGCCCTGAAAAAATTTTATTTCTGACACAGGGATGTGGTGTAAATGCTTTAGTTTACTTTAGCGTTGAGGTGACTTCCTGAGCACATCCCGTCCTGGTTGTGAGCAGTACGTGGCATGCCCAAGGTGCTTCCGGCCCACGATCTTGTGCAGCTGGTCGTTGAGAATGGCCAACTGCTGGTGGTGCCCGGTGTCTGTCTTTTCGCAGGCCTTTGATAAGCCTTAGCTTTGGGATATCGGCCCTCAGGTACTGTATTTGTAAATAGTGTGGGGGCTGCACTGCGTGACGAGGTGGCTCTCCTGTAATCCCAGCATTTTGGGAGGCCGAGGCGGGGGCATCACGAGGTCAGGAGTTCGAGGCCAGCCTGAAGAACATGGTGAAGCCCCATCTCTGCTAAAAAAAAATACAAAAATTAGTCAGGCGTGGTGCCGCGCGCCTGTAATTCCAGCTACTTGGGGGCTGAGGTAGAAAATCACTTGAACCCGGGAGGCGGAAGTTGTAAGCCGAGATCGCGCCACTTGCACTCCGGCCTGGGCGATAGAACGAGACTCCGTCTCAAAATAAAAAGTGTGCCCATTGTCTTTTTCTGTCAGTGGCCAGCGTCTCCAGGACTTATTTTCCCAGGGGCTCTCTTGCTTGTTCATTTATTTCTGCCTACTCTTAACCTCCTAGCACTGCCGCCAGGTAACACTAGCATGCTGGTCCAACCCGCTCGGAGTAGCTGTATTTGCGGAGGACGCGGTGTATTAGCCCTACTGGCAACTGTAGGCCCGCGTGGCAAAGCAGGTCTTGCTTTTGGCGCGAGTGTGGTCTTGCTTCCCACGTCCAGGTAATGTTAGAAAAAAATGCAATTCTTGTATTAAGCCAATCGGAGGGATAGTTCATCATAGCCTCTGGCTCAGTTTTGTAAAACTTGCTTTTTCTGTTGGTTTGCAGAGCCTGCTGAATTAACCAATCAGAACGTATTCTTAGATTTTTATTTGCGTGGTTTTTCCGAGAGAAAATTTTTCACCAATCAGGTTGCGATATTAACAGTTGTGTATGCTGGGACGTAGTCGAAAAGCCTGTTTTTTTTTCCACCTCCCCCTCAGATGGAATTCTCCAAATGGAATTCTCTTTTTGGAGACTACTCACCTTGTCATTCTGCGTCAATCTGCACAAGTATTGCTACCACCCTGATGCTGAGAGATAGTAAAAAGTATGAAAGGAACCTCTGTCAGCTTATAATCTGCTTCTTTTCCCAAATTGCTTTCTCACAGATTGAGCTGAACCAGGGAGCTAGAGTTAGCTATCCAATACATATTTGGTGATTAGATAAGAAATAGAGAGGGAAAAATAAATGAAAAAACTTGGAGAAGGGAGGAAGAAGCCTGAAATTGGGGTTACCAGGACAAATAAATGGGCTATAGGAAGTTGGGCTGACTTGGATGTACTACTGTTTACATTGTATTTGGGAGGCTGAGGTTATTTTTTGTTTGTTTTGTTTTTGATTTTAGAAAAGCCCACTTAACAGTACGGAGAAATCTCGACAAAATCTGATTTCTACAGATGGTTATGGGACTCTAGATGGGAAAAAATTACATTTTCACAAATCCTAAATGCAATTTGCTTATTTCCTTTGTGAGTACAGGCAGCTAATCACTGGATTTCACATCAATGATAATCATAGATATTTTCATATCACTTTGTACTTATTACAGGTGTCTTGAAATAGTTTACACTAATTGTGAACCTTTCAAGCCAACATTATACTTGCTGCTAGATCTTATTATTTGATGTGTAACTAAAGCACATATACAGACTTTAAGAAAAAAAAATTTAGTGTCACTACCTTTCTTACCCTGTATAAGTATTTTTTAAAAACATGGTTTTGAGAAGGCATCTATAGATTTCCAGAATCTCCAGAATACATAGCACAAAACAAGTCATGAACTCTTGAACAAGTTTGCAGTGGGACCAAATACTATAAATCCCTCATGATTATAATACCTCTTAATCTTACTTCTTTGTTTACATTCTGCTTATTAGTTAATATTTTATTATATTTTACATTATTATTTGCCTCCCTCCCCACAAAGAAAAGGATGTAGCCTGTGACATCTTTCTAGTTATAAGCAGGAGTTTAATTTTTTGGGAACCACGGCTACATCACACAATTTCTTCTTTGTAGAGAAAGCCAAAATACCTCCCTGTATGAGAGTGGCTTGATTGAGAAGGGGATCTGAATAAATGGGAGGATTTGAAATATTTATTCAAAATAATCTTTTTGAAAATGAGTGAAAAATACAGGTATGTAGGGGTGAGCAAAACTTCACCCTCCGAAAGTTCACTGAAAATCAACGGAAAAAAGGCAGATTAATAGAAAAGTCAAACTTCATCATAGGTTTATGTGACATGGGAACCTTCACAATGAAGGCCCAGAGGTACAGGGGAAACTGTCCATTTTTATGCTTAGGTTCAACAAAGTACCAACTGCCATGTAGAACTGTGATTGGATAAAAAGGGTGTCATCTAATGCTAATAGACTGGGGAAACATAGCAAGGCCTCTGTGTCTAGACTCTTCTTGGCCTCTGGCAAGATTCTTTCCTTCTGGGTATTCCTTCCTCATTCTAGAGGACCCTCTCTGGAATGAGGGAGGGTCTTATGACCTACAGCCAAACAACGTAAGACATATACTTTCTTATGGCTAGCTTTTACACAGAAAGGAGACGGAAAAGTTACAGTAAGATTTTTAGGTTTTATGGCTGGCTTTGAAGAAAAAGGGGTTCTAGTTTCAGTAACCACCTTGGGGAAGAGGGATTCTAGTTATTATGTGTAGCCTCAATGGAGGATGAGAGGCCAAAGGATAGCAGGAGGTCACTTCTGCTTCTAAGGACTTCGTTTTGGGGTATTATTTTCCAATTCCCAATGCGGAGAAGAGATCTGGGAGGTCTTTAGTACCCAGAATGACATGATTTAGGCTTTTGATGAAAAGTGATAAGGAATAAGAGAATTAGGTGGGGAATGTGGCATTCCGCAAGAGCAGTCCAAATGACTATAACATACCTCTAGTTTCTTACTGTTACAAAGCACTTACTTAACTGCCTCACTTGGGCAGTTACAATGCATTTATATCAGGTATAGCTAAAATGCTTGATTTACTGTTAAGAAACTTGGGGCTTAGAAAGGTGAAATGGCAAGAAATGACCATTTGCTGTCAGTAAATGGTGGACCTAGGTCTCAAACAAGTTTCTTGATTTCTGGAATCATTCTTAACGCTGCTTCAATTCTGTTACATCAACTGGAAAAGGAGTGGTATTTTCCGGTTCCTTTTTAGGCTCATTGAGAAATAAGCAGAATTTATGTATTTCTGTTTCCGGCCCGTTGTGAAGTATCCATTTCACAATGTGTTTGGAATGCAAGAGAAGCAATTAAATGTGATGATTCAATCAATGATCTTCCAGAGTTGCTCTGATTTATATAAATTCATGTTCATATTCATTTGCCACGGAGGACATGCACTTGTTTTCAAGGAAATCTGAACTTGTTTAAATCTTTCTCCATATCTTAAAATTTTGGTAGCAGTTATAATGAATATCTTGAGATTGGTAAAGAAAACTAACAGTGTCTTAGCATGGAAGTTATGAAGGGCATTTTCATATTATCTTAGCTGTTGGAGAGTACTTACGTGTATGGCATAGGTCTGACACAAAGGTAATTTTTAGGATCAACCTGAAGTCACTACTTTAACTGGAGGATGCAGAATTTCATGGTATTGTGGGGAGGCCTCAATCATCCCTGTTAACACAGTCACTAAATCAGGTTGATTTTTAAAGAATCCTCAATAATTCTGACATATTCTCCCGTCTACATTCTCTCTTCATTCTCTCATAGCTGGGATTATTCCAATGCTTACTATTTCCCTAATTTCTCTAGCCTCCAATTTCTAAATTCTTAACTCTTTATTTATTTATTTATTTATTTATTTATTTATTTATTTTATTTTTTGAGACAGAGTCTTGCTCTGTCGCCCAGGCTGGAGTGCAGTGGCTCGATCTCAGCTCACTGCAGCCTCCGCCTTCTGGGTTCCAGTGATTCTCTTGCCTCACTCTCCCGGGTAGCTGGGATTACAGTCACACGCTACCATACCTGGCTAATTTGTTTTTGTATTTTTAGTAGAGAGGGGGTTTCACCATGTTGTTCAGGCTGGTCTCAAACTCCTGATCTCAGGTGATTTGTCCACCTCGGCCTCTCAAAGTGCTAGGATTACAGGTGTCAGCCACCACGCCCGGCCCATTTTCAAAAACAAAAACCAAATATGCCTTATGAAAAAAGTCACTGGCTTCTCATAGGTTCAAGGGAAAGCCCTGTAGCATCTTAGCCCCTTTTCATAATACTCTCTGCTGGCACTCACAGACACTATAACAATGTAATCTTTCTATTTCTTCTTCTTCTTCTTCTTCTTTATTATTATTATTATTATTATTATTTTTTACAACTTTGTTCAGGAACAATTCCCTGTGAGAATCTTTCTAATACTTCCAATTCCTTCTGAAATTACATCTCCATGCAAAAATCCCTCTAATTCAAAACATAAACTTATCTCTGAAAATGTGCTTTCATGACATTTAATAGTTGAGAACAATTATTATCAATAGAAAAATTTTAATGCATCTATTATTTTCTCCCATTAACTAAACTGAACTCTAGAGCATTTGTCTTATTTTCCACTACTCTAGGGGCGTGTGTGTGTGTGTGTGTGTGTGTCTGAATTAAAAAATTCCATCAGTTGGGTTACATTATTGTCAGATACTCATCAAATTCAGTGGTTTCATTTTCTGTTTTCCTGTGTGGGAAAAGAAGAGTAACAAATTTCTCTGCCCCTTTCATGACCCTTGTTTCCATGGCCTGATTTACAGACTACCTTATCTTCGGAAGTATACCATTTTATATATATACAATTTTTAGTGGGGGCAACTACAAAATAAAAACAAAGAAAAAAAATTTCACCGTTGCCTTGCAAACTCCAAAATGTTACATATCAATATTTACTGTTGGCAGGTCGAGTCGGGTGAGTATGGAGAAATAATAAAATGGGATTTCTGAATTGTCTTGAGTTTTAGCTATTATCTTTATAATATGAAGAAGCTATTGGTTATTCAGAGATTACATACTTGTTTTATTTTAATTATAAGTACTTGCAGGCAACTATGTAACTGTGAAATGGATATATACTATATAGTGTACCAACAAGTACATAGAAAGTATGATCTTACAGGGGTCAGATTTGAGATCTTCCCCAAATAAAATCACAATTTATTTTAAAGACATCTGGTATTATTTACTACTATCTCAGTGTATGCCTTTGAAAAAAGTTGCCTGTGTATGTGTGGTTAAATCAAGGCTACTATTTGAATAGTATGCAGAAAGGCTAAAATTTGTCAGTGTTAATGTCATATTTTCCTGTATGTACATCAGTTACATTTCTGTGCAATTTGCAGTACTAATTATAATATAATAGAACTTCACAATCATATAAGACCCTGTAAAGTTCATTTTCTTATTATTAGTATTGTTATTTGAGATGGAGTCTCTCCCTGTCACCCAGGCTACAGTGCAGTGGTGCAATCTCAGCTCACTGCCAGCTCTGCCTCCTAGGTTCAAAGATTCTTCTGCCTCAGCCTCCTGAGTAGCTGGGATTACAGGTGTCTGCCACCATGCCCAGCTAATTTTTGTATTTTTAGTAGAGATGGTGTTTCACCATGTTGGCCAGGCTGGTGTTATTATTTTTTTAAGATGGAATGTTGCTTTGTCACCCAGCCTAGAGTGGAGTGGCATAGTCTCAGTTCACTGCAGCCTCTGCCTCCTAGGTTTAAGTGATTCTCCTTGCCTCAGCATCCCAAGTAGCTGGGATTACAGGCAAGTGCCACCATGCCCGGCTAATTTTTGTATTTTTTTAGTAGAGACGGGGTTTATCCATATTGGCCAAGCTGGTCTTGAACTCCTGATTTTAGGTGATCTGCCTGGCTTGGCCTCCCAAAGTGCTGGGATTACAGGCATGAGCCACCCTGCCTGGCCTAAGACCCTGTAAATTTTAAAACATCCATTTATTTTATTGTGTATGAAAAATTTAAACATGTTAGTAGCTCTTCCAGGTGATAAAGCCCTCAGGAGTAACTGATGAGGATTCTGCTGAGGCTGTTTATTTAAAACAGTAATGCCTAGTGGGGAAAGTTTTGGCTCCAGCACTATCTGAAATTTTCTTAGTTTCAGTTTTTAAATTTGTTTTTGATAATAGATAACTATTGAACTTACATTTTTGGAGGCTTCATAAAATACTGCATGACTTCTGGCCCATTGCAGCCACTCAATAAGTGTGGATTTTTCCTATTTAGAAAAACTATATATTAAAATTATATAAACTTTATCTAATCTTTTATTTTTGTAAATAGGAATGCACTCAATGTTAAATTCTGTTCAGTAATCTTTTATTTTACATCTCAACTTGACTAAATTTCCAGAGGCTTTGTTTTAGGCAAATGACCATGCTAGATGTTCTGGTGGATTTAATGATATAAAAAGATGCATTCTGTGCCCACCAAGTCCAAGTCCTCACGTACTGAATTCCAGTAGCTGTAAGAGAAATACAGGTTAAAACTTGTTGAGCTAGAATCTTAAAGAAAGTACAGGATACAGGAAACAACATTCAAATAGAGAATGCTTCTATCTAGCATAATAGGATGTTCACTATGTTACAAATATCTGACAGTAGTTACCTTAATTATGGATAGTTAGGCTGTTTTCCTCACGCACTGAATCTCCAATTCACAAGACCCACATCTTCATGTCTGACAGGCTTCCATGAACAAAAATTTCTTCCATAAATCTCCAGGACTTCTTACTATGGCTACCTTGGCCTGCAGAGCTATTTACAGCTTTGTCACTATTAATTTTACCACATGACTAACCTCTTTCCTTAGTGCAACTAGTGGGAAAAGAGCACATTCAAAAAAGTTAGTAGAAATTTCTCAATGAGTTAAAAATACTGCACCCCATATCAAAACTGAGGAATTTGCTGAAATGTTTAAATAAACAAAATTCTTCCAAATAGCATGCAGTATCCCATATAGTACATACACCCTTCTGTATTTCCAAATAACAGCCTGTATGATTTCGTAACAGAATTCCTTATTTTCCTTCCCTTCACCTACCAGTTTCGAAGCTGTGCCTTTGTATGGAAAGGAAAGGCAGAATATTTTCTGTAAGAACTTTGAAGCCGTCCAAGGATTTTCATGTTTTGTTGATAAATATGGGGTACTTTTAATGAGATTTGATTAAGACAGGGTATTTACTAAAGTTGAAAAGTTCTTTTAAGATATCAGCCGGAAGGCCGGGCGAGGTGGCTCATGCCTGTAATCCCAGCTACTCGGAAGGCTGAGGCAGGAGAATCGCTTGAACCCGGGAGGCGGAGGTTGCGGTGAGCCGAGATCGCGCCAATGCACTCCAGCCTGGGCAACAAGGGCGAAACTCCGTCTCAAAATAAATAAATAAATAAATAAATAAATAAATAAATAAATAAATAAGAAAAGAAAAAAGCAAACAAAAGATATCAACTGGAAAGTTGAAAAGGCTCATGATTTCTGCATTTTCCTTTCGCACTCAGGTTTGAGACACACCCATCTGCACCTTCGTTGCTTTGACTCCTGCAGTTTAGAACCTATGCAAGGCTGTCAAGTCTGCAAGAGCTGTGTGTTAGTGCCACGGGTCTAGGTGTTCCAGCTAATAACCTTAGCCTTAGACCAGTATCAGGCGCACAGAGAGTAACGTTGACCGCACCCAAGGCACCGACCGTCGCCGGCAAGTAGCTGGGTCTCAAAACACTAGTGGAGTAAGGCAGCCTGATGCAGATCAAAAGCGCTGGCCCCTCGGGCAAGGTCAAATAAACATCAAGGAAAGGCAAAACCAAGGCGTTGAAAGCCTATGCAGTTAAGACCTAAAATGCAGGCCACCACATGAAAGAGCGTTGAGCCAGAAAACAAGAGGATGGGTTAAGCAGGGTACAATTAAGTGGCCAGGAGTTTAGAAAACGAGAACAATGTACAAGAAAGCAGCAGAGGGCCTGAACAGCAAAACAAAGCCAGCTAAACCAATGGAGAACAGCGTAGGGAGGCCCAGCCCTAGGCGAAAACCTGAGGGAGCGCTTAAATTTGGAAATTTAAATGAAGCATCGAGGGAACTGAATGCCACTATTTCAAATGTCTATTTGGATCAGTGCAGTTTAGTGGTCTAATGCGTCTCAAAGGATTACAGCCCTTTTCACGGACAAAGTGGTTGGCTCTGAGAAGAGCCTTTGGATTTAAGGTTTGTACTCAAAACAATTCACGCCCTCTCCCCACGAATGCGGCGGGCAAGCTGGATGTCTTTAGGCATGATGGTCACGCGTTTGGCATGAATAGCGCACAGGTTGGTGTCCTCGAAAAGCCCCACCAAGTAGGCCTCGCAGGCCTCCTGCAGCGCCATCACCGCGGAACTCTGGAAGCGCAGGTCGGTCTTGAAGTCCTGAGCTATTTCTCGCACCAGGCGCTGAAACGGCAGCTTCCGGATTAGAAGCTCGGTAGACTTCTGGTAGCGACGGATCTCGCGCAGAGCCACGGTGCCAGGGCGGTAGCGATGGGGCTTCTTCACGCCGCCCGTGGCCGGAGCGCTCTTGCGAGCTGCCTTAGTGGCCAGCTGTTTGCGCGGTGCTTTACCGCCTGTGGATTTACGAGCCGTCTGCTTAGTACGCGCCATAGTTCATCTGCAAAGTAAATGAGTTAGGAAGATTGGTTTGCCCCTCTATATAGGAACAGAATCACTCTGATTGGATTGTGGACGATCCCTGTTAGTGATCGGTTGCTAAATTCCGGAAGTGGCCGTAGAGATTCACGATTGGTTTATTTTTTCAGTGCAAGATTCTGATTGGTAAATTTGGATAGAGAACTGGCTCTTTCAAACAAGTCGTTTTCCGTTACAGGTTTCTTTGATGTTTCACGTAGACCATGACCTGCAAAGACATTGATCATTTAACTTAATAGACTGATCTGTTATCCTGTTTAGCTATAAAAAATCGAATGTGTTTGCGTTAGAAAGTGCTTTAGAATTTTTTTTCCAAAATCTCCGCTGCTTTTTTCTGCATTTTCCTGAAGTTTTTCCCTTCCTTATTCACTCATTTAAAATCCGTTGCCTAAGTATCTCTCAATGATTCCTCGTTTCATTATAGAGTACAAGGCTAATTCACTCAAACAAGGTTTTCTAAGATACACTGTTAAGCATAAGGAACTTTGTGTTTCATTTGTGTTATAGTAAAATTCTAATATCCTGGAATCCCTACCTCTGTAATATCGGGTTTGACTCAAAGAACTTAACACTATTATTTCGTTTTGTTGAAATTAAAACGTCCAGACATAATGGCAAGAGCCGTCAAAAAAAGTATTTTCAATTTAAAATCTTGAAAAAGATGGCGGCGAAGAGAGTGTTAGAAGGTTGTTTCTCTGTAAGACAACAATGGCGCAGTTTCTCCGGATCCCTGCGGGAGAGAGCTGAGGTGCACCGAACAATTTAAGACACATCCAACAGAACTTTTATAGGAACTGGACTCACCCAAATAACAGGACTTCTTAACTTGGTTTTCGCTTCCACACTCAACAGCTCCCAATTACTTTGAAAAAGTAACAAATGTTTACTGGAAAAGATTCTTAAAGAATGACATTACAGCCTAACACTATTGTGAATTAACCTATCGGATTCCCTGTAAGGTGTTCTTTTCCTAGCCAATAAAAAGAGCAGTTTGGGAATTCCTAATTTACATACTTTTAATCTATTGGCTACTTTGGTTCAGGCAGAGTTTTGATTTACAAGTTCGCGTTTGTGTAAGCGTACTATAAATATTTCAGAGAGGGATAGTGCGCGTGCGTGCCCGTTGCAAGGTCTAGTTTCTTTTTGTTTTTCTTTCCCAGTAGGTTTTCTTTCTCATTGGAAAGCTATTTTGTAAAGTGTAGCAGGTTCGCAATGACGCTGGCATGTAGTCCAAGGCGATTGACATCATGAATATGCTGGAGCCCCCGTCCTCCAGGGAGGGGAAACGGCTAAACCAAATTTATCACTGCCCGCAAATGCCCGCGGATGTCTGCAAGCTGGAGTGGAGAGGAGACAAAGGATGCTTTGTGCATTCCTGCTCATTCCCTGAATTCTGTTAAACCTGCCCTATTTTAGGGCATTCATCAAAATTCTGCTAACCACAGGATTGATACAATTGCACCTTTCAAGTTAGTGTCTATTTTGCAAATTTGAATTATCTTAGGACTCGTGGGCAAGTCTTGACTGAAATTACACATTGTCGTGCGTTTCAATCTCACATCTGAAATATATATGAGTCCCTTGCTTCTCTCCTTTTCAGAAAAAGAAAATTCTGTACACTTTAAATCACGGTAAAACGGTTAGGTATGTTGGCAAAATTGTTTCATAGGAAGCAAGGGAAGAACTGAAATCCTTTTGTATAATATGATTACGTATTTGTGGGCTGGGCCGTTTGTTAATGAGAGCTATGCACCCCCTGTGCTTTTCCTCTCCACACTCCCTACATCTCATCTTCTGAGGCCCAAGACCTGTTTATTGATATTATCTTCTGTTTTCTCATTTTCATTTTAGTTTTTTCATTTCTATTATTAGAATGTTAATATCTACATCTAAAAAATGTTTCCAAAATCAAAAGATAAACTTTAGGTCACAGTCAGTGAGAACCATTAAGGAAATTCCATCTTTATGCCCCATAGTTCTATTTCCTCCCCAGTGTTCTTAAATCTGTCAATCCGGTGTTTTGCCATTGGAACCTACCTTCAGTTCCTTTCATAATCCTCATCTCTAAATATGTGTAAAGCTTTATTTTAGAAGTCAGTGCAAAATTTACATGATTACATAAGAACTTAGCAGCTCACTTGTATTAATCAGTAATTTCCATCACTATTTCCATACCTGAACACAATTTCCCATAGGATCTGTGTTATGTGATAAAACAGTCAGAAACCAGTTGTGGCTACTGAGCATTTGAAATGTGGTTGTTGCTGCTGAGGACTGACTTTCTTTTTTTTTTGAGAAGGAGTCTTGCTCTGTCACTCAGGATGGAGTGCAGTGGGGTGATCTCAGCTCACTGTTAGCTCCACCTCCCGAGTTTAAGCGATTCTCCTGCCTCAGTCTCCAGAGTAGCTGTAGTTACAGGTGCTTGTCACCATGCCCGGCTTATTTTTTTGGGGGGGGTGGGGTGGAGGTATTTTTAGTAGAAACGGGGTTTCATCATGTTGGCTAGGCTGGTCTCGATTTCCTGACCTTAAGTAATCCATCCACCTCGGCCTCCCAAAGTGCTGGGATTATAGCCGTGAGCCACTGTGCCCGGCCTGAATTTTTATTTTACTTTTCATTATTTTAATTCAAAGGCTGATACTTCAGTTATTGGAAAATGTTAGATATGTTTTAAACAATCAGATATATGAATTTTATTTTTCAGCACTGAAATTTATGAAATCAAAATGAAATTCCATTTATTTCCAACAAAAATGTAATATCAAATTGAATAGGATGTCCCTCATATTTAGAAGACTTAAGATTTAAAAAAGAATGTGAAATATTGCATTAATAATGTTTTTATATTGACTATATTTTGAAATAATTATTTTGTATTTTGTTTTAAATACAATAATTATTAAAATTCTTTTACCTGCTTATTAATTTTTAAAATGTGCTTACTGGAAAATTCAAAATTACATATGTGGCTTGCATTATTCTTTTTTATTTTTATTTTTTTTTTGAGGCAGAGTCTTGCTCTGTCACCCAGGCTGCAGTGCAGTGCTGCCGTCTTAGCTTACTGCAACCTCTGCCTCTCCGGTTCCAGCGATTTTCCTGCCTCAGCCTCCTGAGTAGCTGGGATTACAGGCACCAGCCACCACACCCAGGTAGTTTTGGTATTTTTAGTGGAGATGGGGGGAGTTTCACCATTTTGGCCAGGCTGATCTTGAACTCCTGACCTCAGGTGATCCACCTGCCTTGGCCTCCCAAAGTGCTGGGATTACAAGCATGAGCCACCGCATCTGGCCGTGGCTTGCATTATTCTTTGTAGATAGCACTGTTCCAGGATTCTTCATTTCTCTTCTCTGTTTCTTGATTCTTTACCATATCTTGACAGCATAGGCCTTGAAACAATGAGTACATTCAATATATTTCTATGAACCCAGTTATAGCATCTGGACTTTATTTACAATAAATCAATATCTATATTTATATCTACATCTATATGTCTATACAGTTGTGTTAGAGAGCTAAGGGGGCTTGTTAAGCCATTACTCAATGACGCAAGAAGAGGTGGGCAACTAGCAAAATTATTGATGTTTGAATTTTTCCATAGCAAAATATCAGTAAGTGGACAGTATTTGAAATTCTTTTAGCCGGGCACAGTGGCTCAGTCCGATAATGCCAGTGACCCAGGAGGCTGAGTTAGGAGGATTGCTTGAGGCTAGGAATTTGAGGCTGCAGTGAGTCATAATTGTGAGACTGCAACCCAGTCTGGGCAACAGAGCATGACCCAAAAATGAAAAAAAAAAAACAAAACAAAACAACAAAAAAAGAAATGTTATATGAATATTTTCCCCTCGATCATATATTTTTGAGGGACAGCCTCTACAACTGCTAATTCTGGTGTTTAAAAAAAGGGGAAGAGAAATCACTGTGGAAGCACAATGCCATTTCATGAAAAGAAGAAAGTCCGGAAAATAATTTGCTATTCCTGGAAGCTACATAAGCTCCAAGAAAAACTCGGATGAGAACATCAGGTCAATTACTTTGAAGTCTAAAAAGAATAAAAAGTTAAAGTGTTTATTATTATATAGGAGCCAAGGCGAGCTCTGAAGCTTTGCTGTAAGATTAGCTTGCAAAAGGCAGATTAATTGGAGAAAAGTTACACAAATTTATTAACGTCTTCAAGGGAGCCTTTAGGATGAAAACACAAAGATACAGGAAAAATTGTCCAATTCTATGCTTAGGTTCAACAACATATGGACAACCTTGTAGAAATTTGATTGGATAAAAAGGGTATGATGAAACGTTAATAAACCGAGTGGAGAAACCCAGCAAGGCCTGTTTGTCTAGACTCTTCTTGGCCTCTGTCAACTGAAGAATGAGAAGGTTCATACATTTGCAAAGGAGCTTTATTTCTCAAAGAGTTGCAGCCTGCAAGGTGGCCATTCTGACAGGCTGGGAAGGGTAGCTTTGGTTTGCTGAGAGACAGGCACTTGGAGGGAAGCAGGGAGGGATAAAACAGGAATTTTTGAGGATTGGGTTGGAGAAATATACATATTCAACAGGTTATAGGAGGAGCTATGAATATTCATGAAGGACACCCAATCAGATGTGTATTAGGTTTACATGTATGTAAGATATGTCCCATGATCACTTTGGGGTGAAGATTTAACATTTAAATGAGTTATAATTAGGTCCTATATATAAAACTGAAATGTAGGGCAGAAGTCCATGATCTGCATTCTCAGGAGACTGGTCACAACCAGTTGTGGGCCTGCAGTCATTTATCAAGAAACTCTATGGTCCTTAATATCTGTCTTGTCTGGACCACCATGGAGGAGGGTGGAAGAGGCCAGATAAAGTAAGTAAAAGGGCTTTCCGGTGTATTATTCCCTCAAATCGGACTTTGAGAAAATCTAGCAGTGATTAGAAAGGGGAAGAGGGGTAGAAACAAACAGGATGTGCAGCCTCCATCCTGTCATGCCTGGGAACTTAAACTTTTGGGGTCTTTTAGCCAAAGGAGGGTCCATTATTCTGTCAAAGGGGTTTAGAATTTTCATTTCATCCCTCACCTCTTTGAACATGCATTCCTTCCTTCTGGGTATTGGGTATGGGACAGCTCCATCTCTGGAATGGGGTCTTATGACCTGCAATTAAACAAGGTGGATCAAATAATTTCTCTGTGTCCAGTTTTTACACGAAAAGTTGGAAGGGAAGTTAGAGTAATATTTTTAGTTTTTGTGGTTGGCTTTGGGGAAAAAGGATTCTGGTTGTCATAAGCCACCTTGGGAAACCGGAATTCTAGTTTCTATGTCTAGCCTCAGGGGAGAATGGGACTGAGAGACAAGAGGGCAGGAGAAAGTCACAGAAAAATTTTGCTTCTGAGGTTGCTTCTTTGGCCTTCATTTTGGGGTATTGTTTCTGAGCCCCAATTTGATTGAGTAAAGAATGTCAGGGAGTTATACTATGGGGCTTCATAGACATTTATCTTGCAATTGCTATATTTTAATCGTGTTTTAGTGAAAATTTTATTTAAGAAACATTGTAAGACTTGTGAGGAAAAAAGGGAGGGGGAAGAATGTATCCCACTATAAAAAATTTATAGTTTTTACAAAGTTTGCAGGGAAATGTGCTTACATCATCTCACAATTTACCATTGATTAAAGGTATCAAACTATCGAAGTTACTTCTTGGAGGCTTTTGTCTGGTGATGCAAATAATTTCTGTTATTTGTATCACCAGAAATTATTTTTGATGCAAATTATTTGTGATGCCAATAACTTCTGTTCAGTGGAACACATATAACTGCAATTATTTAGAACCCTAGGGGCATTAATTTTTTTAATAATCTCATTCAGCAACCTTGTCCTAACATTTAAGAAAGGGCAGCTTTTCCCTTAAGTAGCTCAGTGACTTCTGGTAGCGATGAATTTCAGCATGATTCAGGGCCTATATCTGAGGGACACCTTCAAGCTGCTGGTGGCCAGAGTGCTCTTGCTGGCTGCCTTGGTGGCCAGCTGCTTAGGAGGCTGTCTGCCACCAGTGGACTTCCGTGTGGTTGGCTTGGTGCAGGCCATGACCTTTCATATCAGATTTACAGATCACTTCTCTTTATAGGGCCTGGTGTGTGATCCAATTAGATTTGAGATTTTTTACAGAGAAATGTGACTGGATTTCTACTAAAGTTGAATAATTAATTGTGCTTTACAGTGTAGTCCATTTATAAATTTAGGTCATAAAACTAAGTTTTTGCTGCTGGGTTTTTTTTGTTTTTTTTTTTTTTTCCTTTCCTAAACAGGATCTTGCTTTGCCCCCCATAGCTCGCTGCAGCTTCGAACTCCTGGGCTCAATCAATCCTTCCCCGCGTAATTCTCCCAAGTATCTAAGATCTCAGACTGAGCCACCAGGCCAGGCTTTTTCTTTTCTTTTCTTTTTTTTTTTTGAGACGACGGAGTCTCGCTCTATTGTCCAGGCTGGAGTGCAATGGCATGATCTTGGCTCACTGCAACCCCCGCCTCCCGGGTTCAAGCGATTCTCCTGCCTCAGCCTCCCGAGTAGCTGGGATTTCAGGAGCCCACCGCCATGCCTGGCTAATTTTTTTGTATGTTTAGTAGAAACAGGGTTTTGCCACGTTGGCCAGGCTGGCCTCGAACTCCTGACCTCAAGTGATCCGCCCATCTCGGCCTCCCAAAGTGCTGGGATTATAGGCATGAGCCACCGGGCAGGGCAGGCTTTTTACTTTTTGTGGAGGTGAGGGGGCTGTCTCGCTTTATTGCCCAGGCTGGTCTTGATCTCCTGGGCTCAAGCGATTCTTCTGCCTTAGTCTTTCAAATTGCTGGGATTACAGGTCTGACCTAGGGCGTCAGGCCGTTACTGCTTAGTTTCGTTTAGTGTTTATTTTAGAATACTGTGTTAATTGCTCCTTTTGAAAAGAGAAATCCAACAAACACAATTCTCACTAGAGGAATGTAGTCTTTTTTTTTTTTTTTTTTTTTGAGACGTAGTCTTGCTCTGTTACCCAGGCTGGAGTGCAATAGCGTGATCTCGGCTCACTGCAGCCTCTGCCTCCCGGAGTCAAGCGATTCTCCTGCCTCAGCCTCCCAAGTTGCTGGGACTACAGATGCACACCACCACGCCCGGCTACTTTTTGTATTTGTTTAGTAGAGACGGGCTTTCATTATGTTGGGCAGGCTGATTTCGAACTCCTGACCCTATGATCCGCCCTCCTTGGCCTCCCAAAGTGTTGGGATTACAGGCATGAGCCACTGAGCCCAGCCGGAATGCAGTCATCTTTAAAACTTAAAAAGCCCGCCCTGAAATGCTAATGGGCAGCTATCCTTCTTTGTTCTCTCGTTTCTGTATTAATATTTCACCCTTTTCTGACAAGTGCACATGAATAAACAGCCTGTGTATTAATGATAAATTTGTATACACAGCATGGACCTATACACAAAATAACGCAGTGAAACCTTGGTGTCACAACCTCGGTTTCTATTCTTGTATACCTTTATAAACGCATTTTTACTGCAAAGAAACACCAGTAAGATAAATTAGTGCATGAAATGTGAGCAAGGATTTCAATAAAGAACTGACCAGTAACGTCAGAAGCGTTCGTTAAAAATTAGGACAGTGAACATTGAGATTTCAGGCATCGTATGTGTATTCCAGCACTTTACAGAAAAGGTGGGTGGCTCTGAAAAGAGCCTTTGGTTTCTGGGACTCGGGATCACTGACGGATTTGACTAGTAATCATTTCACTTGCCCTTGGCCTTATGGTGGCTCTCCGTCTTCTTAGGCAGCAATACGGCCTGGATGTTGGGCAGGACACCGCCCTGCGCGATGGTCACGCGACCTAGAAGCTTATTTAGCTCCTCGTCGTTGCGGATGGCTAGCTGCAGGTGGCGCGGGATGATGCGGGTCTTCTTATTGTCGCGAGCCGCGTTGCCAGCTAGCTCTAAGATCTCGGCCGTCAGATATTCCAGCACCGCTGCCAGGTACACTGGAGCGCCGGCCCCGACTCGTTCGGAGTAGTTGCCTTTGCGGAGGAGGCGGTGCACACGGCCAACTGGAAACTGAAGACCGGCCCTGGAAGAACGCGTTTTAGCTTTTGCCCGAGCTTTGCCGCCTTGCTTTCCACGTCCAGACATAGTGGCTTCCTAACAGCAGAAGAACTAACAATCCACTGAATAAAGAAAAAGAATGGGCTCGATGGAGGAATAAGAAGCTAGTTATAGTCATCGGTAGAATTGTGAAAGGCGCAATTTGATTGGTTAAAATTGTTCTTTGACGAGCCAACCAATTAGAAAGGAAATAAGGTGAAGGCTATTTTACATGTATGCGTCACTAACACATTGCCCAATCAGAGCTGGATATTTTGAATTCTTTATTTGCATGAAAGGCCTATAAAAGGAGAGACTCTAGACACGAGCTTTTATTTAAGTGCGTTCATTCTCACTGCTGTTATTGTTTTCTGACAGCATGCCTGAACCAGCTAAGTCAGCTCCTGCTCCGAAGAAGGGTTCCAAGAAGGCTGTGACCAAGGCGCAGAAGAAGGATGGCAAGAAGCGCAAGCGCAGTCGTAAGGAGAGCTACTCCGTGTATGTGTACAAGGTGCTAAAACAGGTTCACCCCGATACTGGCATCTCATCCAAGGCCATGGGCATCATGAATTCCTTCGTTAACGACATCTTCGAACGCATCGCAGGCGAGGCTTCCCGTCTGGCCCACTACAACAAGCGCTCGACCATTACCTCCAGGGAGATCCAGACCGCCGTGCGTCTGCTGCTTCCCGGAGAGCTGGCCAAGCACGCAGTGTCCGAAGGTACCAAGGCTGTCACCAAGTATACAAGCTCCAAGTAAATGTGTGCTTAGGTGCTTTAAAACTCAAAGGCTCTTTTCAGAGCCACTCAAGTCTCACATAAAGAGCTTTAATATTGAATTTCACCGTTTTCTAGGGAATAATTTTTCCGATTTTGTAATCCCAGCACTTTGGGAGGCCGAGGCGTGCGGATCGAGACCAGTTTGGCTAACGTGGTTAAATCTCGTTTCTACTAAAAATACAAATATTAGCCGGGCGTGGGGCAGTCGCGTGTCATCCCAGAGACTCGGGAGGCTGCCGCAGGAGAATCACTTAAACCCAGCAAGCAAAGGTTGCAGTGAAAAGACATGGCGCTTTTGCATTCTAGCCTGGGCGACAAAGGCGAGGCTTCGTCTCAAAAAAAATTGATCAGGAGATACTCCTGTTCTGTGTTGGCAAGATCCTGTAATCCTAGCACTTTGGGAGGTCGATGCATGAGGCTTTCTTCAGCTCAGGAGTTAACAGATTTGCCTGGGCAACATAGAACTCGTCTCTGCAAAAAAATGAAGCTAACCAGGTGTGACGGCTTGCGTCTGTACTATCATTTACTCGGTAGGCTGAGGTGGTAGGATAGCTTAAACTCTCGGGCTAGAGACTGCAGGAACATGTGAATACGCTAGTGCAATTCCAGCCTGGGCAACACTGGAAAGGGTAGGAAGAGTAGTCTTTGGGTCCCTAAAGATCACCTGATAACAAGTTTGACTTTTCTGAGCACTCTTGTGGAGTTTGTTGTGGAGGGAATACCATGGGCATTGGCAATGTAAAGTTGATCTAAAAAATCTCGTTTTCCGCCGTGCGCGGTGGCTCACGCCTCTAATCCCATCACTTTGGGAGGCCGAGACGGGCGGATCACGAGGTCAGGAGGTCGAGACCATCCTGGCTAACACTGTGAAACCCTGTCTCTACTAAAAAAATACAAACAAAATTAGCCGGGCGTGGTGGCACTCACCTGTAGTTTCAGCTACTCTGGAAGCTGAGGCTGGAGAGTCACTTGAACCCGGGAGGCGGAGGTTGCAGTGATCAGAGATCGCGCCACTGCACTCCATCCTGGGCGAAAGAGCTAGATTCCATCTCATAAAAAAAAAAAAAAAAAAAAAAAAAAAAAAATTACAGTTTTGGCTGGCTGGGCGCAGTGGCTCTCGCCTGTAATCCCAGCATTTTGGGAGGCGAGGCTGGTGGATCACTTGAGGTCAGGAGTTCAAAAACAGCCTGACCCACATGGTGAAACCCCGTATCTACTAAAAATAACAAAATTAGCCGGGCGTGGTGGCGCATGCCTATGTTACCCCAGCTACTTCGGAGACTGAGGCAGGAGAAACGCTTGAAACCGGGAGGCGGGGGTTGCAGTGAGCCAAGATCCCGCCATTTCATTCCAGCCTGGACAACAAGAACGAAACTCCGTCTCAAACATAGAAACCATTAGTTTATACTCATTAATCAAATTTCTAAAATGGGACCAAAAAAAAAAAAAAGGTCACTACTCCATAGTACTCCATGAGCAACCTCAGGTTTCTGACAACATAGTACTCCAAAGTATGGCGCCTTGACATAGTAAATATTCTAAGACATTAGTAGAACAACATAGACAAGAATGTTCGTATGACCTTCCTCTGAAGCAGGTCTTAAGACCCTCCTGGGAGTCTTGCAGAGTATGCGAGGAATCTGAACAAATAAACCTTGCTAGATTTCTCCTTGTTTATTATCCTTAGCTCATATTATTTTTGTCTTGTTATATTTCTGCATGACTCTCTTCATCAAACCTAGTGCAAACACACTCAGGTTTAAGCCCTTCTTCAGGTCCTTATTTCCTTATGTCATGTAAAACTTCATATTAAATGTGAATGTTTTTCTCTTGGCCGGGCGCGGTGGCTCACGCCGGCTCACGCCTGTAATCCCAGCACTTTGGGAGGCCGAGGCGGGCGGATCACGAGGTCAGGAGATCGAGACCATCCTGGCTAACACGGTGAAACCCCGTCTCTACTGAAAATTGAAAAAAATTAGCCGGGTGTGGTGGCGGGCACCTGTAGTCCCAGCTACTCGGGAGACTGCGGCAGGAGAATGCCATGAAGCCGGGAGGTGGAGCTTGCCGTGAGCCAAGATCGGGCAACTGCACTCCAGCATGGGCGACAGAGCAAGACTCCGTCTCAAAAATAAATAAATAAATCAAAATAAAAATAAAGTGTATATTTTTCTGTTGTTAATCTGTATTTTGTTTCAGGGCCCCAGCCAATGAACATAAGATGGGTAAAAGGAAACGCTCTTTCCTCCCCTACAACATACAGTAGGGGTGGGTGTGCATCTGTGTTCTGTGTGTTTGTCTTTGTGGAGTACAAAAGCTAGCATAACATAGAAAAGGTGTGGAGAAAAGTATTCCCAGAATGAAAATGTTTGAGAAGTGTGTTCGCTAGGGCTGCCAAAACAAACTACCAAAGACTGTGTGGCTTAAAAAAATTAATTTTGTCACAATTCTGAAGGCTACAAGTTCAAGATCAAACCAGTGAGCATGATTGATTTTTTCTGGGGCCACTCTCCTTGGGTTTTCCCCTCTCTGGTCTTCCCTGTGTGTGTGTGGGTTGTGTTTTAATATCATCTTATAAGGACAGCAGTCAGAATAGATTAGGACCTACCCTTAAAACCTCATTTTACACCTTTAAAGACCTTATCTCCAAATAGTCACATTTTCAAGTAGTTGGTATTGGACTTCAATGTTTGAATTGTGGGCTGACTTGGATTTCAGTCAGGCAATTCAGTCAATATCAAAAATTATGGTGATTAGGCTTCTAAATAGTACATGAAATAAGTATTTCACAGGCATCTGAAACTCAGCACAACCAAGACAGACCTTATGATACTCTACCTGGCTTCACTTACTCATCCAAGTTTGAAATCTAGTCCCCATTCCAGACTACTCCCTTTTCTTTTCTGCAAATATTTAAAAATATACAAACTCATTGATTTTAACTTCTAATTTTGTTAATATTGTCCATATTTTTGTTTACTGTGGCTAACAACTGGAAATACTAATGTTGAAGAGTTGGACTTTGCCTAAAACTAGGTTTTATCCCTAATGGAATATTATGCAGCTGTTAAAAAGAATGCTTTAAAAAAAACGACATAAAATATGCTCATGGCATTGTATGGGGTAAATCCAAGTTGCCAAGTAGTGTATTCTTATTTACATGATGTCACACACACACACACACACACACACACACACACACATATAGTTTTAGGAAAAAAGAGTGACTATAAGGGTCAATGCCAAGATGTTAACAGTGCTGTTACATTTTTTTTTTTGGTGCAACAGACAGCTCCTCTAAAGATAACTTTCTCTATTTGTCTCTATCCCAAACTATCAATGGTGTGGTTAAGAAATAGGAAACTCGGCCGGGCGCGGTGGCTCACGCCTGTAATCCCAGCACTTTGGGAGGCCGAGGCGGGCGGATCACGAGGTCAGGAGATCGAGACCATCCTGGCTAACACGGTGAAACCCCGTCTCTACTAAAAATACAAAAAATTAGCCGGGCGTTGTAGCGGGCGCCTGTAGTCCCAGCTACTCGGGAGGCTGAGGCAGGAGAATGGCGTGAACCCGGGAGGCGGAGCTTGCAGTGAGCCGAGATCGTGCCACTGCACTCCAGCCTGGGCGACAGAGTGAGACTCCGTCTCAAAAAAAAAAAAAAAAAAAAAAAAAAAAAGAAATAGGAAACTCTCCCTAGGCCCTTTCCTCTCCAAGTCTCCCTGCTGTATGTTAAGAAAAATTAATTTATTCCACAAGTAATTATTGAGCACCAACTACATACCAGCTATTATCCTATGCAATATACAAATGAATAGAGTAAATTTAAGATACGCTGACTAAAGAAATCGAAAATCAAGAGAATAGAATATCCTAGCATAAAAGGAAATAAACCAGGAAAAAATAGACTAAGAAGTATTTGTGAACCACCTAATAATATGTGTGACTCTGAGCACATGTTCATGTTTATGAAATAATGTCCTAATGACCTCAAAGAGGATCAAATGGGAAGGCTAATTTAAAAAGTACAAAATGACTGTAAGGAACAGAGGAACAAGAAGGATTAAGGCCAGAAAGTGACATAATTTATGGTCATGGTTACCTCTGGGGGCAGTAGCAGGAAGATGACAGAAGAGGTCAAAGCAGTTTTTGGTAATATGACAAATATAACAGATATAACAAATATATTTGATTGACAATTGGGTTCAAGCATGGCCATCATATTATTCTTTATAACTTGTATATCGATTTATTACAATTTTAAATGTATCTAGAAGTACAA
Organism: Homo sapiens; assembly: GCF_000001405.40. NCBI lineage: Eukaryota > Metazoa > Chordata > Mammalia > Primates > Hominidae > Homo > Homo sapiens. The sequence continues at coordinate 26,211,966 of NC_000006.12, read as the reverse complement.
ACAAGAAACAAGAAAAATAATGTACAAACATGTTTGTGGAAAAGTCACTTCAACTTCTATAAAAAGAACTTCTGTAAACTATGAAATATTGCTTATAGCAAAAATTTGGTTATGAAAAAGGAAATCTCCCCTTATACTCCAAAAGTCTGTAGATGCTGAAAAAAGAGTGAGCACTTAACAAAAATCTCTGCTACTATATAAGACTCGATTTTTTTTTCCCTTTTTCCCTTTTTTTTCAGATGGAGTCTCGCTCTGTCGCCCAGGCTGGAGTGCAGTGGTGCAATGTCAGCTCACTGCAACTTCCACTTCCCGGGTTTGAGTGATTCTCCTGCCTCAGCCTTCCAAGTGGCTGGGACTACAGGCCAAATGTGTGCCACCATGCCCGGCTAATTTTCGTATTTTAGTAGAGATGGGCTTTCACCATGTTGGCCAGCCTGATCTTGAACTCCTGACCTCAGGTGATCTGCCTGCCTTGGCCTCCCAAAGTGCTGGGATTACAAGCTTGAGCCACTGCGCCCGGCCTGTGAGACTTGTTTTGTAAGGGATTCTTCTTGAAATATTTTCCTTTTCTGCAAGGGAAAGGAAATACTTCACATGTACGCTGAAGTATTTCATTTTATCATTTGTAAATTCATTTAGATTTGTATTTATTTTATTCATATCCATTCAGGCACTTGTTCAGATAAATTAAACACATAATTTGAATTCAATATACTCAGTGCAAGAAATAGTTTTGTAAAAGATATGAGAATTGTTTTACATAATCAGAACAGTTGAGGGGTCAGGAAAGGGATTTTGCGTGGTTCCCGATGTTCAGAAGAAAGTCTACATTCCTGTCATTGGCCTAACAAGCCACTTGTCCAAGCATCAACCATCTCTTCCAATACCGACATGATTTATACTATTTTCTGAACTTTCTGAGTTCAAGCAATTCTCCTGCCTCAGCCTCCCAAGTAGCTGGGATTACAGGCGTGTGCCACCATGCCTGGCTAATCTTGTATTTTTAGTAGAGACAGTGTTTCACCATGTTGGTCAGGCTGGTCTCGAACTCCTGACCTCATGTGATCTACCCACCTTAGCCTCCCAAATTCCTGGGCTTACAGGCGTGAGCCACTGTGCCTGGCTAATCTTGTATTTTTAGTAGAGACAGTGTTTCACCATGTTGGTCAGGCTGGTCTCGAACTCCTGACCTCATGTGATCTACCCACCTTAGCCTCCCAAATTCCTGGGCTTACAGGCGTGAGCCACTGTGCCTGGCCTCTTTTCTGACATTCTATATAATATTTAATTCCTGCTCTGCTTCCCATGAGGGCATGTTTTGACTGACCAAATAGACTGAAAGCTCCTCAAGGGCAGGAAAAAATATAGAGGGAGGCGGTGGGGAGGTGTTGTAATGCTAAACAGTGTTGTTATGGATAGCCTCAAGAAGACTATGATATTTGAATACAAACCTGAAGGAAGTGAGTGAACAACACCTGCAGAAACCTAGAAGCTGAGTGGACCACTCAAGGGGAACCATTAGTACGTCCTTCCTGAGAGTGATGAGTACTTCTAGCAAGTTCCAGGAACTAGTCGAGTTGGCTAGGAAGGAGAGGAAGAGTAGCGGGATTTGAGGCTAAAGAGGTAACAAGGATCAGACAGTGTGGCGCTGTAACCCACTGAAAGGACCTTGAGGTGTTTTTTTGTTGTTGTTGTTGAGACGGAGTCTCGCTCTTTGGCCCAGGCCAGAGTGCAGTGACGCTATCTCGGCTCACTGCGTGCTCCGGCTCCCGGGTTCACGCCATTCTCCTGCCTCAGCCTCCCGAGTAGCTGGGGACTACAGGCGCCCGCCACTGCGCCCGGCTAATTTTTTGTATGTTTGGTAGAGACGGGGTTTCACCGTGTTAGCCAGGATGGTTTGGATCTCCCGACCTCGTGATCTGCCCGCCTCGGCCTCCCAAAGTGCTGGGATTACAGGCGTGAGCCACTGCTCCCGGCCTTGAGTTTTTCATTAAGTGACATGAGAACCACTTGGGGGGGTTTCAGCAGAGGAGTCATCTGATCTGAATTGCCCTTTATTGGAATTCCTCTGGGAGAACCAGGTGATGATGGTGTTGCAATAATAAAGGTAGGAGATGGCAGGGCTTGACCAGAGTAGCAGCAGTGGGAATGAGAAATGGTTGAATTCTGTTTGTGTTTTCAAGGAAGAGCTCATAGAACTTACTGATAGATTATTATGTAGGATGTGAAAGAAAAAGAGATGATTCCAACTAAAAGTGTATAAATGCCATTCACCAATTTCAAGATGATGAGATTAGCTGTTTGGCAAAGATAACGAGATTCTGTTGAAATTTGAAGTTCATATTAATTGGACTTTCAAGTAAATAACAGGGTCTCTGAGTATGGAGTACAACGCTGTAGGCTGGTCATTTAGTGTTCATGACATAAATATATATATATAGTATCTCCACAGCAACAAGGAAATATCAGTTCAAAAGAATCAGATGGAGATTTTCATTCTCCAGGTCCATCTTCTCAGAGCCATCAGAAGTGGCAGTGCTAAGGGAAGAGAAAAGGCAGCATCAGATACAGAGCTCTGAAGCTGGTTTCCACGAATAGGCTTCAGGATGCCTGAGAACACATAGAATTGCATCAGGGGATTCAAATGTCCCCAAATATGTGGTGAGAGTGGGTGTATTTTGGAAAAACTGTGAATATCTATAACTGGATCTCCAAAGTGATCTCCCCATGGCTCTAACTTTAATAGATTATTTAAGTGAGGATTCCAGTGTTATTTCATACTCTTATTAGTAAGGGAATTTTTCCACATTTGTAAAATAGGGATAATATTTATTGTTTGTTCTGAAAATTACAGGAGAAAAGGAAAATTACTGGAGAAAGAAATTGTAAAACTGTAAGTTAGGAATTCACATGTCATGTATACAAAAAAACACTCTTTACTTCTTTGACCCAAAACTTTTTCTCTTTATTATCTACCTTCTTTCTTAAGATATTTAATCCCATCTTGTGGCTTTTTCACTCTTACGGCAATTATGGTTTGACGACTGTGAATTATATCTCCATGTTTCTTTTCTAACCTGCAGGTTTTTATAGCCAACTGCCTATTTCATATCTTTCATATCTTTCTCTTAGATATGTAACAGGCATCTTAAATTCTCTCTGGATATCCAAAACTAAGAATTTGAATCCTCTCCAAAACTTGTTCCTTATTTTTCCACATTTTAGCAATTGATACCTCCAGTTCCAGTTGCTTTGGCAAAATCATTGGAATCATCCATACATTTTGGTCTGTCTTTCATACTCTACACATTCAGTAGCTCAGAAAAGAACTATGAACCTTACTTCAAAATATATATAGAATCCAACCACTTTTCACAGCCTCTACCACTAACACACTGGTCCAAGCCACTGCCATCTCAACTGCATTACTGTGGTACCCTCCGAACTGGTCTCCTTGCTCCTATCCTGGTCTCATCATAGTTTATTCTTCATCAGGCATCCAGATAGCTCATTAAAAAAATAAAAATCAGGCCCGGTGTGGTGGCTCACGCCTGTAATCCCAGCCCTTTGGGAGGCTGAGGTGGGCAAATCACGAGGTCAGGAGATCAAGACCATCCGGGCTAAAACGGTGAAACCTCATCTCTACTAAACATACAAAAAATTAGCTGGGCGTGGTGGCACACACCTGTAGTCCCAGCTACTTGGGAGGCTGAGGCAGGAGAATCACTGGAACCTGGGAGGCTGAGGTTGCAGTGAGCCGAGATTGCGCCACTGCACTCCAGCCTGGGCGACAGACTGAGACTCTGTCTCAAAAAAAAAAAAAAAAAAATATATATATATATGTGTATGTGTGTGTGTGTGTGTGTGTCTATAAATCAGATTATGTCAGTTCTCCGATCAAACCCTTGCAGTGGCTCCCATCTCACTCAGAGTAAAACAGTAGTCACACTGGTCTGCAAGGCCATATAGAGACTCGTCTCCATTTGCCTCGCAGATCATATTTGCTTTTTCTTTGCACCCTGTCTGATACTGGCAGTGGGTTCTTGACCCTCAGAAAATAGAAATCGACCAAGAATCTAAGATGGACTTGAGCAAGGAAGTTTATTAGGGCTTTCGGCTTGAGCAGAAAGGGAGACAGCAACCAGAGGTATACTTGCAGCTGGCTCCTTGAAAGCAAGCTAGTCTAGTTTGTTATTCTTCTGTGAGCTTCGTCTAGGTGACATCATGGCATGTTTGGGGTGGTCTGTTGGATACACCTTTGCAGTCCCTTGTCATGCTTTTTCCTGTGTCTCAGGTCTCATTGGCAGCTTAAATCTCCACGCAGGGGTATGAATTTTATCATTAACATGATGCAAAAGTTAGGTTAGGATAATCAAAGTCCCTATAGCACATGTTCATTTGGGGAAGGTCTTTTGGAAGTCCCTATGCTGATGGCGAGGATGTTTGTCGTTAGAGTGTTCTATTTCTTTTATGTCTGATTGGCTGATTTTATGAGCGGAAGCTTCAGTGGCTGCAAGGTTATGGAGCTGGGTGCTGCTGTAGTCAGCACAGCAAGTAAACAAGTGTGGAGGGGTCCCTTGTCCTGCCTTCCATTGTCTGCCTCACCTCTGCCCCTTTTTCCAGTCATAATACCTGCTTTTTACCTCCATGCTTTCCTGCTGGGTATTCTATTTAGAATACTCTCTCACTTTCTCAATGTATTTTTTCTTTATCACTTTATGAGTAAAATTTTTCAAGACCATATCATTTAAAATATCACTTCTTCCCTCCACATGCTATGCCTTTTCCTGCTTCAGTGATCTTCATAGCAGTCAGCACCATCTGACACACTGTTTCACTTATTTTGTGTGTGTACCCCCACCCAATAAATATAAATTCTATGCACACATATCGTTTTGTTCTTTCTCATTCACTGCTGTAATTCCCAGAGCATAGAACAATGCTTGGTACATGCTATGTGCTCCTTTTTGTTGCTGTTGTTACATTAACATCCTCATAAAACTTTTTCTCCTCGAACTAGTGCCTTAGCACCAATAACATGATGCTTTTCATATATATGCACGAGCTCACACTTTTTAAAAATGACATTCAAAGTAACTATTTATTTTCCTGATTTCAAAGTATCAGCCTACGGACAACTTGCTGGCTAGAAGAAAAATCTGATTTTCAATGGAACTATCACCCTAAACCAACGGTTTTTTTTTTTTTTAATTTTTTTGGCAGTCTTTCTCTGTTGCCCAGGCTGGAGTGCAGTGGTACCACCTTGGCTCACTACAACCTCTTCCTCCTGGGTTCAAGCGATTCTCCTGCTTCAGCCTCCTGATTAATTGGGATTACAGGTGCCTGCCACCATGCCCAGTTAATTTTTTTATTTTTAATAGAGTCAGGTGTTCACCATGTTGGCCAGACTAGTCTTGAACTCCTGACCTCAGGTGATCGACCCACCTTGCCCTCCCAACGTGCTCGGAATAGAGGCATGAGCCACTGTGCCCAGCCCAAACTTGCGATTTTTCTATCACTTGGAATTTACATAAACCGGACATCATGTGTTTCTGATGTAGTGTACTATGTACATTACATCTGTAAACTGTTCCTGACAGGCATATTCACCCGATTTCAATTAAGTGTATGAAAGTCACTTGTACTTTACAGGACATGGGGAGTACAGAAGCCAAGTAAAACGATTAAGAATCAAGCCAATACAAAACAAAAGCAAAACAAAAACATTCTGTAAGTCTGGTCTCCGAGAAATCAATGTTCAAAAATGGGGAAGTAGGGGAGAGGAGCCTGTTTTAGATAAGAAAACTGGAGACACAACGGAAGTTATGGCTGGATCCTTCTTTAAACAAACCACATCTCCAAGACATCTGGGGCATAACTGTGGAATGACGACATATCTTTTTTGAACAATAGACAATGAGATCCAAGCAGGAAGTAACAAAGACTTTATTTTCAGAGGGAGAAGTAATCCCAGGATGGAATGAGCGCTCTGTGGCAGTGAAGGGGAGCTGGAATATATATATGCCTTACAGAGTCAACCTTACATACAGATTCAGTAGGTTTGGAAAAATTCTATGAGTATTCATGAGGGAGGAGATGAAATCACAAATCCGTCTCCCCGACCAAAATTGGGGGGCTTATGTAGCGAGAAGGGCGAGAAAACAGGAAATCAGGGAGGGATAAGGACGCAATCATGATGGATGAAACATAGGGAGTCTCACGGTCTCGATGCAAGTGATCTGGTGTTTCAGTTCCTGCCTCAGGCAGGAACATGAGTTCCTAAACATGAGTTCCTAAACATTTGTCTCATGTGAGATAAATGCTAAATTTCAAGCTTTAGGGTTTAAAGAGAGTCAAATTCTTTTATTCAAAAAACAGCAAATATCATAACTTCTAAGGGACAACTGGGTTGGCTTAATAGAATTCCGAAATGAATGCTTGCAACCTCTCCTTGCGTGAGCTTATCTACCCCAGGAACTTCTACACACCTAAACTCGGTCGTTAGGTTAAGTAATAGAAAACAGGCCGCTAGAATTTAAGGCCCACACTCCTTTCCAGGAAGATGATTGGTTGCGCTAATTCGCGGGTCCGGCCCATTGCCAGGCACCGGCTTTGTTCTTCGCTCTCCGCCATTTTGAGCGGTTACGCAGTGTCTTGCGGTTTTCCCACTTATGTCGAAAACCATGCATTTTTAGGTACTCAAAATAAAAGTGGTAAGGTAAACAGACACTATTACCCTAGCCTTTTCAGTGCAATCTAAGGCCCTACTACAATAAACATAAAAGGATCGTAGCCTAAAAAATCGTATGCCGAAACCCCAAATGTAATTTGGAACGAAAAAAAAAAAACGGCTGAAAAATATACGTACCTGTTGACAGGAACAATTAACTTATAAAGAGACCAACCAATCGTCTAACAAGTCATGAGCTCTTTTGCGGAAAACTGTGGGCGGCCCTGAAAAGGGCCTTTGATTTGGGAAGTCGAGATGCTGAGTCGTTTAAGCGGTAGCATTAGCCGCCGAAGCCGTAAAGAGTGCGTCCCTGTCTCTTCAGCGCGTAGACCACATCCATCGCTGTCACTGTCTTGCGTTTGGCGTGCTCCGTGTAAGTCACAGCATCACGAATCACGTTTTCCAGAAACACCTTCAGAACCCCGCGAGTCTCCTCGTAGATGAGACCAGAAATGCGCTTGACACCCCCGCGACGAGCAAGGCGCCGGATGGCAGGCTTGGTAATGCCCTGGATGTTATCTCGCAGGACCTTACGGTGACGCTTAGCGCCTCCTTTACCCAGTCCCTTTCCGCCTTTGCCGCGACCAGACATGACCAACACACCAACGAAAATAGCCGCAAAAATCTGAAAAACAAGCGACGGTAGTATTCTTATATGCCGGGAATTCGGACCTAAATGAAGACTGAAAACGCGCATACGGGAACTTTGGTGCTGCCTGCTGGCCCTACCCTTCACAGATCAGACTGGGATGACGTCACCAACGACTCCAGTTCCCGCCGGCAGAGTCCGCTCTCCATGGAGTCATCTCTGCAAGTCTTGCGTTCCCAAAGAGGAAATTTAGGCATATTTTAACAACTAAATGAGATTAAATACATTAACATGTTTAAAATCATTTGCTGCTTGGGATGCTCTAGGACGATTGAACAGGAGCTTTGGCTCACAAGACCGGAACTGCAGTAATCTCCTTCCATGAGGAGTTCAGCTTTGTCCCCATAGGCACGGTTCCTCTGGCATTTCTGCTGCTTGCTCTCTTGGGGACGGAACCCCCTTAGGAAGTGTTTGAAAACTGCAAGATCTCACCCTCTCCACCACCAAGCCAAGGGAAATCTGACCAAAAGGATTTTCCTCCCGAAGAGAAAAACACGGATAATTAGTGATCCCGCCGGGCGTTGTGGCTCACGCCTGTAATCCCAGCACTTTGGGAGGCTGAGGCGGGCGGATCACCTGAGGTCGGGAGTTCAATACCAGTCTCCAACACGGAAAAACCGCATCTCTACTAAGAATACAAAATTAGCCGGGCCTGGTGGCGCATACCTGTAATCCCAACTACTTAGGAGGCTGAGGTAGGAGAATCATTTGAACCCAGGAGGCAGAGGTTGCGGTGAGCCCGGATCACACCATTGCACTCCAGCCTGTGCAACAAGAGCGGAACTCCGTCTCAAAGAAAAGAAAAAAAAATTTTTGATCCCATGAATTCTGGTCCTCGCTGTGGACGCCCGTATTACATTTTTGGCTTATTTTTCTTTCTTCCCTGTTTATTAAAATTTATAATTATCATTTAAATATCTAGCCAACTCGCACATCTAAACCTAGAAACTCACTGGTGTGTTAATGTTTACTTCTCTATTGTTAGTTTTCTGTTCTCTTTGATGCTGGTAGCAGCCTTTATCACAAGAGAATTGGCAACGTGTAATGGGCCAAGTTATTAAATAGGCGACTTCCTACAGGCTTTTAAAATAAAAGGTGTTGGGACTCAGAAAACAATGCTACAAAATGAAGGCCTCCGTAGTAACTTTTTCTCCTTCTCCTACCTTCCTCTTTCTCCCTCCCATTCTTCCCCGAAGCTAGCTATAGGAACTAGACTGCTTCCTTCCCAAGATGGAACATATAAACCAAAGCTAGACTCAAAGCTAGCCATAAAACCTAAAAAATATGAATCCAACTTTCCTTCTGCCTTTTTGTGTAAAAACTGGCAGTAAAGAAATTGCCTGGCCTACCTCGTTTGATTGTAGGTCATAAGACCCCGATTCAAGAGAGGGCTTGTCCTATTCCCAGGAGGAGAGAATGCTGCCCAAGAAAGTCCAAGAATATAGACAGGCCTTGCTGGGCTATTATCATTAGCTCAGTCTATTAGCATTAGCTCGTACCCTTTGTGTCCAATCATATTTCTACACAGCTGTCCCTACTTTGTTGAATCTAAGCATAAAAATGTATGATTTCCCCTGTATCTTTGAGTCTTCAGTTCGAAGGCTACTGGGTACATGTTAGTTAATTTGTATGCCCTGCTAGGCATGCAAATGTTAGGACTTCTACTGTGAAAAGAAATCAAATATGTAGAAACTAAACAAAAAGGAACTGTAAATTGCTGCTGTTAAAATGCCAGCAATATCAAAACTCTGTGAGACTGTGATATTTAGGAAGAATTTACATGCTTCTATAATAATTTTAATAGTATTTACATATTTGTATTATATATATAAAATTGTAATTTAATAGAACATTAGTTAATACATTACTGAATTTTTTTTTTTTAAGTTTTTTCGGCTGTAAGTTTATTCAATGCAAAACAATCCTCTCCAGTTTTACTGAGGTGGCTGACCAGGCCCACGACCAAATCTGCCTCTAAACTGGAATTCGGTTGTTGACCCAGCCCCAGCCTTGGCTTTCTTGTCAGCACCAGGGGACACAGCACTCCGTCTGTAGGTATCTCTGTCGGCTTCCCCTCTTGTGAGTCTTGCAGGTTGCTCACCCTCCAGACCTTCAGGCGGAGGCCTGCCAGTCTCTGGACGGCTGTGGTGTAGGGTGGCAGGCACAATCTCTGTGGGCAGATGAAGGTAATTACAGAGATACTGGATGCCCTCATTGGTAAGGTACCACTAGAAATGTCTCCAGGCAAACTGTTCCTTCAAGTAGCCCTGGGACTTGAGAGACTGCATGGCCTTCATGACACGAAGGTTGGGCACATTCTTGTCTGCCATTTCTAGGTGCTTAGGCATATGGACATCCTTCTTGGCCACCATGACTCCCTCCTTAAAAAGGAGTTCATAAATGGCAATCCAGTTCTTCTTACGCATCAACATCTCAGCAGCTGTAGGGTCCCGGGCTGGGGCTGGTACATTACTCAGTCTTTAAACTTGCATGGGTGTATTGGTTTCCTATTGCTGGTTTGAAAATTTATCACATTTTATGATTAAAAAATACAAATTTGTAATTATATAGTTTTAAAAATTGGGACTCAGTCACAGATCTTACTGAGCAAAAGTGTCAAGGTGTTGGCTTGATATTAAGTAAAGAAATAAAGAGCCTGTATCTTTTCCCTTGCCTTTTTAACTGATAGATGCCACTCTCTCCTTAGATCATGGTCCTTTTCTTTCATTTTCAAAGTCTGCAATTTATGGCCAAATTTTTCTCATGCTGCCATATCTCTAGTTCTCTATTCCAATTCCCTCTTCCACTTTTAAGAATCTTTGTAATTATATTGGGCTAATTCATAACATGCAATATAATCTCCTTACTTTAAGGTCAGCCAATTAGTAGCCTTAATTCCATGGAAACCTTAGTTGCCCTTTGTCATGTTACCTAACAAAGACTCCAGGAATTTGCAGACTCCAGGGATTAGGATGTGGTCATCACTGGGGTATCCTTATTCTGCTTAACATTTTTAGAATCTGATAGAAAGCTATATAATTTGTTCTGGGAAGGGGAAACACATATGGCCACATTTCTGCATATAATTTCAGAAACTTGTTGTATTCCCCTCAAGCTGATGTAGACCTTAGTTTAGATATTTACTTCTGGAACTACAGAAAGCAAAAATCGACTGCTATGCCAATGTAAATTGGCACATGAAGCCATTTAGTATTTTTAGTTTTCATTTTCCTAGGTTTTTCTTGTTGCTTTCATTTTTTCAGTTGGGTTTTGTTTATTTGAATGTTTATATATGCTTTGCATGTGCTGTGTTCTGTGTCCATTTATGTGCCGGACAGGGAGTGGGAAGTTGAAAAATAATTATGGGACGGGTGTGGTGGCTCACGCCTGTAATCCCAGCATTTTGGGAGTCTGAGGATGGTGGATCACCTGAGGTCAGGAGTTCGAAACCAGCCTGACCAACATGGTGAAACTCCGTCTCTACTAAAAATACAAAAAATAGCCGGGCATGGTGGTGCGCGCCTGTAGTTCCAGCTACTCGGGAGGCTGAGACGGGAGAATCGCTTGAACCCGGGAGCCAGAGGTTGCTGTGAGCCGAGATTGCGCCATTGCACTCTACTCTGAGCAACAATAGCGAAACTCCTCCTCAAAAAAAAAAAAAAAGTAATAATATAGAATACTATTCCTTTTTTCTTAACTGGGTTGAAATTCTAAGAATCTTTTATATATAATATTTTAAATATTTTTAAGATACAAAAACATTTTGTAAAAATTTTAAGTATTCTACACTGGATGCCATTCATAACAGTTTATGATCTTAAGTAAGGCTTGTAATTACCAAGAATACAGTAAAACTTCAGTATCTTTATATATGAGTATATAGAATAGAAAAATTGTATTTGTAAGTAGAATGACATAAATTATTTTTTCACTTAAAAATTACAACTTTTGCTTATTAGAATAAAATGAACACATATGAAGTCAACCCTGAAGGAAAAAAAGTCAAAAACAACTTTGAGGAAGTGACAAGAAAATATTTTAGGATTAGGGGTGTGTCTCATTACTCCCAAATGGTATTTTGCCAGTGGCCAAATTTTCTTTAACTAAACCAAGAACAATGTTGATTATTAGTGCTGCATCCAGGCTCGGGTGTTCACATTTTTTCAGTTTTCATGCACATTACTTGTCTTGCTTTCCTTATATTTTAAAGAATTTGATTACATTATTTTAACCAGCTAAATTCGCCAATGCTGCGATGACTAAACCGGAATTAAGGAAGACATTCCTTTCCCTCACACTATGTCAGTAGCAAAAGAGATATTTCAAAAGTTCTTTTCTTATGAAACCAATTTGACAAGGGACACATCACAGCACAACATAAGAAAAATGTGCTTATCAGCACAATGGGCTAGCCTTCTAACCAGCACTTGGGGTAAAACAAACATGCTACGGTTAAGTATAGCATTTTCCTTCAACCAGTCAAAAGAACTGTGGTCTAGACCTACACAGCAGCAACCCCCTCAAATGAGGATAAAACCAAACCTGTTGGTGGTAAACACGGAAAATATGCAGGTAATTACAACTCTATAGCTGAAAAAGTGGGTGGCTCTTAAAAGAGCCTTTGGGATTGGGTATGAAGACGTTAGAATTACTTAGAGCTGGTGTACTTGGTGACGGCCTTGGTGCCCTCTGACACGGCGTGCTTAGCCAGCTCCCCGGGCAGCAGCAGGCGTACGGCCGTCTGGATCTCCCTGGAGGTGATGGTGGAGCGCTTGTTGTAATGCGCCAGGCGGGAAGCCTCGCCAGCGATGCGCTCGAAGATATCGTTGACGAAGGAGTTCATGATGCCCATGGCCTTGGATGAGATGCCGGTGTCGGGGTGGACCTGCTTTAGCACCTTGTACACGTACACGGAATAGCTCTCCTTGCGGCTACGCTTGCGCTTCTTACCATCCTTCTTCTGCGCCTTGGTCACCGCCTTTTTGGAGCCCTTTTTTGGAGCAGGAGCGGACTTAGCAGGTTCAGGCATGATAAATAAACACTTCGTCCACAACCTAAAGAGAAATGCAAGTGTCCTCACTCTGCAGCTGGTAATATTTGTAGAGCTCCTATCGTAAACTGGCATTTAAAAGCTTACACATTGATTGGATGAATTGTCTCTGTGTGCCCTGTGGTATGCAAATTAGGTGATTCTAGCGTTTCTTTGCAATTGGTTGGTTGTTCTAGCCAATCAAATAGCGTTATTTACAATTCGACCTCCAAGTATAATAGTTTCTCACTTGCTAACAAAATTCACTTTTACATTTTTGTCTTCATTGCTTAACATCGTTTTTAAGAATTCAAAATGTCCGGACGCGGCAAGCAAGGCGGAAAGGCCCGAGCTAAGGCTAAGACCCGCTCTTCGCGGGCCGGACTCCAGTTCCCTGTGGGCCGCGTACACCGCTTGCTCCGCAAGGGCAACTACTCCGAGCGAGTCGGGGCCGGCGCGCCAGTGTATCTGGCGGCGGTGTTGGAGTACCTGACCGCCGAGATCCTGGAGCTGGCGGGCAACGCCGCCCGCGACAACAAGAAGACCCGCATCATCCCCCGACACCTGCAGCTGGCCATCCGCAACGACGAGGAGCTAAACAAGTTGCTGGGTAAAGTCACAATTGCTCAGGGCGGTGTTCTGCCCAACATCCAGGCTGTACTGCTCCCCAAGAAGACTGAGAGTCACCACAAGGCCAAGGGCAAGTAAAACGAGAACTCTTATATTGGCTTTTTAAGGAAGCAGTCTTAACAAAGGCTCTTTTCAGAGCCACCCATGTATTCCTTAAAAGGGCTCACATTTTCTGTGTAAATAGCTATTTTGCAGTTTTCTTTAATAATTTTTCCATTTATAAGTGGGTGTTCTTAACACTGAATCGTGAAACTAACCGTCCATTTTAAAGATGCCATAAAAATACATAAGCAAATTGGCGGGGCGCGGTTCCTTACGCCTGTAATCCCAGGACTTTGGAAGGCCAAGGTGGGCGGATCACAGGGTCAGGAGTTCCAGGACAGCCTGACCAACATGGTGTGAAGCCCCGTCTTTACTAAAAATAAAAAAATTTGTCGGGCGTGGTGGCGCGCGCCTGTAATTTCAGCTATTTAAGAGGTTGAGGCAGGAGAAAATGTTGAACCCCGGAGGCGGAGGTTGCAGTGAGTCGAGATCGCGCCACTGCACTCCAGTTTCGGCGACAGAGCGAGACTGTCTCAAAACAAACAAAAACCCAAAAAAGCAAACTAATTAAAATGCAAAGAGACTTTATGTCACATGTAATTTAAATCGATCAATGCAGCGGCTCGTTAGGATTGCAAAGCTGTTAAAAGGCCTGAGACATACAGGAGAGAAGTTAATGTTTGTCAGTGTTTACATTTACATAAAAATATAGTTAGTGACTTAAAGCAACAGAACCAGAACAAATGTTTTATTGTCTTTTGTATGCATCTTAATGATACGAAATAACCTGTAATTTGTAAGTATTTTTTGGGTTTGTTTTTGCAAGCCACTTTCAACTCTACTGAGCTAACCCTAATTAATTATCAATAGGAATACAAACCTACATCCCCTGGAGCCAGACGGCCCTTAGGTGGAGCTTCTTAGCACAGTGTTCAGCATGACTAAAAGGGCACACTGGTCTTTTTGTGCCATTTATAAATTTGGCTTTTTTTTTTTTTTTTTTTTACAGCAGATTACACAAATACCAGTTGAACTTGTAAAAGATAAGAGTGCTTTCATATGAGGATGACATATTGTGGTGAAATTAAATGTGTTCATGTAGCTTAACATCAGGTTTCATATTGTTACTTATGAGTTAATAGTCATGGTGCATTTGGAACAAATTATTGAAAATATCTCCAAGTTTAAATAGACAAATCAAGATATGAAATTAACCTTTCTAAACTTAAGAGGGTAAAAAGAAATCACTTGGCCAATCACAACTAGCGCGCGTCTTTTTAAAACGTTGATCAAAGCCAGTTTCAGCGCCAACATTTAAAAAAAAATTAAGACACGTCATCCTAGTAGCTAGACACAATTTTGCCAAGGAAAACCAAAGTACGTTTTAAATAAAAGCTAGAAACATGGCACAGAGGGGAAAGGGTTGAAAACACCAGCAGTTAAAGATGGACGGAGGAAAGTTTTAATATTTGGTCTACATGCAGGAGATGTTCTGTCAGGGAGTGGGCGTCTCCACCAATCGAGCTGCAGGGGAAAGGCTGCCTTGTCCAATCAGAACAGGGGTGTCTTTATATATACGGGTACGAAAGGCTAGACTTTCGTTTTTTCGTCATTTAGCAGGGTTTAGAAGTTCGCAATGGCTCGTACCAAGCAGACTGCTCGCAAGTCCACGGGTGGGAAAGCGCCACGCAAGCAGCTGGCCACCAAGGCTGCTCGAAAGAGCGCTCCAGCCACCGGCGGCGTGAAGAAGCCCCACCGTTACCGGCCCGGCACGGTGGCTCTGCGCGAGATCCGCCGCTACCAGAAGTCGACCGAGCTGCTGATTCGCAAACTGCCATTCCAGCGTCTAGTCCGTGAGATCGCGCAGGACTTCAAGACTGATCTGCGTTTTCAGAGCTCGGCGGTGATGGCGCTGCAGGAGGCCTGCGAGGCCTACCTGGTGGGGCTGTTTGAGGACACCAACCTATGCGCCATTCACGCCAAGCGAGTGACTATCATGCCCAAGGACATCCAGCTTGCTCGCCGCATTCGTGGGGAGAGGGCGTAAATTGTCTTGTGAATGTGTGCTAACCAAAACCCAAAGGCTCTTTTCAGAGCCAACCACCTTTTCTATAAAAGTTGCTGTTTACTGTTGCTGTCCGTAAACTGGAACCTCTGTTCACTCAAGGTAAGTAAGCATTCTTGCCTCTATCCGTTCCCCCTCCCCTCACGGAATTGGTGCAAAAAGCTTTATTATAATTGGGGAGTTCTTAAAACAGCCTTTAAGGTACTCTTATATCTCCTTGTTTTGGGGGCCGCTTTCTTAGGCTTGGATGCCTCCGGCTTGGGAACTTTCTTGGCCACCTTTGACCAACCAACCTTCTCCAGCAGCCTCCACCAGCAAAAGCTTTTGGGGTCCGCTTAGTACTCTTTTTCGGAATAAGGACGCCCCAAGCTTTCTTGGGCCTCTCGGCTGCCAGGACAGCTGTCTTGGGCATGACTGCAGCGGCTTTTCTGGCCTCGGTCTTGATTTTCCTAACACTGCCTGGTTTGGCGGGAATGAACCTGAGGCGCTGCACTCCTTAGCACGAAGATGCCCTCGTTTGTTTTCAAGGCCCAACTTTATTCAAATAATTTTTAAAAATTTGTATTTATTTTTAGGGACGAGGTCTCACTGTGTTACCCAGGCTGGCCTCAAAACTCCTTAGCTTGGCCAGGCGAGGTGGCTCAGGCCTGTAATCACAGCACTTTAGGATGCCAAGGCGGGCGGATCACGTGATGCCAAGAGTTCGAGACCAGCCTGCCCAACACATTGAAACTTCGTCTCTACTGAGAATACAAAAATTAGCCGGGTGTGGTGGCACACGCCTGCAGTCCCAGCTACATGGAAAGCTGAGGCAGGAGAAGGGCTTGAACCCGGGAGGCGGAAGTTGCAGTGAACCGAGATCACACCACTGCACTCCAGCCTGGGCAGCAGAGCTAGACTCCTTCAAAAAAAAAAAAAAAATCCCCAAGGACAAACAAAACCACCAAAAACAACTCCTTAGCTTAAGAGATTCTCCCGCCTTGGCCTCACAAAATGCTGAGATTACAAACGTAGGCCACCGCGACCGGCAAGGGCCGATCTTCATATCGTAGCCGCCAACACCTACTTGAGCGCGGCCACAGAGAAGGCCGCTGCGCTTCTTGGAGACGGCTAAGTCATTAGTGATGAACTCACATACCGGAGGGGCCTGGACATCTTGCACTTCACTGCAACTTCGGACTTGCAACCTTTTTCTTTACTTCAGTCTTTGACTTGGGAGATAGACCAGGAGTCACGGCATGTACAGTTTCGGACATGATTGTAGGTTTGGATATCTAACAGTTAAAAAAAAAAAAAGTCAGGCTGCGAGTGTGTCTGTGATTACGTGTGTGTCACACACAGACACGCTGCGCGCTGATTGGTTCCCAGCTCAGTCTTTCAGCTTGGCAGCAACCTAGTCTCAACCCTGTTTCTGAGTTGTGTTTGCGGAAATTCAGAAAATCAAAATAGTTTAAATTTCCTGAGGAGGAATCACACCAATTCTATTCTACAATGAACTGGAACGGCTACGGTGTTATGATCTTTACATTTTCTTTCTCTAGTTTTTACTTAAGGCAGCCTCGGCCTTTATCAAAAGTTCCAACTTTCAGAGATTCACAGTTCAGAGGGACAACTTCTTGATTTTCATTTAAAATATAAATTCTTCCATTCGTGTCTTCAATTGTTTGCTGTCTTCTAATAATAGCCTACACATTTTTGGCTTCTCATACATTGAACAACTACTTGATTTTCATTGAGATTTAACGAGGAAATCTGTTTTATATGAGAAGAGAAACAACAGGTTCTTTTTGAATTTCTCCACAAGAACAGCAGTACGGATACTTAGAACAACAGCCCTTTCTGATAAAATTAGCTGGGGCTGAAAATATTTCATGATAGCTTCTTGTAACTATTTGGACGTTTAGTTACTTTGGGAGGGTTCCAGTAAATGTTCAACGTTTCCTTGGGAAAATGGGAAATACAATGATCACTGATTCTCCTGATATTGGGACTGTTTGCATAGCTGAACTCAGGAGAGATCCACGAAAGGACATAAAAGAGACAGAGTTTGACTCATTTAAGGGTCAAAAAAAAATTTTTTTTTTAAATTTTTACTGGGGGAAATTTGTTATTAAAATATTCATGAGTCTTTGGGTTCAGGGGTCTGTCATGCTTGGTGACACGGGGAAAATAGACTTTGGTAAACTATTCAAGTACCAGGATCAAAGAATATACACACAAGCACCACACACACACAAAATTCCCTAGAGAGAGAAATTTAAAAAACAGCCATGTTTCATATTCAGTACTACATTTCTTGTTTAAACAAGGATATAGGCTTATAGTGATGAAGTACAGCTTATGTTCGATATGAGAAGAAAATGGAGTGATGGCAGAAAGTGAATTAACTGATTTTCTTCACTCCTCAATGTCTTGAACGTATGCTGATCTGGGGAGCATATACATTTCTGTTTTACTAAGACTATGAAGGAGATAAATGCTGGGAACAGACAGAGTAAAGCCCAAAAGGTGAGGGTTTCACACTTTTTGATCTCATCAAAATACAAATGACTTCATGTAGCAAATTAAACTAGGACATGAACAAATTAATAAATGTTAATAAAAATTAAAATCAAATGTTTGAGATGAGACATGAGCTAAATATGAATCACATTTACTTTGAGTGTGTATTCACTTTTTATGGAGCCCATGTATTTCTAATCTTAAAATGGCTTTGACCCATTTTATATTTATATTTTATACTTATATTTGATTTCCTGGAGCACCAACAAAGGAAGAACTGACTTGTAGCCTTCCAACTGCAGGAATTCTCTGAGGTACTGTCCTATTTGCCTTCATGGGTTTGTGAGTTAGTTTCTTACAGGTAACTAAAGTCTCTCCCTTCAGGCCTGTCCTCTTGCCTAAGTATCAAAGTTGGATTTCTGGATGGTTGCTGGATATCTGCTTGTTCATCTTCTATACCAGACTCTCAGTATGACCATCCTTATCTAAGTAGCTTCTGTCTAAGATTGCTGGATATTGGCTTCATTGTTTACGTATATCACACCCTCAACATATCCAACCACATCTAGGAAGCAACCTTTCAAGTGACATTCCTATATATTCTGTTCACAACAACACTATTGCTTTGTTAACTGACACTTCAATTATTCCCTTTCCTTTGTTGCCAAATCCAATCTGTTACTAAGTTTGGTGAATTCTTCCTAAATTCATCTTTCCTTGTTTATTTGCCTTTTCATGGTTGTAATTCTTGCTCTTCTATCTCTTCTTTGGACTGGCTATTTTTATAGCCTTCTTATGGGTGGCTCCTTTCTCTCATCCCTTTGTGCTGTCATTCATTCTCTTCATTGCTCTGGGTGAAATATTCTTCATATGAGCTTCAAATTTATATGCCCCATCTCCTTGTAGCTTTATGTTTTCTTCACTTAACTGGTTTTCTCTATTCTTATAAGCCGTGAAGAAAAAGCTGGATTCATATAGCTTTAGATTTAAGAATAATCTTAGTATGGCAATCAAACTCTTTTATATGGCCTTAAATCAACAATCTGGCAGTGTGGTTTAGTAGAAGCATGGAATTTGCAAACATGATGACATGTATTTCAGTCTTGTTTTGCCCCTTAGCAGCTATGTGATCTTGGTCTAATTATATTACCTTGCAGAGTATCTTTTTTCAGTTTTTTTCTTCTTTTTTTCTCTCTCCCCCACCCTGTTTTAAACTTCAAACTAATCTAATGACATACTTTGAAATTTTTATATTTTTCATTCCCCATCTCTCAAAATAGATGAGATCTCTCTCTGTTTTGAATTCTTACATTGATGTCTTTCTTTTTTTTCTCTTTTTGAGATGGACTCTCACTCCGTTGCCCAGCCTGGAGTGCAGTGGCGTGATCTTGGCTCACTGCAACCTCCGTCTCCCAGGTTCAAGCGATTCTTCTGCCTCAGCCTCCTGAGTAGCTAGGACTACAGGCGCGCGCCACCACGCCCAGCTAATTTTTGTATTTTTAGTAGACACTAGTGACAGGGTTTCACTGTATTGGCCAGGCTGATCTCTAACTCCTGACCCTGTGATGTGCCCGCCTCCGCCTCCCACAGTGCTGCAACTAGAGGCATGAGCCACGGCACCAGGCCCCCTACATCGATTTCGTAAAAGGCCATTATAATCTGTCTCGTATTATCTGCATACTTGTCCACTTTTAAATCTTCCTAGTAGTTTACAAACATCTAAAAGTACAGATTAGTATTATAGTACGGCATACAAATATTTATGTAAAAAAACTTGCAGAAATGCATATAGGGAATTGTGTGGAACCAGAACATAACTCAAGTGTCCTTAACTTTCCATTTCTTTATTTTGCCTTTATGGCTACTCCCCAAATGATTGTTTTCTGCAGCAGTATGCCCTGTGCAGTATTGTTGACATAGTAGTGCTTGACTCTTGTTTTTCATTTTAAACTGAATAACTAGGTGAGACATTATACACCACTGAGGATGCAGATCAATTATAAAATAGGTAACTTGCTCAAGTTTTCACCATTTAGCTCTGAGTGGCCCATACTATGCCTCTCCTTCTAAGAAGGATTTTATTTTATTTATTTACTTATTTATTTATTGAGATGGAGTCTCACTCTGTCGCCCAGGCTGGAGTGCAGTGGTGCAATCTTGGCTCACTGCAACCTCTGCCTTCCGGGTTCAAGTGATTCTTGTGCCTCAGCCTCCCATGTAGCTGGGATTACAAGAGCATGCCACCATGCCCAGCTAATGTTTGTATTTTTAGTAGTGTCAGGGTTTCTCCATGTTACCCAGGCTGCTCTTGAACTGGGCTCAAGTGATCCACCAGCCTTGGCTTCCCAAAGTGCTAGGATTACAGGCGTGAGCCACCGCACCCGGCCAGAATAATATTTATTTATTTATTTATTTTTGAGATGGAATTTCACTCGTCACCCAGGCTGGATTACAGTGACTTAATCTTGTCTCACTATAACTTCTGCCTCCCAGGTTCAAGCAATTCTCTTGCCTCAGTCTCCCAAGTAGCTGGGATTACAGGTATGCACCACCATTCCCAGCTAATTTTTGTATTTTTAGTAGAGACGCGGTTTCACCACGTTGCCAGGCTGGTCTCGACCTCTTGACCTCAGGTGATCCACCCACCTCGGCCTCCCAAAGTGCTGGGATGACAGGCATGAGCCACCATGCCCCGCGCAGAATAGTGGTTTTAAATGCATTAGATAATATATAGGAATGCAAAGTGAAACAATTATATTAGTATGCCATTATCAAATTATAAAAAATCTAAATTGGTGAAATATTAACATATGTGCTTTTAAATTTTTTATTTTATTTACTTACTGATTTTGAGACAGAGTCTCACTGTTGCCCAGGCTGGAGTGCAATGGTACGATCTTGGCTCAGTGCATCCTCTGCTTCTCAGGTTCAAGCGATTAGCTACCCAAGTAGCTGTGCGCCACCATGCCTGATAAATTTTTGCATTTTTAGTAGAGACATGGTTTTGCCATGTTGGCTAGACTGGTCTGGAACTCCTGGCCTCAAGTGATCCTCCCATCTGGGCCTTTCAAAGAGCTGGGAGTTACAGGCATAAGCCATGGCCTGGCATATGTCCTTTTTAAATTAATACATTAAATAATAATCTACCCATATGACTAAGACTTATTATAGTTTTGAAGGATTGAGGTTTTTTTTTGTTTTTTTGTTTTTTTTTTGAGATGGAGTCTTGCTGTTTTGCCCAGGCTGGAGTGCAGTGGCACGATCTCTGCTCACTGCAAGTTCCACCTCCCAGGTTCACGCCATTCTCCTGTCTCAACCTCCTGAGTAGCTGGGACTACAGGTGCCCGCCACCATGTCCGGCTAATTTTTTTGTATTTTTAGTAGAGATGGGGTTTCACTGTGTTAGCCAGGATTGTCTCCATCTCCTGACCTCGTGATCCTCCCGCCTTTGCCTCCCAAAGTGCTGGGATTACAGGCGTGAGCCACTGCACCCGGCTTTAGGATTGAGATTTTTAAATGAAATTTCGAGATATTGGCAATGAGAATGTGATATAAATAGAAGCACTTGTCCTGCCAATTACACTGTTTGTTGCCTGAGTTCATACACAGAAAAAATGCTGTTTCTGTTGGAGAATAGTAAAAAGAAAAAAAAAAGATTTGACTTTTTTTTTTTCTATACTCATTCCCAGATCCCCTGAAGACTTTCTATGTATCCCAGGCTAAGAACCTTACTCTGCAATCTTTTCCATGTACCATAAACTCAATAAACAGCAAACAGCTGTGATAAACTTGGTTCTTCTCACAAGTCATGAAGGAAAAGCCAAATATTCCACCCAAAGGACCTGGAACTTTTTATGGGGATTAATGATGAGTTAAGTTTTTAATTATTTATTATTTTGAGGAGTTCTCGAAATCAGATTTTAGCAAATTAGAATACTGTCTCTCATCCCTTTAGAAGGGTGAACCTTAAGGATAGGAATTGAAAACACCCACAATATTGTACTATACCATAATTAATGTTTAGTCATTGCTTATTTGGAATCTAGACACTATTCTAAGCATTTTGATAGGATTATCTGTTTCAACTTAACAAATACTTACAAGTTAGATTTTTAAAAATACATTTACAACAAGGAAACTTAGTATAGCTTGCCCAGGGTCACCCCCACAGCATGTATGTCAAGCAGGCTGTCTCTATGATAGTTTGGAGGGATACTATGATGCCAATTTGCTGGAGTAATAGAATATGGTGAATGATGCAGTGCTAGCTACAATCTGTCCATGATTAAAGGCACAATCAAAGCATAAATTTTCATAAATTTCAGCCCAACAAGGTTTTCTTTTACGGGTGTACATAGTCATGTTTTCAATCGGCCCTCGGTGATCTTATCCTAATTTGACCTCTAAATGTGTAACTTTCATATACTTTTAGTTCCCTCAGTAGCACTATCTAGCCTGCATGCCAAAGAGCCCTGCTTGGTTAACTAGGAATGCATAAATCAATAAAAATAATCTCAGAGACAATAAAGATATGAGTTACTTAAAATACTTTGAAAGCACCTTATGGCCCGGCGCGGTGGCTCACGCCTGTAATCCTAGCACTTTGGGAGGCCGAGGCAGGTGGATCACAAGGTCAGGAGTTCGAGACCATCCTGGCCTATGGTGAAACCCCGTCTCTACTAAAAAAATACCAAAATTAGCTGGGCATGGTGGCGGGCGCCTGTAACCCCAGCTACTCGGGAGGCTGAGGCAGGAGAATTGCTTGAATCCGGGAGGCAGAGGATGCAGTGAGCCTAGATCGTGCCACTGCATTCCAGCCTGGGCAACAGAGCAAGAACCCGTCTCAAAAAAAAAAAAAAAAAAAAAAAAAAAAAGCACCCTGTGAGGGAAACAGTACTAATTATTTGATATTCTGGGAAAAGTGGGGGACAATTGTCAGGCTTCTTTGTCGAAAGTTTATGAACTGATGGCTCAGTTAATGGCTGCAAGTATAGTGTGTGTGTATATATATATATATACCTAGCAGTATTTATTAAATCCCAGCTGAGGCTCTTTTGTTGCCTCAGGCCCCTCTTGGTCTCCTCCAGTCTGAGCAAGGGAGAATTGCACAGAAGGGCGGGAACTGACTGTGGTTCCCGCCCCTTCTCATGAGGTTTTCAAACAGGTCCGTCATGCTATTATAAAAGTGCTGCGTGGCTCTGCCAGACGTATTGCGTTACAGATTTAACAGCTGTGGTTTCAAGATGTCTGGCCGCGGTAAGGGCGGAAAGGGTCTAGGTAAGGGTGGCGCCAAGCGTCACCGTAAGGTATTGCGTGACAATATCCAAGGAATCACCAAGCCCGCTATCCGCCGCCTGGCTCGCCGCGGCGGCGTCAAGCGTATTTCTGGCCTCATTTATGAGGAAACTCGCGGAGTGCTGAAAGTTTTCCTGGAAAATGTAATCCGCGATGCTGTCACCTACACGGAACACGCCAAACGCAAGACAGTCACAGCCATGGACGTGGTGTACGCGCTCAAGCGCCAGGGACGCACTCTTTATGGCTTCGGCGGCTGAGCTTACCTCTACAGTACACTACCGCAAAACCAACGGCCCTTTTCAGGGCCACCTATCCACTCAGGAGAAAGAGTAGTAGTCACTGCTAAAAGTGTAGTTTCACGTGTTTAGTAGCTCCGGTTTTCAAGTTAAATGGTCTTATTACGCCTTGGCTTCATATCTTACTGGCCGGTGAGGATAGTGTATTAAAGTTTATTTTCACTCTTGCTGTGTCGCCCATGCTGGAGTAATCAATGGCGCGATCTCGGCAATCTGCAGTCTCCGCCTCCCGGGTTCAAACGATTCTTGTGCCTCAGCCTCTTGCGTAGCTGGGGCAACCGGCTTGCGCCACCAACACCCGGCTAATCTTTGTATTTTTTGCAGCGATGGGTTTTCGCCATGTTTCCCAGGCTGGTCTTGAACTCAAGCTCAAAAGAGATTTCCCTCCTCCGCCTCCGAAAGTGCTGGGATTACAGGCGTGAGCCACCACGCTTGGCCTGTGTTTTCTGTATTTCTGTAAGGAAACATGGCAAACTGCTGCTAACATTCTTCATGGCTATCAGAGAAACAAGGTAGCAAAGACTGTAGCTGCTGGAGAAACAAGGTAGCAAAACCTGTATCTCAGAAGGCAAGTGGTAAAGGCTGATGCTGCCGTGAAGAATAGTGAAAAAAATGGAGGTAGTTACTAGTTCCTACCAAGGCATTGTTATATGAAAGGAAGACAAAATGGCATTCAGATGGTTATTGGTGTGGGGGGATGGGAGGTGTGTTGGAGGCACTTGACTGGCAAATACATTCTTTAAAGAAGAAAGTAGTAATTACCGTGGGAGAAACAACCATGAAAGTACATAAGATTCAACATTTTTTAGTGGAATGGGGAGAGGCCAACTTGTTTGGTTCTGTTCCTCTGAGCTGCCTTCCATCCAGATCTACTGATTTTCTATTGTTGAATTTAAAAGGACTTTTTATTTATGTACCCGTGGCCAATTTAAAGGTATGTTGAACGAGTTCTTTTTTTGTTGTCCTTTTATCTTAAATAGTCTTAGACTTTATTATTAACAGAAGTCATTTTACCTTAAATCATAGATCAGGTTACTGTGGTTGCATGAATGGGTGTTTAAAACCGAGGTTGTCATGATTAAATTCCCACCTTCTTTCCCTTTACACCTCAGGAAATGAGACAAAAATAAGTAAGCCATTCCCTAGTGGGTTACTCCAGTCCTTACAATCGCAGGACTATCAGTATGCCACTGTATTATTCGCTGTCCTCAAAATGGATTTTAATTTGTGGAGAATATTGAGTAAACCCTTATTTTTCCAATAAAGTTTTTTCACTTTATCATAATAAAAAGAAAGCTGGACAGGTGGCTATCTAGCAAGAGACAACATTTCCTGGTCTTTCTGGGAGCAGATGTAAGCATGTGGCTACATTATTTCCAACACAGGTGAGACACATAGAAAAGTTACTACCAGGTCTGGGCTTTGAAACTTCCATGTTACCTTCTTCCCCAAGTATAATGGTATTGATTTCATTTTGAGCAATTAGAGAACATCAGGCCCTAGGAGATGACAGAACATTGACTTGGAAGGAACGAAATTTCCTGATTGATCACAAGGAGCAGAGCTGCTTCACAAAGCTGGACTAATCACAATGGATTTGTTCCATGAAACAAAAATATCTGTCTTTAAGCTTATTTATTGTTGAGTCTCTTTGTAAGCAGCATAACTTTATCACACAAAATTCAGTTTTGTTACTAAACTTATTTAGTATTGTGGAATGTCCTTCCATTGACCTGAAAGCTCTTTACAGAAAAGCTGATGCCAAATGAGCCTGTCGACTTGGTATCACCTCTGTTGGGTTCCATTATAGACAGAACAGAGTGGGGCTGATTACAAGTTAGAGATCAGGCAAGGCACGTGGCTCACGCCTGTAATCCCAGCTCTTTGGGAGGCCAAGGTGTGTGGATCACTTGAGGTCAGGAGTTTGAGACCCGCCTGGCCAACACGGAGAAACCTCGTCTCTAATAAAAATACAAAAATTAGCCGGGCATGCTGGCACATGCTTGTAGTCCTAGCAACTTTGGGGTCACAGAGTGAGACTCTATCTCAAAAAAAAAAAAAGTTATCAATGGGTAGACTAGATAGTCTATATGTCTTCAGCAGTGGTAACCTGTATATTTCAATGGGCTGACTTCCCTTCAAGAGTGGTTCTGCTGGGCACTGTGGCTCTCACCTGTAATCCTGGCACTTTGGGAGGGCAAGGCAGGGGGATCACCTGAGGTTGGGAGTTCGAGAACACCCTGACCAACATGGAGAAACCCTGTCTCTACTAAAAATAAAAAACTAGCTGGGCATAGTGGCACATCCCTGTAACCCCAGTTACTCAGGAGGCTGAGGCAGGAAAATCGCTTGAACCCAGGTGGCAGAGGTTGTGGTGAGCCAAGATCGTGCCATTGCACTCCAGCCTGGGCAACAAGAGCAAAACTCTGTATCAAAAAAAAAAAAAAAAAAAAAAAATAGAGTAGTTTGTAGTAATAGATGGATCAAAAACTCCTTTGAGAATCTGTTGAAAATAGACATATGAACATAGACATTTTATGAGGCTCATTATTCTCAGAAACTCAAGGAACTCCCAGGGCTCCATGGATTCCTGTCAACAACCAGAAGTCTAGGATTTCAGGGTCTGAGATCTAGAGATCCCAAATTTAAAGATAGAGAGGAATCGCAGACATAATACTAAATAATACATTGAACAGGAGTGAGTTACCATTTGCTGAGTGAAATAGACCTATATTCTTCTTCTTCTTCTTCTTTTTTTTTTTTTTTTTGAGATGGAATTTCCCTCTGTCACCCACGCTGGAGTGCAGTGGTGTGATCTTGGCTCACTGCAGTCTCCGCCTCCTGGGTTCAAGCAATTCTCCTATTCTTCTGCCTCAGCTTCCCAAGTAGCTGGGACTACAGGCCTGTGATACTATGCTCAGCTAATTTTTGTATTTTTAATAGAGACAGGGTTTTGCCATGTTGGACAACCTGGTCTTGAAATCTCGACCTCAGATGATCCGCCCTCCTTGGCCTCCGAAAGTGCTGGGATTACAGGCGTGAGCCACCATGCCCAGTCTATCATCTCTCTTCCTTCACTAGGATATGAGCCTCAGAAGGGCAGTCTCTTGTCTATCTTGCTCACTGAAGTATTTCAATGCCTGGCACAGAGGGAATGCAATCAATATTTGATGAAATACTGAATGAAATCCCTTCAACTACTCTCTGATTTGTTTATTGTATCCCCTGCTCCATTACTCCTGCCATTTCTTTGGCTTGAAACTTTATCCTCCTTCAACATCATTTCCCTCCACTGCATCCAGTCTCTTGCCACCAGAAGCATATTCCTAGAACTAGTTATAATTTTGTTAGTCCTTGCTCACAAGCTTTCTATAACCTTATTGTCTGCAAAATAAATCTAAACTTCATTGTTTGACATTCAGACTCTTCACAATCTTCTCCCACATCTTTATCACAAGAAAACTCCACGTGAGCAGGAGGCTTGGTTAGCATATTCTTTATCTCAGCAATCTCCTTTAACAAGCTCTCCAGGTGATTCTGATGCACACTGAAGTCTGAGAACCACTATTCTCAGTGCAGAAGTCCTCAGTACAAAATTCACTGCTTGGCACTTGAATATGAAGGAATGACTATCCATTTTCAACCTACTGGATATTCCTTCCATCCACCTTCGCCTGGAAGCTGCTTGTATCAGGCAGTGCAGATGCCTCCTCCCCAAAAGTCATTTTCCCTCCTTTCTTCCTAATACAACTTTCTTTGTTCCCTGACTTGTTCTCCAGAGAAGGCAGAGTTCCTTCTAGCCTCAGGGATCTGATTAATTTGACTACACCTATCCTAAAGATCACATGCCCCTTATTAATGATTGGATTGGGGATAGGTATATAGTCAGTTTTTGTGATTAGGAGAATCCTTAACAATGGAGACCCAACTTCTCTAAGAACATGATAAAGATGAGATGGGGATTGTCGATCAATGAACAATGTGTGTATGTGTTTGTGTGCGAGCGCGAGTGTGGTTGCACACTGAGAATTGTTCAAGTCTAATTGGTGAAACCAGACAGGTGAGGCGGTAGAGGGAAGAGGGTTTTATTTTTTCCTTTAGAACCTAAAATAAAAATCCAAATTAAGACCTTTTTGAAGTAATTGAGGAAAGGAAAAAAGCAAATTCAACATTAAGAACTACTTGAAAGCAGCAGTCTCCTCTCCTCCTTCCCCACCCCCGCTCCAGCCCCCCATAATATGGGCTTCTTTGGTAAAACCCGTATTTTTAAGGACTCTTGAGAAACGAAGTTTCTCTTCGTAGAGCAAAACTATGAAATTACTATTGCCTCTTAGGTACTATCGAGTGATACCTCATAAAACACGGAAACCAGAGTTTCATAAAGCCACCAGCCCAGACAGTGAGTGCCATTTTAAGTTTTAAAAACATGCCTATTTCAGCTGCAGGAGTTTCTAGTATCTTCACATGTCAGTATATAGCTCCAATTGTGAAAAGGTGAGTGGCTCTGAAAAGAGCCTTTGGGTTTACTAAGGCAGTTGCAGGGACAAGTTTACTTGGAGCTGGTGTACTTGGTAACGGCCTTGGTGCCCTCTGACACAGCGTGCTTGGCCAGCTCCCCGGGAAGCAGCAGGCGCACGGCCGTCTGGATCTCCCTGGAGGTGATGGTCGAGCGCTTGTTGTAATGCGCCAGGCGGGAAGCCTCGCCGGCGATGCGCTCGAAGATGTCGTTGACAAAGGAATTCATGATCCCCATGGCTTTAGAGGAGATGCCGGTGTCGGGGTGGACCTGTTTCAGCACCTTGTACACGTATACGGAGTAGCTCTCCTTGCGGCTGCGCTTGCGCTTCTTGCCGTCCTTCTTCTGCGCCTTGGTCACGGCCTTCTTGGAGCCCTTCTTCGGGGCGGGAGCGGATTTCGCTGGCTCAGGCATGCTATCTTTGCTGTTCTGCAGTTAGGAAAGAAAATGAAATCTACATCTCCTGATCCTCGGAATTTGTAGACAATGTTATGTAAATGAAGATTTAGTTTCTCCAACTCTGATTCGTTATTTTGTCGTGAAGTCTGCATGCAAATGAAGGAGCTTAGGTCTACTCTCCCATTGGTCATATCCTGAGAGCAGTTTTCGAGCACGGGCCACCTAATTAACATTTTATATAACAAGTTCCTACCATTGCAAACAATTCAGATTAGTTTACTTATTTTAAAAACCAGAAGTTGCTCTCTTCTATGCTTTTATATGCCAGGGAGACAAAGCTCCTGGCGCAGTTACGTCTTCGAATTGAAAGGTCGGTTTAAAAGCTCCTGGAAAAGCTATGCCTTGACATTCAGATGTAGATTCTGGAGCAGCAGGAGATACCTGAAGAACGGCAAGCTAGGCGACCGGCGATCACCCACACAATCCGGAGAACAGTGTTTCCCACTTTTTACAGAATGCACAAACACATCGTGAAAATAAAGGGTAGGCAATAAAGCTCCGGAGAAAACAACAACAAAAAAGTAAATAGCATCTCTTGAAGAGAGCTAAGACAGGAAAGACTTTCTTAGCCAAAATGGCTACAGTCCTTAATGGAAAAGCAAGTCACACCTAGTTTAGCCCTACAACGAGGATCAGAAATAAATATTCCGTCTAACTAGTGAAAATATTTTTTAAAAAATTAAAATGAAAGCCTATTTAACAAACAGCTTTACTTTCAAGTTAGTATTATTATCTTTGGCTGAAGCCCGCTGCTTAGCTAACTTCAGTTTAAGAAACTGTTCTTCCTAAATTTGACTGTCCTTTTTAAGCCCCCACTCCTTCACCCCACGCTCCCCAGCCCCCTAGCCCTTCTCCTCTCCTGCCACCATTCCCATTTCCCGGGCCCTAAGTCTCCAGGAATGAAGGTGCTGCGCAAAAAGTATTCCGCTCTGTGGGTTAGCATCTAACAAAAGTGTACTCTGAATTTATTGTGTCTTATCTTTGTTTCACAAAATAATTTGTTTTTCTCACTTCAGTGATGACGAGAAAACCTTAAAATCTGTTTAACATCTTTTTTAATTTTCAATGTAGCTAATGTAGCAGTGTTCAGAATAATAGCTAATGTGCTTTATTTGTATTTATTTAATCAAAAAATCTTGGGCCGGGCGCAGTGGCGCAAGCCTGTAATCCCAGCACTTTGGGAGGCCGAGGCGGGTGGATCACCTGAGGGCAGGAGTTCGAGACCAGCCTGACCAACATGGTGAAACCCCGTCTCTACTAAATACAAAAACTTAGCTGAGTAGGGTGGCACACGCCTGTCATCCCAACTACTTGGGAGGCTGAGGCAGGAGAATCGCTTGAACACGGGAGGTGGGGGTTGCAGTGAGCTGAGACTGCACCGCTGTACTCCAGCCTGGGCAACCAGAGCAAAACTCCTTCTTAAAAAAAAAAAAAAAAAGGGCCGGGCGCGGTGGCTCACGCCTGTAATCCCAGCAGTTTGGGAGGCTGAGGCGGGCGGATCACAAGGTCAGGAGATCGAGACCATCCTGGCTAACACGGTGAAACCCTGTCTCTACGAAAAATACAAAAAATTAGCTGGGCGTGGTGGTGAGCGCCTGTAGTCCCAGCTACTCGGAAGACTGAGGCAGGAGAATGGCGTGAACCTGGGAGGCGGAGCTTGCAGTGTGCCGAGATTGGCACTGCACTACAGCCTGGGCAACAGAGCGAGACTCTGTCTCAAAGAGGGAGAGAGGAAAAAAAAAAAAAGGTCTGGCGTGGTGTCTCACGCCTGTAATCCCAACACTTTGGGAGGCCGAGGCATGCGGATCCCGAGATCAGGAGTTTGAGACCAGCCTGGCCAATATAGTGGAACCCTGTCGCTGCTAAAAATACAAAAATTAGCCGGGCGTGGTGGCGCATGCCTGTAGTCTCAGCTACTTGGGAGGCTGAAGGAGATCCCGGGAGGCCGAGGTTGCAGTGAGCCGAGACCGCACCATTGCACTCCAGCCTACGTGACAGAGCAACAGCAAGACTCCATCTCAAAAAACAAAACAAAACAAACAAACAAAAAAACATGTGATATTACTTTTGTTCTCATTTAACAGAAAGGGAAATTAGAGTACCCAAGTTGCGGCATCCTGCCCCAAACCCCATCGCTTATACTAGGTGTAACCAGAATGATGATTTAGGCAGTCTGGCTTGGATCTAGTCTGTTAGAAAACATCTTCACCTACCTTGGTGGGCTGTGTTGCAAAAAGAGAAAAATGCTTCTTGTTCTTCTTATGTTAAAAGAATGGAAAATGAAGCATTTCTTTAATGACTATAAGAGGTTGTTAGAAATGAAAAAAAAAACCTCTGATGGTATATCTAGTCAGTAGAGAAAAAGGAGAAAGACAAATGAGAGAAAATTTAAACCGTATTAAGGGAAAAGTGGCAGAGGGAGAGAAAAAAGAAACAGACACAATGGAAAGAGAGACAGACGTGAAGAGTAGGATAAAAAGAAAGAAATTCACCTAAAGAGGATGAACTAATACGTTGGAGAGACACAAAATGAACATACACAAAGAAAACCAGAGGGAGAGGAGTCCAGTGATACAATCTGCAACTGCAAGAAGAAACAGAAAGAAAAGTGCAGATGAAGGCCCTTAACTACATCCAAACTACACATATCAGATATTCAACTGACAAGATTGGATTGAGACCCTTAAATGATTTTAATGAGGCAGGTAACATTGCCATTTGTGATTTTTGAAATTCCTGCTAAAGACTAAAATTTCTGCACTTTTATATCTATATGAATAAAAATGGTGATGTGGCACATAAGTAAGAAAAAGATAGGGGAAATTTAAAAAATGACAAAAACTGTAGAGTGGCATTGAGGTTTCCTGTCTCTGATTGAGATCTCAGGAGAGTTTTAAACATTTTTATAGTAAATATTATATCTGCACAAAAGGGTATATGCAACATAAACAAGAATTGTAAAACAAATGGTTGGTACTTAAAAACCCAGTTTAAGAACTAAAATGTCATTAGTAATTAAGTAGGCCCTGTATATAACTCTCCCCAATTCCGTGGGAGAGACAGGAAGAACTTTGAGCTAGGCGAACAGCGATCACTCACACAATCTTATGAACAGTATATCTCACTTTTCACAGAGTACACAAATACATCATCAAAATAAAGGGCAGTTTAAGAACTAGAATGTTGGGCTGGGCGCAGTGGCTCATGCCTATAATTCCCAGCACTTTGGGAGGCCAATGCGGGTGGATCATCTGAGGTCAGGAGTTCGAGACCAGCCTGATCAACATGGTGAAACCCTGTTCCTATTAAAAATACAAAAATTAGCTGGGCATGGTGGCACACATCTATAATCCAGCTACTTGGTTGGCTGAGGTAGGGAGAATCGCTTGAACCTGGGAGATGGAAGCTGCATTGAGCTGAGATTGTGCCATTGGACTCCAGCCTGGGCCACAGAGTGAGGCTATGTCTCAAAAAAAAAAAAAAAACAAAAAACTAGAATGTCATTAGTAATTAACCAGTCCTTGTATAACTCTCCTATATATATGTTTTTTATTTAAAAATTTTTTGGGCCAGACACGTTGGCTCACGCCTATAATCGCAGCACTTTGGGAGGCCAAGGCGGGTGGATCGCTTGAGGCCAGGAGTTTGAGAACAGCCTAGCAAATATGGTGATACCCTGTCTCTACTAAAAATAGCAAGATTAGCCCAGCGTGGTGACACATGCCTGCAATCCCAGCCACTTGGGAGGTTGAGGAAGGAGAATTGCTTGAACCCAGGAGGTGGAGGTTGCAGTGAGCCAAGATTGTGTGCTTCTGCACTCCTACCTGGGAGACAGAGTGAGACCCTGTCTCAAGAAAAAAAAAAAACATTT
The DNA here is from genome assembly GCF_000001405.40 of Homo sapiens. Lineage (NCBI taxonomy): Eukaryota > Metazoa > Chordata > Mammalia > Primates > Hominidae > Homo > Homo sapiens. The sequence goes on along the minus strand of NC_000006.12, from coordinate 26,179,879 downwards.
TTTTTTAGAGAAGGGGATCTCACTATATTGCCCAGGCATCCTCCCATCTTAGCCTCCCCAGTCACTGAAATTATAAGTGTCAGACACCAAGCATGGCCCTACATTTTGTCTTTATCAATCTTATTTTTGTTTTTGCTTGTTTTTTGGTTTTTCTTAGTTTAAATATCTAAGAATGGATCCATAAATTGTAAGTCATTTCATTTTGCCTATTTTTATCTTCACATAAATGGAATCACAAGCTGTATATAATTTTATGATGTTTTTTATCCAAACCAATATTTTTGAGATTCATTCATGTTCATATATGTTACTCCAGTACCATCATTTCATTATTTTAAATAGCTAAATATATAGTAACACTGGTTTACTCAATTTATTATAACAGACCTTCATATTGTGTCTGTCTGGGATTATCGAGGTCATTACTTCTGTGAACTTTCTTGCACATGTTTCCTGGTGTAGATGTGCACACATTTCTCTAGTATATATATAACAAGGTGAGAGGCTGGTTGAAACATTCACATAGAGCTGCTCAGGGTGAAGATACATCTACAGATCTAGAGCTCAAGGCTGAAGCCTGGCATAGAAAAATGGCAGGCCACCCTGCCATCCCTCAACCCTTAATGTCTTTGTAAGGTTTGAATAATTGTCCCTTACCATCATAAATACCGACCATAAAAATATCTGGATGGAGAGAACCATTTTCCATTTCCTATTTCTCACTAGGTAATATTTTTTTTTCAGCTTCCGAGTTCCCTTCCCTGCCCTGCCCTGCCCTGCCCTCCCATCCCTTCCCCTTCCCTTCCGTTTGTGGGTGGCACACGCCTGCAGTAGCTTGATCTCAGCTCACTGCAACCTCTGCCTCCTGTATTCAAGCAATTCTTCTGCCTCGGCCTCCTCAGTAACTGGAGTTGCATGCACATGCCACCATGCCTGGCTAATTTTTATATTTTAGTAGAGATGAGGTTTCACCATGCTAGCCAGGCTGCTCTCGAATTGCTCACCGCAGGTGATCCGCCCACCTTGGCCTCCCAAAGTGCTGGGATTACAGGTGTGAGCCACCACTCTTCGTCGGGCCTGATTAATCTTTTAAAGATATTTTGATTGCTATTGATGATAAGAACTTTAAAAACAAAATCCTATGAATTAAATCTGTTCATTTTTTCCTGGAAATTATGTAGAGATGGATTAGTGAATTTTAATCTTATTAGATTAGTTGCCTTCATTGATAAGATAAATTGCATGAATTTCTTTTTTAAATAATTCAACCAACACACAGATAAAGCATCAGTAATGAAAATTTTCAGTGTTAATTCAGGTAGGATTTGGTTGTTTAAGTTAAAGAAACAAAATGAATGACAACCCTACAGAAATGTTAAGATCGAAGAGGGCTGGAATTTTTGCTTGTTTTGTCCATTGATGTATATCTAGCACTTAGAATAGTGCCTGCCACATAGTACATTCACATAAACATGTGAAAGGTGGCAGAATATTCCAGATTACAATATGCCATTGTGGCATAAGGATTATTTTGAGCTAAAGGGACTTAAAAACAGCAGATGCAAGAAGGATGCTCTTGCAGCAGGACAAGCCGGAGACAAAACCTCTCAGACACCGAGTTGTAAAAGGAAGGGCTTTATTCAGCTGGGAGCATCGGCAAACTACTGCCTTAAAATCCGAGCTCTCTGAGTGCACAATTTCTGTCCCTTTTAAGGACTCACAACACTAAAGATTATACATGAAAGGGTCGTAATTGATTTGAGCAAGCAGGGGTTACGTGACAGGGGCTGCATGTACTGGTGGTCAGAGAGAAACAGAACAGGGCAGGGAGTTTCACAATGTTCTTCTATACAATGTCTGGAATCTATGAATAACATCGGTTTCTAAGTTATGAGTTGATTTTTAACTACTGGGTTTAGGCCAGGCAGGCCCAGGCCTGGTTTCAGGCCTGGCGCCGGGCTGCCTGTCTTTGGTTTTACTTCCTTGTTGTTTTTTCTTAAAACAGGTACTGAGTATAAAACAATATAAAATAATATGAGAGGGTCTTTCTCTTCCTTCACTCTGATCTCCCATTTTTCTTCCTAGGAGATAAAACCTCCCTATAGAAGATGTCCTCCCTGGCTGGGTGCAGTGGCTCATGCCTGTAATCCCAGCACTTTGGGAGACTGAAGCAGGCAAATCATGAGGTCAAGAGATCGAGACAAAAATTAGCTGGGCATGGTGGCGCGTGCCTGTAGTCCCAGCTACTTGGGAGGCTGAGGCAGGAGAATCGCTTGAACCACGCTTGGCTAATTTTAGTCGTTTTAGTAGAGATGGGGTTTCATCATATTGGCCAGGATGGTCTGGATCTCATGACCTTGTGATCTGCCCGCCTCAGCCTCCCAAAGTGCTGGGATTACAGGCCTGAGCCACCATGCCTGACCCATGAGTCTTATTTAAATCACATATGATGAAGGGTGGTTTTTGCAATAAGCCATTTTTGGAACAAAAGAAGGTGGGGAGGATTTTGCTAACCATTGCTGTTTTTTTTATCACAGAGCTCAGATAAAGGTCAATAGGCCATTGAACACTGCCTAAAAAATAGGCAAAATTAAAATGAAAAATAATATCAATATTATCAGTTGCAATCAATGACATATCATTTAAATCTCACTGGGTCCGATGTTTAAAAAAATAAAAATGTAAAAGATTAAATACATTTGGTTTTATTTTAATGTAATCAGAAATTACTGACATATATTATTTAAAGCAATATATGTTGGATATAATGAAAATTGCCTGTCTAGTCATATTTCCTGAATCCCAATTGCTCTTAACTCTTCTGAGGTAGTAATCACTTGATGATGAGCTGAAGGGTGTTACCTGGACCACAGGATCATTACTTTAAAAACAAAATTGGCTACTATGCTTACAAATAAGTAGATTTCTCTGATAGAAATTTTTCCCATAAAAGTTCTCTCCAGCTCCAAGAACAGTGATTTTTTTTCATGTTTACCTACAACAAAACTCAAAAATGATGCAAGATATTAAATTAAATGGAATATATCCAAGGTATTTTGCTATATGGTTGCAATTTCACGGAATTTTATAAGTTTTATTTTGCCTTTCAAAAAAAAAAGTAAATGTCAGTTTTTGAACATGAACAGTATTTTATCTTTTTATGATTTTTTTTAATTGAAGCAAAAATATATGTAATAATGTGCCTTAGAGAGTACTCCTGTTATTTGGGCCTGAAAACAAATCATGCGTGGATTTAAAAAGATAATAATAATAATAATAATAATAATAAAGAAGATGAGGGACAAATATCCCTGGAAAATAAATGTTTACCAAGACAGCGCTAGTTTAGCAATATTAATATCAGAGAAAATATTAAAGCAAAGGTGTTCATAGGGATAGAGAGGGACACTGTAAGGACTCTTATCTGCAATGTGGAAAAGAAGATATTCTGGAAAACTCTATTGAAGCAATACACCTATGAACTAGAGAAACTACAACCAACAAACTAGTACTTAGTTACTCAATTAACAAAAAAACACAAGGGGCCAGGCTCGGTGGCTCATGCCTGTAATCCCAGAACTTTGGGAAGTCAAGGCGGGTGAATCACTCAAGGTCAGGAGTTGGAGACCAGCTTGGCCAACATGGTGAAACCCCATCTCTACTAAAAATACAAAAATTAGCTGAGCATGGTGGTGCGCGCCTGTAATCCAAGCTACTCAGGAGGCTGAGGCAGGAGAATCGCTTGAACCTGGGAAGTGGAGGTTGCAGTGAGCCGAGATCATGCCACTGCAGTCCAGCTTGGGCGACAGCTCAAGACTCTTGTCTCAAACACACACACATCCCAAAGAAAAAAAAAGCAAAAAAAAAAAACCCACAAGGGAAATTCCCAGAAACCATCCAGAACAATAAAATTTAGAAGCTGAAACTAGGGTGACAAATAGGACATCTTTGGTTCTCTGGGGGCAAATACCATTAATCAGGATTATGAGCTCTGGGAATTAAAAGTCTGCCCCCTGGGGAATAGAATTCTAGGCTCTTAAACAAAAGTGAAGACATAGCATAAAGCCAGAATGGTTTGAAAAAGGGGTAGACTGGAGAAAAAAAAGGAAAAAAGAAGAAAAAAACTCGTAAACATCTCTGGGATAAAACCTTGTTTGTCTCTACAGGACTCTGACTCTGAGGAGGTGGATGGAGAAAATTGGCCCCAAAGATTTAACCCTAAGTATAAATGAAGTCTTGAGTTCCAGTGAAGAAGGCCTGAAATTAAACTGACTCGGGCTTATAGTGCCCCCTTGTGCCTGATGAAGACAAAACAAATCCCTACAGGAAGAAAGTATCTTGAACCCAAGTTCTCTACATCTACACACATTATCTATTTATGGAGCAATCATTTACTGAACACCTATTATATGCCAGACACTCTGTCAGGAACTTAGGATGTTTAAATATAAGTTCATAACAAATGTCACAAAATCGAAGAAAAACAGACACTATGGAGAGTTTGGCTTATAAGCAAAGAGCCTTCTATTTCCTCCTAGATCCCTAGGCAAACAAAGGATTTCAGATATTGAAATGATTAGATACAGACTATAAAAATCACTATTTACTGAAAGTTTAATGAAATAAAAAATAGAATAATAAAACAATCAAGGACCAAGGGATAATCAAAACCAAGTACATTTGAAAAAGAACAAAATAGAACTTTGCTATACTCCATAATGATAAAATAAAAATCCAAAAATAAGATGTAACATTCAAAACCTTATATGCACTTGACTACAGAACCACTACTATGTCAATAAATAACTGACAGAATTAGAAGGAGAATTTCAAATTTACAATTGTAGGGTAACCTTTCAATATTCTGTATGAGTGTTAGATTCTCATATTACAAGCAAAGAAAAATGCTAATGGTTTTCTAGGATTTGAACAAGACAATAAGCAAATTTGATCTATGATTACCTTCATTTGACACAGAAAACATCCCTTCTTTTTTTCAAAGCACACGTTGGACAATTTCAAAACAAATTAACCCTGGTTTCAGAAAGTTACAGAAATTAAGGAACATAACTACAAAAAGGGAGATATAAAGAATGACAAGAGAATGCTGTGTAACTTTTACAAAAAATTAAACTCAGTGGAAAATAATTTTCAAGAAAAAGAAGAAAATAGACAAGCTGACTAAACAAATTATGATTATGAAAATAAGGTAGGCAGTTAAAAAATATTTTCTACGTCCTTCCACCCAAATGCTGCCAAGTCCGGTCAGATATTCCAAGTTTTAGTGAATTTATGAGGAATAGATTATCTCTTTTTTTTTTTTTTTTTTTCTGAGATGGTTCTCGCTACGTTGCCTAGGCTGTAGCGCAGAAGCTATACACAGGCATGATGGCAGCACACTACAGTCTCCAATTCCTGGGCTCAAGTGGTCCTTCTGCTTCACCTCCTGAGTAGCTGGGACTACAGGGACGTGCCACCTCACTTGGCATGATACCTATTTCACAGAATCTGTTACTATAGAAAAACAGCTCTCCTACTCACTTTTTTCTTGTAAAATTGTATAACATTATTAGCAAAACTGGAGAATACAAATTTTAAAAAGGAAGGAAGAGAGAAAGAAGAAAAAAACAAAATTATAGTTTTGTCTCACTAATGAACATTCATTTTTGTTTTTTAGAAAAAAATGCCTATTATGAGAAAAAATGGAAACCAGGAGAAATTGCAGAGACCATGTTATTTAAATAAATAGCTGATTATATAGGGTTTATTCTAAGAATAGAAGGAAGTTTAGTATTCTAAATCTGCCAGTTTAAGAAATTAATAAAGGAAGGCCCAGAGCAGTGGCTCACGCCTGTATTCCTAGCACTTTAGGAGGCTGAGGCAGGTGGATCACTTAATGTCAGGAGTTCAAGGCCAGCCTGGCCAATGGCGGCCTATCTTCTTCTGATAATACAAAACTTAGCCAGATGTGGTGGCACGCACCTGTAGTCCCTGTTACTTGGGAAAGTGAGGCAGAAGAATCGCTTGAACCTGGGAGGTAGAGGTTGTAATGAGCTTAGATCAGGGCACTGCACTCCAGCCTGGGAGACAGAGTGAGATTCCATCTCAAAATAAAAACTAAAATAATAAAAAATAAAATAAAATAAAATAAAATAAATAAAATAAAAAAGAGATTAATAAAGAAAAAACATGATCATCTCCAAAGATACTGCGAAAGCATTTAACAAAATATAACACTCTTTAATCATAAACACTTAACAGACTACAATGAGAAGAGAACTTCATAAGGAGGAGCTACAGCGAGTATAACACTTAATGGTGCCGTTTTGGAAGGATTCCCATAGAGGCGGAAGGAAGACAAGTGTGGTGAGAAAGTACTCCTATTCAACACGGCATCACAGGGTTTGGCCAATACCATGAGATAGGAACAGGCAGTCAGAAGAGCAAGGATTCAATAGGAAAAGATGATTATCTTTGAAAATAACATAATTGTCAAGGTAAAAGTTCACAAGAATCTATAAACAATTAGATCAAATAAGAATTGGAATTAGTGGGCATAGGCCAGGCGTTGTGGCTCACGCCTGTAATCCCAGCACTTTGGGAGGCCGAGGCGGGCGGATCACGAGGTCAGGAGATCGAGACCATCCTGGCTAACACGGTGAAACCCCGTCTCTACTAAAAAATACAAAAAAACTTAGTCGGGCGTGGTGACTGTAGTCCCAGCTACTCGGGAAGCTGAGGCAGGAGAATGGCGTGAACCCGGGAGGCAGAGCTTGCAGTGAGCCGAGACTGCGCCACTGTACTCCAGCCTGGGGGACAGAGCGAGACTCCGTTTCAAAAAAAAAAAAAAAAAAATTAAAGTCATATGAAGATTAATATGTAACATCTTCTTCGACTTAAATGTTCATTTTTTTCCTTCTGACTTTAGAAGAAATTAAAATATTTTCATGAGCCTCCAAAAGAACTGCGGACCCTAGACACCGTGCCTGCTGTTTAATGGAGTACGGCACTGCGTGTACCGGAAGATGATTTTTTTAAAAAAAAACTCAATTAGGAAATAATTATTCGCACACATTCATATACATACATACATACACTGAATCCTCACACGAAGAGCCCTACAGGCGTGAGAACAGTAAGGGAGATGCAAGAAAGGTCTCCTTGGAGTTGGGAGGCGTATTTACAGCTACTAGAGAAGGGGGAAGTGCCAGCTCCCCGAGAAGAAAGCAGGAGGATGCTGAGAGACTAAAGCTGAAATTTTCTGCCTGCTTCCTCACTCTTTTCGTTGGTTTCAGCCGTCTGAAAAACCCTTGTGAGAGGAGCAAAAAGGTCAAGGGAAGATTGTTGCCTTGCTCTCAGTCTTCAAAATTTTCGATCCTCCGTTTTTTTTGTTTTGAGACGCAGTCTCGCTCTGTCGCCTAGGCTGGAGTGCAGCGGCGCGATCTCGGTCACTGCAACCTCCGCCTCCCTGGTTCTAGCGATTCTTCTGCCTCAGCCTCCTGAGTAGCTGGGACTACAGGCGCGTGCCACCACACCCGGCTAATTTTTTTGTACTTTTGATAGGGACGGGGTCTCACGGTGTTAGCCAGGATGGTCTCTATCTCCTGAACTCGTGATCCGCCCGCCTCGGCCTCCCAAAGTGCTGGGATTACAGGCGTGAGCCACCGCGCCCGGCCGGTCCTCTGTTTTTAAACTGTAAAGGACTCCAGCGGATTGTTCGAAGTCTCCGATATCCCGCGATCTGGTGGCCGCAGAAGAAAGAGGCCGAGTCGGCGGGGACTGGGAACCACCAGTTAGCGGCCTACGGGCAACCTCCCGGACGCGCGCGCCGGGCCGACGTTAAACGTACGTGACGCCCTATGCGGGAGCCGGATGGGCGTAACGGGGCGGCGGCGTAACGTGTGGCTCTGTGGTTAGGGCACGGAGGGGCGTGGCCGGACGGCCCTATGAGGGGGCCGGCGTTTTTGGCGAGGGTTGATGGGATGACCCTATGAGGGAGCCTGCGTGGAGGGGCACGACCGGCCCCAAGACTCCTTTTCATGGCCGCATAGCCGCACCGGGAGTAGGATGACCGCTGTTATTTTTCAGGACCTCTCATCTTCGGTTTGAAATTCTTTGCTTTTTTCCGGCTTTGTGTGGCTATTTAGTATTAGCATTTTAGGGCAGTTTCATTTCCTTTAAAGTAAAACTCTCCAAAGTGGTCTCCGGACCAGCAGCATCAGCATCACCTGCATAATTTAGAAGTACAAATTATCAGGTCCTACCTCAGATCTAATGCATCAGAAAAGTTTTGTGACTGCTTCAAAACATTGTTTCCCTTAATTCAGATGCTGGAGGAGACCTTTCAAATGGCAGCTTAGCATAAGCTAACCAGTTTTTAACTTCAGGTTCATTACCAAAGCCACATCAGTGCTTAGGCCTTATCCACTCAGACCTCCTTGATGCTGGAAAGTAAAGTGAAAATAGGTAGATAGATGTCTAGAAAGGGGAGGTCTTAGAAGAAAGGTTTGGATCAACAATGAAGGCAGAATTTACAATTCTCCGCAGATTTTATTAATTATAACTTTTTTTTTCAGACGTCCTGCCATCTTCTCATTCAGACTTTTCTTAGCAAAGGTAGTCCATGGCAAGTAATGAATTCCCAGTAACTAGGTCTGTAACAGAAGTAAATTCTGTTTTTATGTTTATAAACTCAAAAAGTAACATGAAGTGCAAACACCTTTAGTTCCTTCCCCTCGGTAACCTTCTTTTGATGAACCAGTGTGCAGCAAACCAGGATGAGTTGGATTTGGGTGGGATCCACACAGTCATTTTCAGGCAGATGAGACTTCCTAAGTTCTATGTATAGATTCATATTATCAGTTATTTTATGCATTCATTTCTCCTCTGTCTTCATGTCTCTCCCCTGATTGAAGAAATAAGAAGGGTTTAGTTATTAGGTGCCATTTTGCCATCACCATTAATATTTTCTATACAAAGAGGATTCTTTCTACATGTGCTTCTATAATGAACTATTAGGAATCTCTACTTCAGTTCTAGCTACACTTTAGTAGCATTAACACATAATAAGTCATGCTTAGTCAAGAAATATCACTGAATAATGTGATCTTTGTTTCAAATTCTCCAATTACCCTTCTTGGGTGGGATTCAAATAGTTCAAAAGCTCATATTCTCTCCCTTTCATTTTTGACCTGAAAAGATTTGAACACTCTGATTTTTATTTTAACTCAGTGAAAAGGAAAATATAATAACTGTTAAATATTGCTAAGTGCTTACTAAAAGTCCATCACTGTTTTAAGAGCTTTACATGAACTATCTTAAAATAACTTTAAGAAGTAATCTACTATTATTATCCTCCTTGTATAGATGAGGAAAGTGAAACCCAGAAAATCCGAGTCACTCATTCAGTTGAACCACTGTGACAACTCAGTAGTGGCCTCTATTCCTGTAGTTATAGATATTTGTGCACTTTAATTATGTCAGAAATTATGTCATGCTGCAAATACGTTTTGAGAGTCTGCCATGTGCCTGGAACAGCCTTAGGCATTAGGAAACAAGCAGCAAAACAGGTGAACTCCCTGTTTTTATGGACCTTACAGTTTTCAGGATTGGAAGGGGAGGCAAACAATAAACAAATGTAAGATAGTGCTAAGAATAATGAGGAATGCATACAGCAAGTTAAGAATGAGGATAGAAGGGTGCCATTTTACATTTGATGGTCAGAGAAAACCTCTCAGATGTGGTGACATTTTCATCAATCCACTTAATCCAAAACCCAAGAAATGTGAGAAATATCTCAGTTATTATTTGACAGGTATTACACACAACTGAGACACCAAGTATATGACAAGGTCTATCTACTCATGTCCCCTTTTTGTTTTTTCTCTATCTTTCTACCACATTCTGCTGTGGGTTTCTTTTAGTTCTCCAAGCTCTTTCCCTCACCCCCCTTTTTCTTTTTCTTTTTTTTCTTTTTTTTGAGATGGAGTCTCGCCCTGCCACCCAGGCTGGAGTGCAGTGACGCCCTCTTGGCTCAAGGACTACAGGTGCATGCCACCATGCCTGGCTAATTTTTGTATTTTTAGTAGAGACGGGGTTTCACCATATTGGCCAGGCTGGTCTGGAACTCCTGACCTCATGATCTGCCTGCCTCAGCCTTCCAAATTGCTGTGAGCCACTGCACCTGGCCCCTCCCTTTTTTAGTAGGAGTTTGCTTCTTCCATTCCTTTTCTGAGTACTTCTCAATTTCTCTCACCTTTTTTCTCATGCTCTCCCCAATTTCCTAGAAAGTAATTGTAACTTGGCTATAATATTTATAAAATATTGTTTTGTATTTATAAAGAATATTTTGAAATTTTAAAACAATATTTTATTACTCAAAAATTAGAATACATATGTTTGCCTTGATGCAATTAATTTGGTAGTTCCTGTATGAGCCCACGTTCATTTGACTTTGCTGAAGATTTCCAGAGTATGAGAAACACTTTTTTAGGCTTTAGTGAAAGACAAAGGTAAATGAAAACCATTAGCTGTAAGTCTTCTTAACTGAGGGCTCCAGGAGGTCAAGGACCACCATATCTCTCTGTGTATATGCAGCGCCCAAGCCAGTGCCTAGGGAGTTTTGCGTACTTCATGAATTTCCTTACAAATCCTTCATGACTAATTTCTTCTATTTGATTTCTTTTCTTTATACCTCTCTCTGCTGAGTGTTAATCTGTTAATCTTACACTTGGAACATTTTTTTACTATTACCTAATCATTAATCTTAAGTTTTATATATTAAATTATTAACTTAGCTTTAACTTCTTGTCCAATTTAAATTTCATTAATTTGTTTTTTCCATTTTTAAAAATTTTTTCATACTCTGCAATATTTTCTAAGATTTAAAATTTTTATTGTATTAATTTTTCTGCTTCAGTTTGTTTTCTTTAAAAAGGCCCAATCTGTTTCTCGGACATTCTAACAACAATCATGCACTAGAGAATTGCTTTACAGACTGCAGTTTAAGATTTCTCAAATGAATTAATACATTCAATGCATATTTTTTAAAAAGTAGCTGCTATGTGCTGGGATAATGTTTTATATAAACTGTAGTGGCACCACTTTGTCCTTTACAATATCTGGGAAAAGTCCATCAGGATATTATGAGGGGATTTTAATGGGCTTTGTCTCTGTGGGTAGTGGTCAATTTTAGTCTGAATTGTTGAAATTCTTAAAGGTTCTACCATTTATAAAGGTATCAGAGCCAGGTGATTGTACATTTGATTTCTATGTAGTCTTTAAAGCACAAATGCTTTTTACATCCAAGCATTTCAAATATAAAAAAGGTAAAGTGGTTTTAAATTATGTTCATAAATTTTTTACATTTTTTTGCCTTATCAAATTTTTATTTTTACTAATTTATTTATTTTTTTTTTTTAAAAAATGGAGTTTTGGTCTTGTTGCCCAGGCTGGAATGCAATGGCGTGATCTCAGCTCACCACAACCTCTGCCTCCCGGGTTCAAGCGATTCTCCTACTTCAGCCTCCCAACTAGCTAGGATTACGAGCATGTGCCACCATGCCTGGCTAATTTTGTATTTTTAGTAGAGACGGGGTTTCTCCATGTTGGCCAGGCTGGTCTTGAACTCCCGACCTCAGGTGATCTGCCCGCCTTGGCCTCCCAAAGTGCTGGTATTACAGGCTTGAGCCACTGGGCCTGGCCCAAGTTTTTATTTTTATACACTTTTTTTTTTGGTATTGAAAAGGAAAGCATAATTACCACAAAGTACAAAGGACTAAAGCAGGACTATAATAATAAATGAATCAATTTGGCCTGGAAAGCAGATACCTTCAATAATATTAATGTTATAATACAAGCTCATTCAAGTATTTGACGTTGCTTTTTTTTTGTCCTTTTAAATATGATACCCTGTACACATATGTAACAAACCTGCACGTTGTGCACATGTACCCTAAAACTTAAAGTATAATAATAAAAAAATAAAAATAAATAAATAAATAAATATGATACCCTAGCCCATAGTAAAGATAATCTATTATGAGCGTAAGGTGCAACCTTCTCTACAAAGCCAGATGACAAGTTTTTGTCTCCAATGAGAAATAGCTCTGAGTTCTTATCTTTTCTACTATCAACGTGCCTGAAGTGGGAGAGGGTGGGGGCTGGGGAAAATCCAAGGACCCTTCAACATGGGAGGATTCCATTCAGGAGGGTACCAGATAATTCAGATCACTCTACCTAGCCTTTTTTGAAAAAAACAACCCTCACCCTCCGTAGTCATCTTCCTTGGCTCTTCTCCTCACTTCCAGGGCCTTCTAAGCAGCTTACTTACTTTTGTAAAATCAATCACCAGGAAAGGGACTGATAGAACAACACAAAAATATTTAACAACTTTGACCTAGGGGCTTAGCACCTCTATCTGAGCCCCAGCGGTCTAGGCTGGGGGAGGGCTGATGGCCCTTCTCTACTGGTAGTGCATTTGTTCCCAGGTGCAAGAGCAGGTGAAAGAGAAACCTGCCCCTTAACAGGGCTGAGACACACAGACCTTCTGATGTTTGATGCCCAAAGGTTGTGTTGGCATGGACAAACCTTGAAAGAGATATGATGAAAAGAGAGATCTCGGCAGGCTGTTGCTTTGTGTCTCAGGTCTTGGATCCCCAGGGGAGGATAGTGGGTATGAAGTAGCTAGCCCTGATGGCCCCTGCCACTTCTAGCATGCTTGTCACAGATACATCGGTCCTAAATTCAAGTGTCTTCAGAAATTGAATATGTAAACTACTCTTTGCAACATTAACTCCTATCATTTTACAAAAAAAAAAAAAAAAAAAAAAGAGAAAACAAAAAAAAGAAAGAAAAGAATGTGAAGAAAAGAAAAAAAGAGGCCGGGCACGGTGGCTCATGCCTGTAATCCCAGCACTTTGGGAGGGCTAGGCGGGCAGATCACCTGAGGTCAGGAGTTCGAGACCAGCCTCGTCAACATGGTGAAACCCCATCTCTACTAAAAGTATAAAAATTAGTTGGACATGGTGGTGCATGCCTGTAGTCCCAGCTACTCAGGGAGGCTAAGACAGAAGAATGGCTTGAACCCAGGAGGCGGAGGTTGCAGTGAGCCAAGATCAAACCATTGCACTTTAGCCTGGGTGACAGAACAAGACTCCGTGTCAAAAAAAAAAAAAAAAAAAAAAAAAGCCAAAAGTATCCCCCTCTGCTCGTGCCGACCACCAATCTATGTTGAGATGAAGTCCTTACCTCCCTGCCCCAAAGGGGCTTCCTCTTTGAGGAATGTGTGTGAAGAAGATGGCAGCCCCCCTGGCCTGGGAGTAAACCCCAGATAAGAACAGCCTTCCCCCACATCCCAAGGCTTCTTTGTGCCCCCAGAAGCAGCATAGGAAAAACAATGAAGTTTCTGTGGTGCTGGATACAGTACATGGCTGCGTGACCTGAAGGAAAGAAGGAATAAAGGGAAGGAGGAGGGGGTCCAGGAGGCCAGTATCTGGTATGATGCAGAGCAGGCACCAGACTGAGCAGGGAAAGGCCTCAGATTCCACTGTCATAGCAGAGACCATGGTTTGAGACATGGGTCATAGGAACTGAAATGGGCTTCCCACATACTAACCACTGGGAGGTCAAAGGCAAGGAAGGGCCCAGGCTAAAAGCAATGAGATGCCAAGGTAACAGGCAAGACTTTGTCAGCCTGTGGTACTGTCTCCTACTTCCAGCCTTTGGGCTCAACAGAGGAACCAGTTGAAAAGGAGGGTCAAAGACACTGAGTAAGTGAGCAACAGGACCACCAAACTCCTCTGTGTTGCCCAGATCCCACTGAGAGTGAACAAGGAGTTATCCCTGTATCCAAGACACATCCCAGTCTGTGTGGGTCAGTCCTTCATCACCCTCCCTAGCTTCTGATGACAGCAGACTTCAGCCATTCCATTGTCATTCACAGCCCAACCCAGTCAGTGGCTGAAGAAGAGAAGTCAGGTATACTCTATGTCCACATCTATTTTCCTGCCACAGGGCTTCACCAGCTGGCAGGGTTCCCTCCTGGCCCCCACCTCCTTTTCATCCCTCATTCCCAGGTGGGGTCAATTGGAGGGTGGGCAGAGATAGATGGCTTACAGAGGGGGGATGAGACCAGGCCCTAGGAGGAGAATGGCAACTTTCTCCACTTTTTAAGAGAGACAGAGCCTCCTTGACGTCTCAGAGATCTTTCAGGTCAACACAGGAAACATTTCCAAGCCTCAGCTGTGGGTGTTCACCTTTTCTCTCTGGGGTAGGGGACATGTTCCAGCTGAGAACAAGTATGTTCCAGATGCAGGCCAAGTTTGTTCTCCAAAAGTTTGAAACAAACTTGGCCTTGGGGTTTCATGGGTAGGATGCAGGACGTCACGGCAGGACGGGGCCTGACATGAGGCAATAGCAAGCAGAGCAGGGACACAACGGTAGCAGCTGTGTACAGACACAGGATGTCAGCTTCAAACGATGCAATAGCAAGGATATCTTGGGCATGGTTCTGATCCAAGCCACCACAAACTCTTGCCTCCAGGACAGAGGCTGTGTACATGCAGCAGCCCAGAGAAAGATTCTAGGGAGTCCAAGACCAGGCACATCCAGAGAAGGTGGGAGCTCTTTGGGTTGGCTCTCCATCGTGGAAAACAGACATTTGGGTATTTCGGATTCCCACTCCACAATAAGGCAACTTAAAAATATTTCCAAAAACAAAAATCCAAGGGGAGAGGATAGACATCATTTTCTGTGGATTCATTGGGGGATTTCTGATTTCTTGTTTTTTAATTGTTGATTTTTTTTCCCATTTTCCCAGGGATGGAAAGGTCAGAGAAACATAAATCATCTTTCAATATAGTCTTTCCTGATATGAGCAGCATCTCTCTGGGCTGGGGAGTAAAGAGTGTGGGGAGAGGGGAGTGAGGAGAGGCTAGAATCTTCCCCCAAGCCCCAGTTTTAGATCCTTTGGTTTCCTTCTCCCAGAAGATGGCAGAAGGGCATGGTAGGGACAGCAGAGAGAGAACATGGTGATGATAAACCCTACAAGATCAAGGTGCCGGTTCTCCTGGGGCTCAGGGGTACCACCAGAGCCTTCCATGGGATGGTGCTGGGCAATGGGGCCTGCAGAGCCTTCTTGTGGGCTGCATAGTTGGCTGGAAGGGGAGCAGGAAGATGTTAGGTGTGGGGACCAGGGTTGCAGCCTACTAGCTATGGTAGGGCTGCAGATTTTGGTAATCCAGATGAACTATCAATAATTTAAAATTATATATATATATATATAAAATCTCCCTTGCTCTCCCCTCTCAGAAGAAGTTAGGATGTAAAGAATCATAGAGGAGAGGGAAGGGGATGTTGAGGCTCCTGTCCAGGGGAACTCTGATAGCCCAAATGGTGTACACATTGCTACTCAGTACAAAGGCCCATCCTAATAACTCCAGGCTTGTCCTTTTTTGTTCCCTGTCCTGGGACTGGGCATGGCCATGCACTTCTTGCCCATCCCATCCCTTTCCCTGCCTCAAGCCCCAGGGCTAAATGGTTTTTCACTTTCCCAAATCTGTGTGTCTGAGTGCTGGCTTGTCCACTTGGCATCTTCCAGGATGGGCTGGCCAGTGGGTGGTATAGAGGGCTGGCTGATCATGGTGGCAGGTCTGCTGGGAGACTGAGAGGGGCACTGCTTCCTGCCCTCACCCCTGCCACCTCCTGCTACCACTGAGTGTTGCTTGTGGTTGGCCTCCTCACCCACGGGGGGATCTACTCAGAAGTCTTCAAGACTTTGGAATTTGCTGAGGTATTTTTGCAGTTGGGGTCAATGTCCACATTTTTGGCTTTGGAATATTTCAATAAGTTCTTTTACTATTCTTATCTGAAAGGGTGTAGCTTAATTCTACTTCTGGGTATGTGCCAGATTTCAGTGACTTGTTTATATTGAATAACATGTGCCGGAGGAAATGGCTCACACCTGTAGTCTCAGCTACTTGGGAGTCTGAGGCAGGATTGCTTGAGCTCAGGAGTTCCAAGGTGCAGTAAGCTAAGATCAGGTCCCTGCATTCCAGCCTGGGTGACGGAGCAAGACTCTGTCTCTAAGAAATAAATAAATAACGTTTAAAAAGTGTGGCAGAAGTGTGTAAGTTTCGAATCTTGTTCACAAAAGGCATTGCGGCTTATTCCTTCCCCTTTCTCTTTCTTTTTTCTCCTGCTAAGAGAAAACAGTTGTTTGGTTTTGAAGATAATCAGTTACCCCTCTAGAGAGGTCTAACGGGCAAGGAACTGAGGCCTCCACCCAAAAGTCGGCTTGAACTTGCCAGATATGCGAGTGTGCCACCTTGGAAGGGAATCCTCCAGCTACAGTCAAGGATTCGGATGATTGCAGCCTATGTTTACAGCTTGACTTCAACCTCAAGGAAGACCCGGAGCCATAACCACCTAGCTAAATCACTTCTGGATTCCCGACTCACAGAAATTAGTTTTGGGATAATTTGTTACACGGCAATAGATAACATAATAGACATGGGGAGCCCCACAGTTAAGCTTATAGAGCTACCATAATTTTTATAATGAAACTTGATAAAGGTAAGCCCAAAATAGAACATAATAGAATGGGCCAGGTGCGGTGCCTCATGCCTGTAATCCCAGCTACACAGGAGGCTGAGGTAGGAGAATCGTTTGAACCCAGGAGGTGGAGGTTTCAGTGAGCCGAGATTGTGCCACTGCACTCCAGCCTGGGTGACAGAGCGAGACTAAATCTAAAAGAAAAAAAAAATCATAGAATGATTTTATGCAAATAGAAATGGAAAAAAATCATGAAAAATATTAACAAAATTTACCCAGGTATTATTTAAAATAATAGTATACCATGACCAAATAAGATTTGGACTAGGAATAAAAGCATGAATCAACACAAAGAAATCTATCTATACTTCATGGCAACAGGTTAAAAAAGAAAAAGCATATGATTTCTTCAGAAGTCAAAGTGATCGAATAAAATTCATAAATCATACCTAATAAAAAATCTTAAAAGAAGATTAGAAGGAAACTACCGGGCTCGGCACGGTGGCTCACACCTGTAATCCCAGCACTTTGGGACCCCATGGTGGGCAGATCACTTGAGGTCAGGAGTTTGAGACTAACCTGGCCAGCATAACAAAACCTTGTCTCTACTAAAAATACAAAAAAATTAGCCGAGTGCGGTGGTGTGCGCCTGTAATCTCAGGTATTCAGGTGGCTGAGATGAATGCGGGAGGCTGGGAAGTGGAGGCTGCAGTGAGCAGAGATCCGGCCACTGCGCTCCAGCCTGGGCAACAGATAAAACTCTGTCTCAAAACAACAACAACAACAAACAAAAACCAAAAACTACATTAACACAATGAAGACTACATATACACATCCATGCACATACACACAAAAGCAATTATAAATCATCAACCACCGAAGTCATTTCTATGAACAGGAGGAAAAAGACAATACCTGGTAGCATGTCTAATGTGACATATTGTTTGTGATGGTAGCTAGCACAGTAAGATGATTAAAGCAAACAATAAATAGTTATGGGAGAGAATATCGAACATTTTTATTTGCTAATAGTACTATATGCAATTAAAATCAAGTCAGTCGACTATTGATTAGGATTAATAGAATTTGATAAGGTTAGCTAGACACAAAATTCATGTAAATAACCAATTATCCAATTATCCTCCTACATGCAGAATTTCAAACAGTGCTTTAGTGTGAGGTCATATGTCAATATGTAACAGAAGTCACAATCTTTTGAAAATCAGTATTACATCTGTAAAAATTTGGAGAGCTTAATTAATTCACAGCACACATAGTGACTCCCTTTTTTTGTATCATTTTTCTGTTTAAATATTTACTTTGTTAACCTAGGCTTGCTTTGATGAGCAATACATTAGGTTTCAATTTTTATTTTCTTATATTATTTTTAATTATTAGTAATCCATCCATTCTAGAAAATTATTGGCCATGATCTTTTAAATCTCACATTTGCATCATTCTCCCTGATTGTTTCTTCTGGTACTGTGATTAGGTCAACGTCAGATCATATTTTACTACTAATTCTAGGTCTCTTTTCATTTATTTATTTATTATTTGAGACAAGGTCTCACTCTCATTGCCCAGGCTGGAGTGCAGTGGTGTGATCATGGCTCTCTGCAGCCTTGATTTCCCTAGCTCAAGTGATTCTCTCACCTCAGCCTCCTGAGTAGCTGGGACCACAAGCACGCACCACCATGCCTGGCTAATTTTTTGTATTTTCAGTAGAGTCGGGGGTTTGCCATATTATTCAGGCTGGTCTCCAACTCCTGGGCTCAAGCAATCCTCCTGCCTTGGCCTCTGAAAGTGCTGGGATTACAAGCATGAGTCACCTTGCCCAGCCCTAATTCCAGGTTTCTTAAACTCACTTTTGCATTTTTATCTCTGCATTTCAGATAATTCCTTAAGATCTGATTACATAGTTTATTAAATTTCTACCGGTAGGTCCAATTGGCTGCTGTTAAACACATGCAGTAAGCTTTTCATTTCAATTTGTCTTATAATTACATGTTTATTTTCTAGAATTTCTATTAGGTTCTTTTTTCAAATCTATGTGGTCACTTTTGGTATTTCCTTAGTCCCTCAATATATTTATAAGACTTTTTGTTTCTTTTTTTTTCCTTCAGATGGAGTTTCACTCTTGTTGCCCAGACTGGAGGACAATTGCGTGATCTTGGCTCAATGCAACCTCTGCCTCCTGGGTTGAAGCGATTCTCCTGCCTCAGCCTCCTGAGTAGTTGAGATTACAGGTGCATGCCACCATGCCTGGATGATTTTTGTATTTTTAGTAGAGATGGGGTTTCACCATATTGGCCAGGCTGGTCTCGAACTCCTGAGCTCAGGTGATCCGCCTGCCTCAGCCTCCCAAAGTGCTGGGATTACAGGCGTGAGCCACTGTGCCTGGCCTCTTTTTCTTTTTTCAAAAAGACACTAGTCAATTCGAGTCTGTTTTTTTTTTTTTTTGAGACAGAGTCTCATTCTGTGGCCCAGGGTGGAGTGCAGTGGCACGATCTTGGCTCACTGCAAACTCCACCTCCCGGGTTCACGCGATTCTCCTGCCTCATCCTCCTGAGTAGCTGGGATTAAAGGCGCACACCACCACACTGGCTAATTTTTTGTGTACTTTTAGTAGAGACGGGGTTTCACTATGTTGGCCAGACTGGTCTCGAACTCCTGACCTTGTGATCCGCCTGCCTCAACTTCCCAAAGTGCTGGGATTACAGGCATGAACCACCGTGCCTGGCCTCAAGTCTGTATCTTGTTAATTCTCCCTTTTCATTTCCATTGTCTGTTGCTTTTTTTTTTTTTTTTTTTTTTCAGAGACAGGATCTCAAACTTTTGGCCTCAAGCAATCCTCCAGCCTCAGCCTCCCGAAGTGCTGGGATTACAGGCATTAGCCACCACGCCCAGCTCCCATTGTCTGTTGCTTTTGTTTTCATTAGTCATACTTCTAGTTTCATGATGTTTAATTTAGATTGTGAAGCTCCTTGTGCATTTTTGGGGGGATATTTTAGCTGTGGCAATTTGTTGAGGTGTAAAATGAAGCTTCTTTTCCAGAGATGACTTGTATTTGTTTCTACCGGGTGCTCAGGGGCACAAAACCAGCCTGGGATATGCCTAAATTAAATTCTCAGCTTGGGTGTTTGAATCCCTATGGTATGAATGCCAGGAACAAGTAAGCATCGATGGCTTGTAGTCCAAGCCTTAGCAGTAGAATCTACACTGCTCAGAACCCAACTTCGGAGCTGACTTTTTTATTTGCATTCATCTGTGATGGGTTTGTATGTGTGGTTCATCCTTCTACTCTTGAGATGACAGATTTAGGTCTGGTGTCTCACCTTCACCTAAGAAGATATATCAGGCTCTATACCCTGGTCAGTTTCCACGGGTTGAGTAAAAGCCAGCTGTAGTGCTTGGGGTTTAACATGGGCCAAGTCCCTGGCTCTGAGTTTACTTTCTTAGACCCTCTTTCTTACTTTTAAGAATTTAGAAAATATTACTCAGGCTTTTATTTATCCGTCCAAGTACCACGCTTGCCATGTTATGGAAAATGTATCCCATAATCCATCATTTCGTGTTTGTTTATGAGGGCATGAGGACAAACTTCTAAATTCATTCCTCTTTTAGACAATGATCATCCATCCATCACTTAAATTCTCCCTCTCAGCCAACATTTGACTCCAAACCTAGCCTCATCCATCTCACATTTTTCACGTCTCAAGTATTTGTTCCTTTCCTTCTGGCCACTCCCTCCTAGTTCCCTCCCGACTCTTTTCCGAGATTCTTTTTCTCCCGCAATCATCCATTCCCCAGCAGTGAAAACCTTTTGTCATCATCCTACCTTGTGCAGCAGAAGCTACATCCTGCCAGAAGGAGGTTTTCTTTCCCTTTCTACCTCCTCCAGTCCTCCGTACTCAGGGGCATCTAGGAAAGGATAAATTGTACTGCAAAGGGGGCTTCAGTCCTGCGATAACTATTGCCTACGTGCAGTCAGGCACCTTAATGATTGACTATTTGGTTTCTGCCGTTACCCGGAGGACTTTTAACCTGAAAGCTGCCAAAAAAAAAAAAAAAAAAAAAAAAAAAAACCTATAAATTAAATGACTTTCAGAAAAAGACGGTTTAGCAAAAGAATTTTAAGGTGTCTCAGAAGCTGCTTCTTTTTCCTGCACCTCAGCGCCTAGGATCCGCCTTTCCCTGCCCCACTCGCTTAAGAGCTTCAGACAGAAACTGGCCCAATTACAAAACAAATCAGAAACCTTTGTAATAGTTCCGTGTTCAGCTCACATTGTCTTCAGCCTTTACTTGCAGTTATTACATATCTGCATGGTAAAAATTTTACAAGAAAATGGGCGGGGGTGGTGGTGGAGAAAGCTCCAAACATAAGGAAGTTGTCAAGAGCGTGCACTTTCGTGCTCAGGGCGGGCCGTCACCACACCGAGTCCCGGATCAACATCACGATCAACTTGGAAATCTGCACACGGAAACCAAAGAGCTGTACATTTACAATACTTTCAGTTTATGCTAGTGTTATGTGATACTAAATGAGCTAACGATCTAATACGTACCCATAGCACTCAATTTCTAGTACCTATTGTTATTCCCTGTAACTTCCAAGTTATTTCCTCTGCAGTACTAACGTAACATTAAAGATTGGTACTGTGGTGCTAAGTCCAATAACCCCCCTTTTGAATGAAATGATTACAACTCATTTATTGAAAACATGCGTGGCTCTTAAAAGAGCCTTTGGGATTAGGTGTAAAGATGCTTACTTGGCAAAGTTACTTGGAACTGGTGTACTTGGTGACGGCCTTGGTGCCCTCCGACACGGCGTGCTTGGCCAGCTCCCCCGGAAGCAGCAGGCGCACGGCCGTCTGGATCTCCCTGGAGGTGATGGTCGAGCGCTTGTTGTAATGCGCCAGGCGGGAAGCCTCGCCTGCGATGCGCTCGAAGATGTCGTTGACGAAGGAATTCATGATCCCCATTGCCTTGGAAGAGATGCCGGTGTCGGGATGGACCTGCTTCAGCACCTTGTACACATACACTGAATAGCTCTCCTTGCGGCTGCGCTTGCGCTTCTTCCCGTCCTTCTTCTGAGCCTTAGTCACCGCCTTCTTGGAGCCCTTCTTTGGGGCAGGAGCAGACTTGGTAGGTTCAGGCATCGTAGCGTTAATAGTTAGAACACTGTTGCAAACACCTGAGAAAATAATCACTCCCGCCGAGGCCCTGTTCATTTATAGATGCGGTATTCAAATGAGGTTAATCAGATTTCGTTTATGATTGGATTAATTTTAGAGTGTCGTCACAAATGCCAATGTAAACGACACTTAAAAGTCTACCTTTTCATTGGCTATTTCGTTCCTTTACTTGTACCCAATGAGAAAGCCCAGACCAGACTACCCGAGGCTACTATAAATAGGCCTCTTTAGGCAAGACAGCTGTGCACTTCGCTTGGAGCAGTTGGTTTTTGAGATCCGACTTTTTTAACATTGTGGTGTCAGAACTTACACCGAAAGATACTTAACAGATTAGGAGAACTCACATTCCTTTCTTCCTTTAACAAAGTATGGGACTCGTTGCATACAGAAGCCGTGCTAATTGGGACATCCCCCCCCCCCAAGTCTGTCAGTTTTACGTTTCGGCAAGTCCTTAATCCATCCAAATGCCACATTTAAGGACCAAGTATTTTTCTGCAGTGTCGGTTTCTAATTTTCAGTTATGTGGCAGTAGTCTCCCCAAGCACTTGAAATGTAGCCCTTCGGAAATAATGTCAGTACTATGCCACTTGTCCTAAGACGTACTCCTCTGAAGTCCCTCACTGCCTGCCATACTCGATAGGGATAACCAGTAGGCTTGTAACCAGCACAGAAACTGATACACTGTGCCGTGTTTGGAACTCGGAAAAACCCAGCTTAGAAACCCGGGAAAATCCCAACATTTTTTTTCCCATGCTATCTGGAGGCCAGGGCCTGCTAAAAGTGCAAAGCACAAGGGAGGCCCAAATGGGTTCAACTCCGACACTCGAGAACGCAAAATCGAGATGACGCCACTGCACTCCGGCTTGGGCGACGCGACGCCTTAGTCAAAAATAGCTCCGGAGACACACAAAATCCCACTCCTCTCCCCGACTTTGTTCCCGGGAGACCCGCCCCTGCTTAGCAGCGTTTTCCCGAGCCACGCCCCCTAATAGTGCAACAGCTCTTTTACTGAGAGCGGTGGGTGGCTCTGAAAAGAGCCTTTGGGTTGTGTTGGGCTTCTAAGCAGTTGGCCAAAGGAACTTTCTACTTTTTCTTGGCTGCCGCCTTCTTTGGCTTGGCTGCCTTGGGCTTGGCGGTCTTTGGTTTAGCCGCCTTGGGTTTAACTGCTTTGGCCTTCGCTGGGCTCTTGGGCGCCTTTTTTGGCTTGGCTGCTTTCGCCTTTTTCGGGCTTTTCGCTTTTTTGGCTCCAGCAGCTGCAGCCGGCTTCTTCGCCTTCTTTGGGGTCTTCTTGGCGCTCTTCTTGGGGGTGGCCGCCCCCGTCGCCTTCTTGGGCTTCTTCGCCGCTCCTGCTGGCTTCTTGGCCTTGGCCGCGCCTGCCTTTTTAGCCTTAGGCTTGGCTTCCCCAGAGGCCGCCTTCTTGTTGAGTTTGAAGGAACCCGACGCGCCGGTGCCCTTGGTCTGCACCAGGGTGCCCTTGCTCACCAGGCTCTTGAGACCCAGCTTGATGCGGCTGTTGTTCTTCTCCACGTCATAGCCAGCGGCTGCCAGCGCTTTCTTGAGAGCGGCCAAAGATACGCCGCTGCGCTCCTTGGAGGCGGCAACAGCTTTAGTAATGAGCTCGGACACCGGGGGCCCAGACGCTTTGCGCTTGGCCGCACCTGCAGACTTGCGGGCCTTCTTCTTCACGGGAGTCTTCTCGGCAGGGGCCGGAGCAGCGGGCGCGGCAGGCGCAGTCTCGGACATGTTGAAGGCAAGCGTGAGCGAGAGCAATTCGAGCCGGAAGCAGAGGCACTGGCCGGGACTCGAGCCGCGGCGCTGCGCCCGCCCGTTTATATAGGGCGGAGCTGCGCCGTGATTGGTGCGCTGTCCAGCCCGCCTCGCTGGCAGCCGCAGAGTGTCCTCTCGGATCCCGAGTTGTGTTTGTTACACCTCAAAAAAAGCCAAAAATATAAAAATTGTCTACACCGAACTGCCCGGTTTTTCTCAGATAATGATCCCCGAACCCTCAGGCTTCACGCAGATCTCAAATTATAAGGGAAGCACAAAGCCTTGTGCCAAAAACTTGCAATATTTCCCGCCGTGCTTGGCAAATTTCAACTCAGAGAAACAAAACTTTCTATTTTCTTCGTAAATTATAAACCGATCTTTAACTGTGGACTTTTCTGACCTCTCAAATATGATACTCCAAGTGGTTAGCTTCTTATATATCCAAAAAGCATGCCACTGGCATTAAGATTTTTATTACAAATCTGCACTTAAGTGAGGGAAGTAACACAGGCTCCTCGGAGAGTCCTGCCTATTGAGCCGAGGGCATTTGAGTTCATCAAACTGGTTTAGTTTAATGCCAAACAAATTATTGCCCATTTGAGATTAAGTTTTGGACCCCTGGGACATCAATCTATACAGCCATGGTTTTACATCTGTCCGCTACATCTGAGTTTTTAAACAATTCTTTGGATAATTCTTTCCCTTTCTGCTCCCAAGGGTTGGGGGCGGGGCTGTTGCTTCTCTCTTCCTCTGGACAATTGCTCCATGGATTGAGATACCTTGAATTCAGGGTATTTGGGAACGAAGGGAAGTCCAAAATGTACTCAGGGTACAGAGATGAAAAAGGATTAATTTTCAAATGTGATGTTCATAAAGTCACTGGAAGTGGAGGTGCACTTTACTTTAAAGCATTTGTCTGCAGCCTTGCTGAGTGCTTTTGGCATATGCTTCAGAACCAAATTGCAATAAAGTAGCTTAGAGCTGAAATTCAAGCATTGATGATAAGGCAAAATAAATAAGAAACGTAGATTGAAACATCTACTCCCATTATTAGTGAAACCCAGCCCCTATTATTACTGAATAGTTGAGGAATGACTAGTCCACTCACCACGTATGGTTTCAATCCCCCTGAAGATTGTATTCCAATGCTTCCCAGAGCTCAATAGAAAGAAAAATAAGTGACATGTAGTGATTAAACGACAAGTTCAAATTTCGATCTCAGAAGTAGAGCTTTGAGAGTCTATCTAAGCTATTATAAATCATTGCCCTCTGAAAACATCCTTTGAACAATGTCTGAGTGAATTTCTTTAGGTAGTTGCCCAATCAAGAAGAGTGTATGTAAGCTGGCAATGAAAGCCCAACCAAAAGAATTATTTCTGGTCCGGGCGCGGTGGCTCACGCCTGTAATCCCAGCACTTTGGGAGGCCGAGACGGGCGGATCACGAGGTCAGGAGATCAAGACCATCCTGGCTAACACGGTGAAACCCTGTATCTACTAAAAGTACAAAAAATTAGCCGGGTGCGGTGGCGGGCGCCTGCAGTCCCAGCTACTCGGGAGACTGAGGCAGGAGAATGGCGTGAACCCGGGAGGCGGAGCTTGCAGTGAGCCTAGATAGTGCCACTGCAGTCAGGCCTAGGCGAAAGAGCAAGACTCCGTCTCAAAAAAAAAAAAAAAAAGAATTTTTTCTGAAAAACGATATGGCTGGAACAGTATGGGTGGAACTACAAGCCACTTATCATGGAAACAAAATAAAATTTTGCCCAGTGCTATAAGGTGATATGATACTGTTCTGTGGACGTGGTTGATTGTAATATGGCGTTGGATATCATTTTAAATTTTAATTTCATTGCCCAAAATCTCCAGACACAAATTCTGCTACTGAAATAAGGAGAATATAGAATTTTGATATAACACGAGTGAAATGTATCAAAACAGTACTGTTTAATGTTGAATTTGTTATAAAAGTGATGTAAATTATCAATGTTTTTAATATCTTGATGTGTATTTTCAATCTAATTATTGCACATCAGTGCAAAAATAAATATGCCCTTTGGTATTTATTGAAATAAAAAGGGAGATGGATAAATCTCCAAAACAGACTAGGGAAACTGATTATATGGGCATTTGATTCCAGAATGGTAATATTATACCTATTTAATGACAACAAAAACCACTCCTGTAAATGACTGAAACTTACACAACACATGGAAGTTTGCTTTCACATGCCTCACTTTATCCAGTGTATTCCTCATGGCTAGGAAGGAGTTAAACTCTCCAAATTCTGTGGTCTTTCAACTTCCACTGCTTGCCTCCTTAAGGTGTGGTGTGTTTTCTTTACTTTACTTTTCTTTTCTTTTTTTGAGACAGAGTCTCACTGTGTCACCCAGGCTGGAGTGCAATGGCGCGATCTTGGTTCACTGCAACCACTGCCTCTGCCTCCAAATGCATGGGCTGGGAGAGGTGGCTCACGCCGGTAATCCTAGCACTTTGAGATGCTGAGGCGAATGGATGACTTGAGATCAGGAGTCCGAGGCCAGCCTGACCAACAAGGTGAAACCCCATCTCTGCTAAAATAAAATAATAATAATAATAATAATAATAATAATAATAATAGTTAGGTGTGGTGGTGTAATCCCAGCTACTCGGGAGGCTGAGGCAGGAAAAGCCCTTGAACCAGGAAGGCGGAGGTTGCAGTGAACGTGCTCTCGAGCCTTGGTGACAGAGATTGAGGATTGACCACTATGAAATCAAGCATCTATTTGACACTTGTCGGTGATGAAATAGGAACAATAACAAAAGGCCTTACTTTCTTATTGGTCAGCGGGCTGGCTATCTCAGAACTAGGCGTGTGTGCACACACACATGTTCATGCATGTGTTCTATTTTTTATTTTGTTATTATTTTTTTGAGATGGAGTTTCGC
This sequence comes from Homo sapiens, assembly GCF_000001405.40. NCBI lineage: Eukaryota > Metazoa > Chordata > Mammalia > Primates > Hominidae > Homo > Homo sapiens. Next base: position 26,153,443 of record NC_000006.12, on the reverse strand, counting down.
TCTTGTCACCGAGGCTAGAGTGCAATCAATGGAGCGATTTCTGCTCACTGCAAAGTCCACTTCCCGGGTTCAAGCGATTCTCCTGTCTCAGCCGCCCAAGTAGCTGGGATTACAGGTGCCCGCCACCACACCCAGCTAATTTTTGTATTTTTAGTAGAGACAGGGTTTCACCATGTTGGTCAGGCTGGTCTCCAACTCCTGATATCAGGTGATCCACCCGCCTCGGCCTCCCAAACTGCTGGGATTACAGGTATGAACCACCCAGTCATGCATGTGTTTTAAACATAGATTCTGAGGCCTTGCTCAAGATTATTCTGACATAATAACTCTTCAGTAGGTCCTCAGAATCTGAATATTTATCAGTTTTCTCATGCCACTCTTATGCCGAGCCAAGTTTGGCAACTCTGCTGAACTCACTAGAGATGACCAATAGGGCAAATGTGCTTCCTGTCACGTGAGTTCTCCCAGGGATTTCTGGGCGTGTCTGTGAGATCTTAGAAAAGATATCCATGCTGAATATGACCATATATTGGAAAGACGGGGACAGCATTAGTCCAATCTTGACTTCCTTTGATTCACACCTGGCTGGCCACTATAGTGGGCTGAAGAAGGAGAAAGGAGAGTAACTAAAGTTAAGCATCCAATGAGTCATTATTTTCCAACCACAGAAGGTAGACTGAACCTTGGCTGCTTATGGACTACTTGAATCCTCTAGTACAGCATCTACATTCCTTATCCATTTTATCATTTTTAATGATAGTCATCCTTCCCATTTGTTGGCTACTGTACTACATGCTATCTGAAATTTTTTTTCCCCCACAACTGGGCTGCAGCCTGAGTTACCTGCATTCTTACTTAGTCAGTGTAACAATCCTCTGTTATGGATAGTATTTCTACTTTACAAAGTAGGAAATGGACATGCAGAGGTTAACAAGTTCTCTTGAGAAAACTGTTGGTAAGAGGTACATTGCAGATTCCAGCACACGTTGGTTTTACTTCAAAGCATGTATGCTTATTAAACAGTGTTTTCTCAAACTACAGGTCTGAACAAGCATGAAAAGTTGTGAAATCAGTTTAGTTGTCAAGGACAAAATATTTCTCTTTTTAGTGAAATAGAATAGAATATAAAATACCAGTTTTCGTTGCATGTAGTTTTAGTTATATACACAAATCTTGGTGTGTTAGGCCCCTTAGTAAAAGACATTTCTACTGTGCCTGTTCACATGTCCACAGTATGTCTTCCTTGTGCAATTTCTTGAGCTTTTATAGTCATAAAATATTATCAAGTATGTTATTCTTTAATGAGCTAAGAAAGTAATTTGATATCATTGACATTTTTAAAGTCTCTAAGGTACCCTGAGTGGTGGAAAATGGGGGACACTCTAATTGTTTTTATTTTGGACATGATAGCAGTAATATGCAGCTACAAATATGACTATGAACTAAGGGGAACAATGTGATTTGCAGAAAAGTTGAAATAAAAGAGAAGATTGTGCTTGGTTGCTTTTACCTCACAGTTCTGCAGTCAAAGAGCTTAATTCTGAATTTCTGTATTTTAATATGATGTTACCATGATTGTTTCATTAAAGATAGAGTTTGGAAAAGAGGTGCTTTATGCTAGACAGATGGACTATATAGTATCTTCAACATTGTTTCCTTTTTACTTAAGTCAATAATTAACACTGTGGTTTGCACACCCATGGTTATTCATCACAGCAATGTTTGGAATTATAAAATATTTCAAAAAACTTTAATGCCCCACATAAGAGAGTGGTTGGATAAAGTAGGATGCATTTACACAGTGCAGTAATATGCAGCTACAAAAATGACTAAGATCTCTATGAACTAGTATCAATTCCAGGATATACATTTAAGTGATAAGGCAAAGTCCAAAAGAATATACTTAATATAATGACCTTTGCTGAGAAAGAAGGGAGTATAAGAAAACAGACAATTTTCTATTCATTTGTGCAAAAGAAATATAGAAAACTAAACCAAAAACTAAAAATCATTGACTACCTATGGGAGGTGGATGAGAAAGAAACAGGTGGAAAGAAGGGGGAATGGGAAAAAACAGTAAGGATAAGAAGGGAATGACACTTTTTTGACTATACCTTTTCATATAAGTGACCCTTACAACTATAGTAATGTTTCATATGCCAGCAAAATAAACTATTAAACAAACGATTAAAACTGATAGAAATGGGGGATACAAAATGGAATACAAGGAATGAAACAAATAAACCAAGCTGTATTAACTTAATAACATAGTAACATTTAAGGGAGGGAAGAAGATAAAAGTTAACCTAAGTAACATTGGAATACAATACTAATTGCATACTCCCTGGGCAGGCACGGTGGCTTACACCTGTAATCCCAACACTTTGGAAGGCCAAGGCAGGCAGATCACCTGAGTTCAGGAGTTCAAGACCAGCCTGGCCAACATGGTGAAACTCAGTCTCTACTAAAAATAAAAAAATCAGCCAGCTGTTTTGGCATGCACCTGTAATCCCAGCTACTTGGGAGGCTGAGGCAAGAGAATCACTTGAACCCGTGAGGCAGAGGTTGCAGTGAGCCGAGATCACGTCACTGCACTCCAGCCTGAGTGATAGAGCAAGACTCCATCTCAAAAAAAAAAAAAAAAAAAAAATTTACTTGGATACTTTAAGGCTAAAGACAAAAAAATCAATCATATATACATATACATACACACTGTAATCTAATATATATGGATTAGTATAGTATATACTATAATTTAGCAAAAGTGTTTGTTATTAATATAGTTTATCAATTCTGAAACTACTTTATGTGCACATTACTATTAAGCAAATAAGTAAAATTATCTATTTGTATATAATGACAGTCAGTGTTCTCACTGGTGGAAAAAGAATATTTAGCTAAAATGAACCTTGTAAAAAAAAAAAAAAAAATTAGCCAGGTGTGGTAGTTTGCACTTGTAGTACTAGCTACGTGGAAGGCTGAGGTAGAAGGATCCCTTGAACCCAGGATTTCGAGGCTTCAGTAAGCTGTGATTGCACCGCTCACTCCAGCCTGGGCAACAGAGCAAGACCTTGTCTTAAAAAAAAAATTAAAAATATTGGATTTTAACTTATGTTTATAAATAAAAAGAAGGGATAATTCTTCCTTACAATATAATTCCAATTAGTAAATGTAGTAGGCAGGAGGGAAACAGAAAATGATCATTAGGCAAACAATATTTGTTTCTTTGTTTTTTGAGACGCAGTCTCGCTCTGTCGCCCAGGCTGGAGTGCAGTGATGTGATCTTGGCTCACTGCAAGCTCCGCCTCCCGGTTTCACGCCATTGTCCTGCCTCAGCCTCCCGAGTAGCTGGGACTACAGGTGCCCACCACCATGCCCGGCTAATTTTTTGTATTTTTAGTAGAGACGGGGTTTCACCGTGTTAGCCAGGATGGTCTCGATATCCTGACCTCGTGATCCGCCCGCCTCGGCCTCCCAAAGTGCTGGGATTACAGGCTTGAGCCACCGCGCCCGGCCGGCAAAGAATATAGTGATCTTGTTTCACATAAAATCCATCAATGGATGCTAAAATTAGTGGGCAAATTTTAAGACGCATGATTTGTTTCTCCAAGTTACCTTATCAACTACAAAGGAAAAGATAGTAAGTTTACATTGAAGAATCCTAGCAATCACCACCTTAACTAAGTAAAGTAAACATCACAAAGCAACAAGGCATATGTGTTTCATAAACTCATTGCATTGAGAAGGACATTTTATCATTTTGGTAGTATTTCCTGTCAAAAACCCAGAAACTCACTCCAGTGGAAAAAAAAGGACAATCATCAAGGGATATTCTTCAAAATAACTCATCAGCACTCTTCAGAAGTGTGAACATCATAAATATAAGAACAGACAGCAGAACTAATACAGACTTAAAGAGTCTAAGAAACAAGCAGTGACTAAATTCAGTGGGGGATCCAGAATAGGATTCTGACACAGAAAAAGAACATTAGGGGGAAGATGTGTGATATTTGAATGGGTCAGAAGTTTAGTTAATATTTTACCAATGTCTACTTCCTATTTCTGATCATTGTATATGGTTATGTAAAACATTAACATTACAGGAAAACAGTTGCTGAAAATAAGAAACATTGTATACTCTATTTGCAACTTTTTTTCACAATTTTTTGCAAAAATAATTCTCTTAGGATTTTGCCATGTTAGAATACTTTCCGACGGGCGTGGTGGCTCACGCCTGTAATCCCAGCACTTTGGGAGGCCGAGGCGGGCGGATCACGAGGACAGGAGATCAAGACCATCCTGGCTAACACGGTGAAACCCCGTCTCTACTAAAAATACAAAAAATTAGCCGGGCGTGGTGGCGGGCACCTGTAGTCCCAGCTACTCGGGAGGCTGAGGCAGGAGAATGGCGTGAACCCAGGAGTCGGAGCTTGCAGTGAGCGGAGATCACGCCACTGCACTGCAGCCTGGGTGACAGAGCAAGACTCCGTCTCAAAAAAAAAAAAAAAAAAAAAAGAATACTTTTCATAGGTGGTAAAAAGAAACAATGCAAAACACCAAACTGTGATATAGAGAGTCTCCATAGTGGTGGAAATACAAATTATTTTTATTATTGTATCTAAACCTTTATGTGTTTTCAAAATTTCTACTGTCAGCATGGATTTCTTTTTTAACAAACAACATCTTTCTAGAGCTGCGCACGGTGGCTCACGCCTGTAATCCCAGCACTTTGGGAGGCTGAGGTGGGCGGATCACTTGAGGTCAGGAGTTCAAGATCAGCCTGGCCAACATGGTGAAACTCTGTCTCTACTAATAATACAAAAAAATTAGCTGGGCATGGTGGTGGGGATTACAGCTACTCAGGAGACTGAGGTGGGAGAATCTCTTGAACCTGGGAGGTGGAGGCTGCAGTGAGCCAAGATCCTGCCACTGCACTCCAGCCTGGGTGGCAATGTGAGACTCTGTCTCAAAGAAAGAAACAAAAAACAAAAACAAACAATGTGTTTTTCTTAAAAATATGATAAAGTTTATTTTTTAAAAAATGTCTGCTTAGTGTCCTGGACATCCAGATACTATTCCCTTTGTACTCTCCTTCTCTCCATTATCTGAACTTTTATTAAAATCATTTTCTAGTTTTTTTTCTTTATAGGTATATGTACATATGTATCCATGAACAGTATGATTCAGTTTGTCCTGTTTCTGAAATTCATATATGTGAAATCATAGTGTATTATTGTGTGCCTTGCTCTTTTTTTCCTTCACTAGGATCCATTCCTCTTTATTATATTGATGCAGAAAGCTCAATTTTGTTGATTTGCATTGCTGTTCTATATTATAAATTTGGCTCCATGTATTTACTTATCTAGTCTACTCCTCATGGACATTCTCATGGTTGTATAACCTGGCCTATTTAATTTTGTTGACTCTTCAGGCTTGTGTCTCTAAACTATCTCATAAGAAATTTGATGATTCTGAGGCCACTGTGGTCTGTGAAAGCCAAGATGCACGTGGAGACCATGTTTGGGCATTCCTCTCCTCCCTTCCTCACCTTTCCCCTCTTCTCCCTTCCCCTCTCTAATTTCAGTAAAGCTGATCACAACCAACTAAATTGTCTTCATGAATAGCAATCAGAATACTGAAGAAATACTATGTTATAGGCGGCAGGGTGAAAAACATTGGTTTTGGAGATATTGGCAACCTTTCCATTCACTTTAACATTGAACCTATAATCATTTTTTCAAAGAATCTCTTCAGCATCTATTTATTCAAAGTTCTGGCCTCTGTCTTTGGAAGAGGTGGTTTAATGAACACATTGCATTTGGCCTTCTTGTGTATCTTCAGTTTTTCAGTTTCTCTCTTTATCTATGATACTTCCTGTTATTGTTTCCTCAATATCTCTTTACTTTTTCCTTTCCATCCCCCTTATATTAAATGAATTTGCTGGTTTGTAAATGTAAGGATTATCTGTTTACACATGATCACTAATTTATATGGAGTGGCAGCTTGGCATAGTGTTTAAACAGATTGACTCTGGTATAGACTCTATTGCTACATAACAAGTTGTCCCAAAATTTAGTGGCTTAAAATAATAGGAAAAATTCATTATGTCACATGGTTTCCATGATTCAGGAATTTGAGGGTGAGTGAACTGTAGTTTCAACACGGGATCTGTCATGAGATTGGAGGCAAGCTATTTGCTGGGACTTTAGTCATCTGCAGACTTAAGCTGAAGAATGGGACTGGAAAATTCCCAGATGGCTTACCTGGCTAGAAAGCTGATGTTGGCTATTAGCAGAAGACTTCCGTTCCTTGGCACATGACATCTTTTGTAGGGCTACACAAGGGTTCAATATATGGCAGCTGGCTTCCTCCAGAGTGATTCAAGAGACAGCAAAACAGAAGTCATGATATCATTTATGACTTAACCTCTTGGGAGTCACAATATTTATTAGTTTCATAGGTCAGAGCTATCCAATTTGGGAGTGAGATACACAAGATATACAAGTCTGTGAATACTAGAAGGTGAGAATTTACTGAGCCATCTTGGAGTCTGGGTATCAGAGTTATGGAGACAGACCACTCCATTTCAATCTCAATCCTGTATTGTTTACTAGGTGACTTTAAGAAACTTCCTAAACTCTATTTCTCAATTTTCTCATGCCTAAAATTTAGATAAGAATATGTAGTAAATTGTACTATTGCTCCCATGATTTTACTGCCCTTTTTGGGAGTATTATATATCCTTGCCCATTGATATGGGTTTACTATATTCCTCTCCATGTAAGGAACACTCTTTCCTACTACACATAAGTCTTTGTAAGTGAGTTGCTTTGGTCAATAAAATATGAGTAGAAGTACCATGTGTCTACTTTCCTGCAGAATCTTTAAGAGCATTGAGATCCCTTTATGTCAGTTTCTCTCAGCCTGGGTCTGTCTATGAAGAAAATATGGAGCAGAGCCATTGCTGATCCATACAGAAATAGAATTTGGGCCTGAAATAACCCTTCTTGTTATTATCCACCAAGATGTGGGGAGTTTTTATATAGCTTGGCAAAAACTTAACGGTTACAACTATTACCTACTTTAGTAGGATTGTTGGTAGGAGTAGACAATATTTTTGAAGTGCTTATAACAATGTCTTGCACATAGTAAGAATATCTATTACTATGATTATTCAAACCTAAATTCACATGAGATAGGTTTATAAGCCATACCATTACTTTATCAATTTATAATGAAAGATACACTTCATATTAAAAATTTGTATCAGAAGGCCGGGCGCGGTGGCTCACGCCTGTAATCCCAGCACTTTGGGAGGCCGAGGCGGGCGGATCACAAGGTCAGGAGATCGAGACCATCCTGGCTAACACGGTGAAACCCCGTCTCTACTAAAAATACAAAAAATTAGCTGGGCGCGGTGGTGGGCGCCTGTAGTCCCAGCTACTCAGGAGGCTGAGGCAGGAGAATGGCGTGAACCTGGGAGGCGGAGCTTGTAGTGAGCCGAGATCGCGCCACTGCACTGCAGCCCGGGCGACAGAGCGAGACTCCGTCTCAAAAATAATAAATAAATAAATAAATAAATAAATAAATAAATAAATAAATAAATAAAAATAAAAATTTTAAAAAATTTGTATCAGAGCCGGGCGCGGTGGCTGACGCCTATAATCCTAGCACTTTGGGAGGCTGAGGCGGGCGGATCACGAGGTCAGGAGATCGAGACCATCCTGGCTAACCAGGTGAAACACCGTCTCTACTAAAAATACAAAAAATTAGCCGGGCGTGGTGGCGGGAGCCTGTAGTCCCAGCTACTCAGGAGGCTGAGGCAGGAGAATGGCGTGAACCCAGGAGGCAGAGTTTCCGGTGAGCTGAGATCGCGCCACTGCACTCCAGCCTGGGCGACAGAGCAAGACTCCGTCTCAAAAAAAAAAATATATGTATTAGAGATGTGTTTATTGCATTACATTCTGGTCTGGAGGCAAAGATACAAATTAGAAGATAATTTCTGTGCATAGAGTTGTAATAAAAGACATTTTCATCAAGCAGTGGTCTCCTGACCAATCGGCTCCTCTATCCCAGGGACACTTGTGTACTGCGTTCTGCTCTGTGGAAAAGATACAGTGAACAATTCATCATTCTATTTTCTAGGTGATCACCAGCCTTTTTTTTTTTTTTTTTTTTAATCATAGTTGCTGTTACATGAAGTCTCTGAATTTCTAGTGTGGAGACTAAAGTAACTCAATCTTAGATGCTAATCTGCTGTATTGACTTCTAAATAATCCCAGTTCTGGGAATGCCTCTAAGATTTCTACTTCCCTGTACTTACCATAAATCCTGCCCTTAAGTCAAAACAATCTTGATATTATTGTAAACACATACTTACTATAAATCCTGCCCTTAGGCAAATTCCCTGTGATCTATAAGCCCTGGGGTTTGGGGTGGGGTAATGGCAGGTAGGCAAATTCACCAAGTTGTCTACATGCCATGGAAGACATGGCTTCTGTTTATAAGTCCCTATTAAAATTTTCTTTCTTGATTTTTCATCATCCTTCTTATGCCTCTCAGTTTCCTTGGCCTTTGGAGGCACGTTTGCTTAGAACTACTAATGGAGGAACATGTTTTCAGTATAATATACCTGTTTAATTTTTGTCAGTTATGGCCAGGCACGGTGGCTTATGCCTGTAATCCCAGAACTTTGGGAGACCGAGGTGGGCAGATCATCTAAGGTAAGGAGTTTGAGACCAGCCTGGCCAACATGATGAAACCCGGTCTCTACTAAAAATACAAAAACAATTAGCTGGGTGTGGTGGTGCACGCCTATAATTCCAGCTACTAGGGAGGCTGAGGCAGAAGAATTGCTTGAACCTAGGAGGAAGAGGTTACAGTGAACAAAGATTGTGCCACTGTACTCCAGCCTGGGTGACAGACCAAGACTCCATGTTCAAAAAAAAAAATTATGTCAGTTACAATATAAGTGTAGTGGATGACAATTTAGACTATTGCAATATATTCATGAAATTTACTATAGAGTAGATACTATGTGCTAGATACTGTTCTAAGCACTTGACAAATACTCAGTCCTTATAATAACCCTTATACTCTTAAAACCATTTTTCAGAAAACAAAATCATGCCCAAAGATGTCAATTGCCCATGGTCTTACAGCTAAGATAGCTGCCTCTCTTCATGAGACTTTTCTAGTAACGAATTCTACCATTCTTTGTAAATTATTGTTATCCCAAGTCCAACAAGATGTTATTTTCCTGTTTGTTAACTTTATTCTATTTTTCCCCCCGAGACAGAGTCTCACTCCCATTGCCCAGGCTGGATCGTAGTGGAATGATCTCGGCTCATTTCAGCCTCCGCCCCTTGGGCTCAAGTAATCCTCTCACTTTAGCCTCCAGAGAAACTGGGATCACAAGTGAATGCCACCATGCCCTGTTAAGTTTTGTATTTTTTGTAGAGGCAGAGTTTTGCCATGTTGCCCAGGCTAGAACTTTATTCCTAAGCACCCTTCCTTGATTTGGGGGTGAGGTAGAAAGCAGGGAGTGGAATATAAAACAGGAAGCGATTTGTGAGATAATGTACTTATTTTATGAAGTCATGGCATGATTCATGTTAGCTTTCTTCATAGTGTCCACCAGTGGCACTTACCTTCTGGAATATGGACAATTTAGGGTTTTGGGTTTTCTGTTCCTTTCCTTCTTATTTTTTACTATTCTCCTCACCGTCCCACGCTAGTCTCATATAAAATGCTTCCACCACTTCTCAATCAGCATGCAGTTCCTAAACCTTCCTTATGGAAAAATTCTAGAGTCCCTAATATTCAGAGATTTAAGGGACCACAGATATCACAAATCCTCCCACTTTACAAAACAAGAAACTTAAGCCCAGAGTGGTGAAGGTACATCCTGAAGAAGTGACCATCCTCTAAATTTCCAGCAGCATGAGGACCAAGTCTGACATTTAGGACTAGCAAACACTCCAAACCGTGCTCTCTGTACATGAGTTGCTCAGGAAAGGCCAATGTTCATTCAATCCTACTGTTTGTCAGTGTACAAGTACAGTCCACTCTAGGGATTTCATATAGAAGGAATTAAATAGAGGTAATTAGATAAACAGGTGATGAAAGAGTTGAGAAACCCAAGAGAGGGGGTGAGGGCAACCCACAGATAAGCTGCAGCAGAAAGTTGCCACCTCTGTCCTCTAGGAACAAAGGGAAGAGGTGATGCTGGAGTCAAGCAGGGAGAGCGCAGGCTGGTAAGGCAAGAATTGAGACCACCAGGAGAAAGGCTCTGTGGTAGGACTAAAGTCAAAGTACCAAGGAGGCTGGAGAAGCCCCAGGAAACAAAATAGAAGAGAAATACTCTGGCCCCATCATGATCGTCCATCAGTGACACCCATTGGACAAATCTACTGGAAACTAGAGAGCAAGGAAACCTGGCAGATGTAGTTTCCAGTGAGATACAGCAGCATCAGAGAGTTAATGGGCAAGTGATAGAAACAAACAGAAACTCAAACACCACAAATATTTCTGCAGTTTTAGATTGTGACCCTGTACCTGCATGTGACCCTGTACTTGCACTTAGCAAAGTGCCCTAGAAAACACAGAGGTGCACTTCCATTTATAAGGATGTCAGATCAAGAAGACAGTTTTGCCTTGTTTTACACAGGTTGCGATTTACCCAGTGTGGCAGGTATTCTCCAGGATGATCCCTGCCTCTGAGGATTCATCCTCTGGTATTATCTCCTTTCCTGTGGGCTGCACCTAGGGACTTGCTTCTCACAAATAGAATATGTCAAAAATGATGCTGTGTCACTTTTGACATTAGGTTACACATGGTTATGGCTTCTTTCTTGGGCCCTCTCACTTGCTCATTGTTTTGGAAGAAAGTCAGCTGCCATGTGGTGCACTCTCCTGTGGAGAGGCCCACATAGGGATTTGAGGCCTTTGGCCTAACAGCCCTGGAAAGAATTGTATTCACTGAATCACGTGAATGAGCTTAGAAATGGATCAATTACATGTAGTTTGGATAGCATAGCAAACTACAGTACATTTGGGCAACAAGGAATATCGATCTCAACCTGAGGCTCAGCTTCTGAACTAAAGGTTAGATCCAAGCTAAAAGTTAGATTCCTGATCACAGAGCCAGACGACCAGTCCACATATGCTGCACCATGACACAAATGTGGGCCCACCAGAAACCAGGAGCTCAACTCTTAGGTCCTACATGACTGACTGCCACTGGGGCATCTGTGGCATGTGGCAGTAGGGCCTCCACATATTTCAACACTACCCAGTGCAAAACAGAAAAGAAACTTTTCTGAAGTGCTGCTTTAAAAATAGCTAATGTTAAATGGAGAGGAAAGAGAGATAGTGGACAAATAATGGACAACAGAAAGGGGGGCATAAATGGAAAATTACAGAGAGAGCTATTGGTTTGTGACTTTCATTAAGAGCATTTGAGAAGATGAGATACAAGGTGACTGGAATAATGATTAAGAAGTTAAATCCTAGCCCTTTAATGAAAGCCTATATCCACTCATTTTCACTGTCTACCACCTTCGGAGGTAATTTAATTCCTCTCGTGGCTTCTGCCTGTCTTGTCAGCAGGCACAGTGTTGCTTGTGCCAGCTGGAACTAGTGGGCAGAGGGTTGCAGATACACAGTGCCTGTTCTCCTGCAGCCTACAGAGCCCTGAGCCCAGGAAGGGGGTAGCCTGATGCACAGAGAGGCTGTGCTCCAGAAAGGGACCCACACACAGCCCGGGCTGTTCCTTTTCATAGAGAAAGCATGAGAGCAGACTTGATAAAGAGAATAAACATTTTCTGTGTGGGTGTCAGCTGAGAAAGCCAGCCTTCCAGCACCTGGGAACATTGGCTGATCCTCCCACAGGGAAAGAAGCAGCCATTGTTCCCAGTTCATTGCCAGGCAACCCAGAGAAAGTCCCTGGGGTCATTGGTTGAAGAGCTCTGCTTGTGTCTTCACAGTGCCTTTGCTCACTGCATTCCTAGCTATGCTGTTGCTGACAGTTCACGTTCCCAGCATCACTATCCACCAGACCATGTTCACTTTCTCAGAAGGCCTCCCTGCCCCTCTGGGAGTGGGAAAATGGTCAATGGAGGGCCTCACTGAAGTGATATTTAAGCGAATGAGTATCTCCAAAAAGAGTGTTCTAGGCTTCCTCATAAAATTTGGAGAGCAGACATGAAAACAGGGAAGGTGAGAAACAACATAGAAATATATGCAGTGGGTACACCTCATAGGAAAGAGTATGGAACTTAAATCAGACCAGAAGCGTAGGGGTCATTTGAGACAGGGCCCTTCTGGGTAGGAAAACAGCACAATAGAGTGATCCAATGTGCACGTGCTGGATGGAGTTGGGGAGTGGGGAGAGAGAGATGAGGCTATCTTTACCAGGAAGGAGCAGAGAATATTTAAGCAGAGAATATTTAAGTGGTGTGACGATGTATGTTTACTGGCTCTCCAGAAACAAAACAAAAAAACCCTGATGTAACATATGCTAGTTCCCATGATGTAAATGCTGCTATTATGGCCAGTTTCAAACCACCAATGTTACGCTGACCACAGAGTAGAAAGGAAGGAAGGCTTTAAAATGACGCATAGATCTTTAATTGGAGGTCAGAGAAAATGAATACCAAGGGCAGAAATATATCTCAATGTACGGATGTGGAAAAGCCATTGACTTGTTTTTGTGACCATTACCTAAGGCCAACCAATTCAGAACCCCAGCCTCTTCATCCTTAATCTGAAGGGACTGTGCTAAAGAAAATGGGAGTTTCTTTCTGTCCTCTTTCATTCTTTCCTTCCACAGGGCCTGTCTACCTAGGGCCTTCCACATTTCTCTTTGCTCTGCCAAGTTTGCTCAGGTACCCAGTCTAGATGAATTCTCCATGTCCTCACTGAAGGTAGGAAGTCAAGTTGAACCAAAAGCAGGGGGCATCCCTGTTTGGAAAGCCTCTGCTTCTTGAAAGGTGGCTCAGCTGAGTTACAAACACGCATGCCTTCCACTGGGGCTGCTGCTTCTGAACCTGGAGCTGACTTGGTGGGAGGTGTGTGGGTACACTCCACCACCATTCAACATTCCATGTCTACCATGCTGACTCTTCTAAAAGCTTCATGTAGCCATGGGGGCAAACTGCAACCAGACTCAGTTAGTACTTAGGTGTAAGAACCCCAATTACTTCAATTTCTGCAGGTGGAAGCCAGCAAATCTCTGACAGAAATCCCAACATCCTGTCCTGCTTTCACTTTTCCACATTTGAAAATGGACAGAAGACAGTCTTTATATAATCTTGCACATATTTGTCAGGTTTTACAAGGAATATAGTGTTTTCTCATCTGCCATCTCATTTGATAGTTTTTCATAACTCTGGGAGGTACTATTACCTTATTTTACAGAAGAGAAATTCTGAGATGGCAGGTAACTAATCCCATCAGACATTTGGTGAGTGGCAGAGCTGAAAAAAAATCACAAGTATTTTGGCTTCAGATTCCTGTGTCTTTCCAGAACACCTGAGTGTCTATGCAGGTGTGTGTGTGTGTGTGTGTGTATAGACACACAAAACCCACTTTTTATAGATTTATTGTATAGGCATTTTTGTTTTTTTTGAGACAGGGTCTCGCTCTGTTGCCCAGAGCTGGAGCGCATTGCTGTGATCATGGCTCACTGCAGCCTTGACCTCCAGGGATCAAACAATCCTCCCACCCTAGCCCTGGAGTAGCTGGGACCAGAAGTGCAGGCCCACCAAGCAGTTAAATTTTACATATTTTGTAGAGATGGGGTTTCTCCATGTTGTCCAGGCTGATCTCGAAATCCTGGGTTCAAGCCATCTGCCCAACTTGGCTTCCCCAAATGCTAGGATTACTGGCCTAAGCCACAGTACCTGGGCAAAGTACTTCTTAAGAATAAATTGGGTGTTCCCTTCTTCCAACTCAGCCTATGATATTAAGGTGGCTCTCTTGCCAGCTCCTGAAAATTCGGGGCCAGAATTGAAATTTCCATACAGAGTAGGCCTCATGAATTCATCAGCCATTTCTCGGGTGACTACTATTTGCCAGGCAGCGTCAGGCACCATGCTGGGACCTGGGAATACAGCAGTGGACCATACAGGCCCTTAGCCACCAATACACACAGATTTGTAAAAGTAACAGTCAGTCTTAAAACCAGACCTTGACTGCAGATGAAAAAGTAGGCAAAAGAGGGCAGGCAGGTCAGGAGGATGTGTTTCCTAATCATTATGCAAGGAAGAAAGGAAATGGCAATTTAACCAGGGAGGTGTCCTAGGCAGAAAATTAATGACACATGCTTTCCTCTCCCTTTGCATTACCTTTTATTACCTCATGCCAGGCTGGAATTTGGGAAATCTGTTTCTATTACAATGTATACATTATACATTAAATAAGATTATGCACATTACAAATAAAATTATTTCAAAATTAAGAAATTACACATAGTTCAATTAAAATTAAATTTGAAAATAATTTTATTTGTGCTGTTCTTTAGAGCACCAACAATTCATACACATGATCTTCATTCTCATAGCCACTTAAGGTAAGTATTACCTCCATTTTAGAGGTGAAGAAATTAAGGTTCAAAATAACTAATTTGGTGATGGCCACATAGTTTTTAAGAACGTTGAGTCTAGCCCAAGAGTGACTGGAATTTTCAGTTCACTTACCACCATTCCAGCAGAATAGCAGAGCAATTTCAATTTTGCAGTAAATCAGGGTTAATCATCCCAGAACTGTTTGATAGCAAAAGACTAAAACAACTCAAGTGCCTACCAACAGTGGACAGGTTACATAAAATATAATGCATTTGCATAATGCAGTACATGCAACTGTGTACAGGAAGCTCTGTATGTTCTCATAGGGAAAGTTCTCCAAGATAGATTGTTATGAAAAGGGCAAGTGCAGAAAAGTCTACACAGTCTGCTACCTGACAAGAATGAAAAAAGTGAAGAAAACACGTATCATTCATTATTGACTGATATCAGCAGGAATGAATACTGGGCAGATACACAAGAAAAAGAAAAGTGACCACCTGGGTAAGTTGAGGGATGGATTCTTTATATATAATCTCTTTACTTCAAATAGTTTGAACCCTGTGAATGTAATACTTATTTAAAAAATTAAACACATTTTGTATTCAGAAGAACTTCCCCTCAATAATATTCTTTCTCTTCATTTTATCCTCCTTATCTCCCCACACATGATGTAGAATGTTTTTAATAAAACAATTTGCGGATGCAGAATCAATCAGTAATGTAGGAATCAGTAATGCCATCCATCCACTTATTCCTTAGAATTGGTAAGTTTGGCAGGCACTTAGGATCCTGGCATCTCTCTGAAATGAGAAGCTTTTGCAACCTAAGAGAGAGAGAAGAAAAAGTAAATATATCTGGAAACCACCTTCTTGGCCTTCCTTACACATACAGAAAAACTTACAGATCCTTTTCTTCATAATGAGTTAGTTCTTTACAGGTACCACAGCCCTTCTCAATTCCTCAAATAACTCCCTGTGGTGTAAAAGGACCTATCCAGACTAGACACTCCAGTTTTGCTCTTCAGATAGGGTTGCTAGATTTGGCACATTAAAAATACCAAATGTCCAGTTAAATCTGAATTTCAAATATATATATATATATATATATATATATATATATATATATATATATATATATATGTATAGAATGTCTCATGTAATATTTGGGTGTGCAGTGAGGGGCATACTTAAGCAATTATTTGTTGCCTGTTTGAAATTCAAATATAATTGGGTATCCTGTATTTTGTATGGTAAATTTATCCTCTGATTCCACTTGGAGGAAGCTAGTTAAGTGCACTTGAACTTATCAGCCCAAGGGCACAAAAAGTACCTATCCCAGTGCAATGCAATAGAATTTTCTGTGATGATAGACATGTTCTATGTCTGTGTATCCAATACAGTAGACACCAGCAACCTGAAATGTGGTGAGACTGAGGAAACTGAATTTTTGACTTAATTATTTAAATTTAAAATATCACATGTGGCTAATGGCTACTGTATCAGAGAGCAAAGCCCTAAAAAGAGTCATGTATCTCCCTTCAATTTAGCAACTGGGATTTAAGATCCAGTGATGGTTAAAATGATACATAACTCAGGAATACACTCCTAAGTCTCTGTGGCTTAGATAGTGACTACTCCGTTTCTGCACAAACATGTTTTGCTGTCAACATAATCATTCTGGGTTTTTTTCCCTGTATTTACTGAAGATATATTATATGGAAAGGATGTGAAGGGCCAGGGTACAGGTAGATGTGAAGGTAAAGGGTACAAGGTAAGGTAAAATTCTCCAACAAACTTATCCTAGCAGGTAAGAGTGTTAACTGAATAATCTCAGCATTAGAATATAAAAGCTGGGGTCGGGCACAGTGGCTGAGGCCTGTTAATCCCAGCAATTTGGGAGGCCAAGGCAGGCGGATCACTTGAGGCCTGGTGTTGGAGACCAGCCTGGCCAACATCTGAAACTCCATCTTTACTAAAAATACAAAAACTAGCCAGGTGTGGCAGCATGCACCTGTAATCCTAGATACTTGGGAGGCTGAGGCAGGAGAATCGCTTGAACCCGGGAGGCAGAGGTTGCAGTGAGCTGAGATCGCACCACTGCATTCCAGCCTGGGCAACAGAGCTAGACTCTGTGAAGAAAGAAAGGAAGGGAGGGAGGGAGGGAGGGAGGGAGGAAGGAAGGAAGGAAGGAAGGAAGGAAGGAAGGAAGGAAGGAAGGAAAATAAAAGCTGGGAGGTTCCATTACCACAAAGTAAACATTAAGTGGATGAAACAGCACAAATTTGATCACACATACCAGCTGTGTGACCATTTTCTTTCCATGATTTTAAGCAAACATCTATTAACCCTAGACCCAGAGCATATTAAAGAGAATTATTTTATGCATGATGCCAGCTAGCAGAGAACAGGCCCTTAAAAGAATTAACAATCTAGACAACTTAGAATTATCAGTACACATGATGTCTGGAGAGGTCAGTGCAGAAACTGGGAAAATGGTAAGAGTGTGGAAAACAAATGGGGTGTAATTCAAAACTTCATAGTGTTCCTGGTAGCTGGGTAAGGTGAGTAGGTAATGTATTGACAATGATTTATAGATAGACATTTTTATAGAAATTCAGATAATTACACTCTGTGCAGTGAAACAGCTTTCTGGGCTAAAAAAATATCTATTCTCTGGTTTATATACCAGATACTTGCGTTCCCACTAAGTGTCAGGCCCTCTGCTAGATGCTGGGATATAACAGTGAATGAATACATCAGGTCCCTACTTTGTGGAGCTAGGTTTAATGGAAAGAGGCAAACAACAAGGAATCTCATAAATAAAACTTCAAACTGCATTTGAAAGAATCTAAACAGGATGAGTGACAGAACATAATTTGAGGTGGGAAATGGAGAAAGTTTACTTTTTTCTCTCTTTATACTTTAAAAAAAATATACTTGCTCATTTTAACAGTTCACACAGAGATGTTTATAAAGGTTTACCTCTCCTCACCCCATTCTATTAGGTTGGTACAAAAGTAATTGCAGCTTTTGCCAGTGAAAGTAATGGTAAGAACCACAATTACTTTTGCACCAACTTAGTTTCAGCTATCTGAGATAATTACTGTGGTATGTTTTCTTCCATACGGTTCTCTATTTACTCTCATCAGTTGTGTGTGTGATTTTGTTTCACCGGATTATTGTTTCAGGTAGCTGCATAACATTCCATAGTATAAATGGATGTCTCACTATGTCAACAGTATTCTTATTTTAGTTATTTAAATGTTTTACATGTATAATTAGGTTTTTTTTTTTCTTATTACAGTTTTGAGTAGTTTTTTTGTTTTGTTTTGAGATGGAGTCTCACTCTGTTGCCCAGGCTGGAGTGGTGCGATCTCGGCTCACTGTAACCTCTGCCTCTTGGGTTCAAGCTATTCTCCTGCCTCAGGCTACCGAGTAGCTGGGATTACAGGCATGTGCCACCATGCATGGCTAATCGTTGTATTTTTAGTAGAGATAGGTTTTAACCATGTTGGCCAGGCGGGTCTCAAACCCCTGACCTCAAGTGATCCACCCGCCTCAGCCTCCCAAAATGCTAGGATTACAGGCATGAGCCACCGTACCTGAATTCTTGTGACAGTTTTGAAAGAGTCCTTACATATGTAACCTTACCTAGTGGGGCCTTTATTCTAGATTGTTGACACTCTCCCTTTCCAAATGTCTATTAATACAATTTAATAGACATTGTCAGGAAAAGTTATGAAAAACTATATGACAATGGCAATTCTTCCTCATCCTTTGCAGTCCTGAGTATACTGGCTTTAGTGGTTGTCTATTCATAGGTAAGAAATGGTATCCCAGGCTGGGCACAGTGGCTCATGCCTGTAATCCCAGCACTTTGGGAGCCTGAAGTGGGTGGATCATCTGAGGTCAGGAGGAGTTCGACACCAGCCTGGCCAATATGGTGAAACCCCATCTCTACTAATAATACAAAAATTAGGCCAGGTGCAGTGGTTCACGCCTGTAATCACAGCACTTTGGGAGGCTGAGGCCGTCAGATCACGAGGTCAAGAGACCGAGACCATCCTGGCCAACCAACATGGTAAAACCCCATCTCTAATAAAAATACAAAAGTTAGCTGAGCGTGGTAGCAGGCGCCTGTAGTCCCAGCTACTCGGGAGGCTGAGGCAGGAGAATCGCTTGAACCCAGGGGGTGGAAGTTGCAGTGAGTTGAGATCATGCCACTACACTCCAGCCTGGGTACCTGAGCAAGACTCTGTCTCAAAAAAAAAAAAAAAAAAGAAGTGGTATCCCTTTGTTGTATTAATATGCATAATTTTGAATTACTAGGAAGGTTTTTTGTTTCTTGTTTTTCATATGTATTGGCCATATGAATTTAATACATGATATAAAATACCGTTTAATCATCTTTTATATTATGTTGTTTGCCTTTTCACTAACGTTTTGCAGTTTGTCCCTGTAAATTGAGGTTACTAACCCCGTATATGTTTTGGAAATCCTTTATCCCAACTTATTGCTCTTTCTATAACTCTCTTTACATATATTCTGTCTTAAACCACTTTTGGACCTATCTAGTCTGTGTCCTTTCCTAGATGGCTTTTGTGTTTCCTCCTCACTTAGCAATGACACCCTCCATCACCATTTCCAAACACACACACACACACACACACACACACACACACACAAATGAGGTATATAAAGGGTCTCCTAAAATGTCATCTGATATTTGTTATTTCATATTCTCAGATTTTTAATCCATTTAGGTAGGTCTATTTTAGATAGCCTTGTCTGAAACAGAGCTGGGACCTGATGAGTGAAAATGAGCTCACCAGAAGAAAAATCAAACAGGCATTTCAGAGATTGAGGCCAAGAAGTTAAATGTCTTAAATGGGCAGAGCTTAGCTGCTTGATGTGAAAAGAGACCAGCGTGGCTGGAACAGCAAAGGAGAACAGCAGAAGAGGTGAACAGAGGCCAGAGATGGTCACTGAGTGGGCCCTTAAGTCATGGTAAGGAGTATGGAGAATGAATTATTGCATGTATTGAATATGTAGGTGACGTGACTCACAGATACTTTGGATTTGTAGAGATGAAGGAAATGTAGCAAGTGACACTCTTAGAATGTTGATTTGAGTAAATGGTAGTGTCAGTTATTGAACTGGGGAGAACTGGAAGGGATAACAGGCTTAAGGAGCACGTTTATTCCTGTGTCTTGGAAGTGTTTAGGGTGAAAGACCTATTAGAGTTCTAAATGGAGATGTCAAGTGAAAATGTGGCTACACACATTTGCATTTCAGAAAAAAGGTCAGGCTGGAGATGTAAAATTGGAAGTTTACTGCATATAGATAGTCTTTGGAACCGTAGTATTGATGAAGCCATTAATGAGACAGAACAAAGACTAGGGACCAGAGCCAAGCTCCAAGTTTCTAAAATTTAGAGGATAGTATAGTCTGGTCATTTTGAGGTGAATACTTAATAACAGAACAATTTGTTGAAGTGTAAATTTAGAGCCCTACACTTTTAGCTCTGACTATTAACGAATACAGGAAAGAATGGATATGGTTATCTGCCTGGTGTCTGTGAAATAATTTAAGCCAGGAAGAGATCCTCACCAGAAACTGACTATGCTGGCAACTTGGATCTTAGATTTCCAGCCTGCAGAATTGTTAGAAAATAAATGTCTATCGTTTAAGCCACCAGTCTGTAGTATTTTGTTATGGCAGTCCAAGCTGACTAAGTTTTGGTACCCAGGCGTGGGATGCTGCAACAACAAATACCTAAACATGGGGAAGTGGCTTTGGAAATTGGTGATGGGTAAAGGCTGGAAGAGTTTGAGGTTCATACTAGAAAAAGCCAATTGTGAAGGGACTATTGAAAGAAATATGGACATTAAAGGCAATTCTGGCAAAGGCTCAGAAAGGAAGAGAGCTGGACAGAAAGCTTCCATTTTCATAGAAACTTAGATTTATAACGATCATGGATAGAATATTAAATATGCTGGTTAAAATATGGACTTTAGGCCAGGCGTGGTGGCTCACGCCTGTAATCTCAGCACTTTGGGAGGCTGAGGGCACAGATCACGAGGTCGGGAGTTTGAGACCAGCCTGGCCAATATGGCGAAACCCTGTCTCTACTAAAAATACAAAAATTAGCTGGGCATGGTGATGTGCTTCTGTGGTCCCAGCTACTCGGGAGGCTGAGGCTGAAGAATCGCTTAAACCCGGGGGGTGGAGGTTGCAGTGACCCAAGATCACACCACTGCACTCCAGCCTGGGATACAGAGCAGGACTCCACTCCCCCCGCCACACACACACAAAAAATATATATATATGGACATTAAAGTCAACTCTTGTGAGGTCTCAGATGAAAATGAGGGACAGGTTATTGGAAACTGTAGAAATCACTGTTCTTGTTACAATGTGTCAAGAACTTGGCTGAATTACGCTGTAGTGTTTACTGGAAAGAACTTATAAGCAGTAAAACTGGATATTTACCAGAAGAGATGTCTAAGCAAAGTATTGAAGGTGTGATTTAGGTCCTCCTTACTGCTTAAAGTGAAATGTGAGAGGAAAGAGCCGAAATAAAGAAGGAATTTTTAAGCAAAACACAATCAGAACTTGGAGATTTGGGATAGATTTCTCAATCTATATTGTAAAAATTGAGAAAGTTTTTCTTGAAGAGGTATGGTTGAACAATGTTTTCTTTTTCTTTTTTTTTCTTGGTTTTATTTTTATTTTTATGTTTTTTGAGACAGGGTCTGGCTATGTCATCCAGGCTGGAGTGCAGTGGCACAATCTCAGTTCAGTGCAACCTTTGCCTTCAGGCTCAAGCAATCCTCCCACCTCAGCCTCCTAAGTAGCTGGGACTACATGTATGCACCACCACACCCTGGCTAATTTTTTGTTGTTGTTTATAGAGATGGGGTTTTGACATGTTGCCTAGGCTGGTCTCTAACTCCTGAGCTCAAGTGATCTGCCCTCCTCAGTCTCCCAAAGTGTTGGGATTACAGGCGTGAAACACTGAGCCTAGCCTGAACAACCATTTGATAAAGAGATAATGGGTGTGACCCAAGGATTTAATCAGCCATCTCAGCAGAAGCCAGGAAGAGAGATGGGATTATTCCAGCAGAGACACTGCCAATTTAAACTAACGTAGGCAGAGAAAACAGAAAGGAACAAAGGAAGGTTGTCGACTTTTTGAATTCTATAGAACAGGATCATAGAGCTACCTGGCTGTCAATGTGTACTATTCTTTAAGAAAAGGAAAGACTGACCCACCAAAGGCAACTTACAAGATCACTAGGGCTGACTCTTTTGTTTTTTCTTGAGGCAGTCTCACTGTCACCCAGGCTGTAGGGCAATGGTGTGATCTCAGCTCACTGCAATCTCCACCTCCCAGGTTCAAGGGATTCTCTTGCCTTAGACTCCCAAGTAGCTGGGATTACAGGCTCTAAATCTGTACCCTCCCGAGTAGCGCTCCTGCCACCACTTGCCCAGCTAATTTTTGTATTTTTAGTAGAGATGGGGTTTCACTATGTTGGCCAGGCTAGTTTGGAACTCCTGACCTCCAGTGATCCATTCTCATTGGCCTCCCAAAGTGCTGGGATTACAGGCAGGAGCCGCCAGGGCTGCCACTTTGATGTCAGACTCAGAGAGTACAGATGGGATAGGGTGGGGGTGGGAACATGTAGTCAAGGCTGACTCTACCTGTTTCAAAGATGCCCTGCAGAACTGTGTGGGAGTCTCTCACAGATGGCTGCCTGGGTGGGACCCCACCAAACTGAAAGACCGAGACTTCAGGCAGGGCAGATGGAGTAGGCCAACTACAGAGCCAGAGGTGACACTGAGACACCACTGGGCCTGGAAATCAGGGCATCAAGCCAAAGAGGGTTTTTCTTAAGACCTAACAGAATTTGCCTTGCCAGGTTTTGGACTTGATTAGGACACATTACACCTTCCTTCTTTCCTATTTCTCCATTTTCTAATGGGAATGTCTATTATGCCTGTTTCACCATTGTACCTTAGAAGCATGTAACATTTCTGGTTTCACACGTTCAAAGCTGGAAAGGAATTTTGTCTCTGGATGAATCACACATTGAGCCTCACCCGTAACCTGATTTAGATGATTTTTTAGATGACACTTTGAACTTTAGAATTGATGCTAGAATGAGTTAAGACTTTCAGGGGGCTGTTGGGATGGAATAATTTTTTTTTTTTTTTTGAGACGGAGTCTAGCTCTGTCGCCCAGGCTGGAGTGCAGTGGCACCATCTTGGCTCACTGCAAGCTCTGCCTCCCGGGTTTATGCCATTCTCATGTCTCAGCCTCCAGAGTAGCTGGGACTACAGGCGCCCGCCACCACGCCTGGCTAATTTTTTTTTTATTTTAGTAGAGATGGGGTTTCACCGTGTTAGCCAGAATGGTCTCGATCTCTTGACCTTCTGATCCGCCTGCCTTGGCTTCCCAAAGTGCTGGGATTACACGTGTGAGCCACCATGCCCGGCTGGGATGGAATAAATTTATCTTGTATGGGAGAAGGACATACATTTTGGCAGGTCAAGGACAGAATGTTATGGACTAAACTGTGTCCCCCAAAATTCATTTATTAAAACCCTAAACCCCAGTGTGACTGCATTTGGACATAGAGCCTTTAGGGGGTACATAAAACTAAAGATCACAGGATAGGGCCCTAATCCCATTGGGGCTGGTGTCCTTACAGAAGATGAGACACTTAGAGCTCTCTCTCCACGCAGGCACCAAGGAAACACCATACAAACACACAGTGAGATGGCAGCCATCTGTTAGCCAGGAACAGATTCTCACCATAAACTATGTTGGCACCTTGATCTTAAACTTCCAGGCTCCAAAACTGTGAGAAAATGAATTTCTGTTCCAAGCCTCTTAGATATGGAAAAAAAGATTCTGTTGTTTAAGCCATCCAGTCTCTGGTATTTTGTTATGGCAGCCTGAGTAGGCTAAGACAATGAAGGATGTGGTAAAACTTTACGTCCCAACCACATACCAAAGAGGCTGGAATTTAGCATGCTTTCTTCTTTCAACTGTAGGCAATGTGCACAAGTTCTAAATCCTAAGACATGTTGGCTCCTTTACTCTGCCCAAACTACAACTCAAACAAACAACTGTAATATAATAACATCCAATGAAGTTCTGACATTTCTTCAACATGAGTACAGTAATTCAATGCCAGAGAATTCATTTTATTTTGAAATCTACATGCCATATTCCAATTTCTGTTGAAGATGCAATGGTTATATTTATTCTTTTTAATATAGATTTATCAGACTGGGCGCGGTGGCTCATACCTGTAATCCTAGCATTTGAGAGGCTGAGGTGGGCATATCACCTGAGGTCAGGAGTTTGAGACCAGGCTGGCCAACATGGTGAAACCCTGTCTCTACTATAAATATAAAAATTAGCTGGGTGTGGTGGTGCATGCCTGTAGTCCCAGTTACTAGGGAGGCTGAGGTAGAATTGCTTGAACCTGGGAGCAGGAGGTTGCAATGAGTGGAAATCGCACCAGTACACTCCAGCCTGGATGACAGAGCAAAATAATAAATAAATACATAAAATAGATTTATCAGTTTATCAATAATATAGTTTTCTTTTCTAGGTGTAAATATAGGTAATGACTGTCCTTTAGTACATTTTCTCATGATGCTCCTCTTACTTGGTTTGGTACAATATTAAGTATTGAAATAAAATAGAGAATCCTGTCGCTACACATGAGCACTTATTCCATTTGCTCATCTCCAATATGCACGGGAAATTCTCAAATTGCTAATAATCTTGTAACACACATGCATTATATTCAACAGGAATATATAAATTTATAATTATAATTTAGGATCAACAGATGACAAACCTTTAGAAGGTTTGTATTTAACCTTAAAATATAATTTTTTAAAAATTGGTTATAAAATTTCTAATACTTTCTTTTTTGTGACCTCAAGGGGAAAATATAATTCTTATAAAAGTTCAAATGATTTACAGAATACAAAAAGTGAATAGAGATGATGAATGAATTAAAGGAAAGGATATTGCTACATAGATTTGGAAATTTAAAAAGGGAAATTACGATTGTTGATTTTGTGTTAAACTGATCTGCTTTGTTCAAGATACCTTATGTACCAAAAAATGATTTTATCTCAGCCTCATATCTCAGTAAATTCCTGAGACAAACTTTAGTCCCTGGTGCCCAGGTGCCTTTGGTAATTGGGAGACCTCTAGGTTTAGCATCCTCATCCACTCGCCCCAATTTAAATAGTCCTCCCCAGGGCCATTCAGGCAAGGGAGATGAAAACTTGCTCAAGAGTTGGAATCCAACTGAAGCTACCGAAATTCATTGCTCAATAGATAATTTTCCCTGGAAGTAACTAGGGCTTTTGAATATAATAGTGGGCATTTCAAAGTAGAAGGTAAAGTATTTTGGAGATGAGGAGACAGGACAGAGCTACGAGGAATGTCCTTTGCTTAGGGACTAGGCTCTTAGCAGTACCTCTTAGGTAAGAACTGGTTAACTGGCACCTTCTGTGTTTCTCTGAAGCTCCCTTTGCTTAGGGACTAGGCTCTTAGCAGTACCTCTTAGGTAAGAACTGGTTAACTGACACCTTCTATGTGTCTGAAGCTCCCAGAACAAACTGCCAGTGAAATTTGGATTTTTGGAATATAGTTTCTTTTTTCTTGTTACTTTTTGTTTTGTTGTTTTTTTTTGAGAGTCTCACTCTCACTGCAACCTCCCCCTCCTATATTCAAGTGATTCTCTTGCCTCAGCCTCCCGAGTAGCTGGGACTACAGGCGTGCACTAGCATGCCCAGCTAATTTTTGTATTTTTTAGTAGAGATGGGGTTGGTTTTTTTTTGAGACGGAGTTTCACTTTGTCGCCCAGGCTGGAGTGCAGTGGCACGATCTTGGCTCACTACAACCTCCACCTCCCGGGGTTCAAGTGATTCTTCTGCCTCAGTCTCCTGAGTAGCTGGGACTACAGGCGCCTACAGGTGAACACCGCCACACCTGACTAATTTGTGTAGTTTTATTAGAGATGGGGTTTCGCCATGTTGGCCAGGCTGGTCTCAAACTCCTGACCTCAGGTGATCTACCCACCTCAGCCTCCCCAAGTGCTGGGATTACAGATGTGAGACACCAGATCAGCCTCAGAAGACATTTTCTATTGGAAAGAGAAAACACTATTAGCAACCTATTAGTCTAATATTTAATACTTAATGTCTTCCTTAGTAATAAACCAACTCTCTACAACAAAGTGCTTCCTGGCTGCCTAAGTCATTGATTCATTCAGTTCAACATTTTCTCAATGCCCAACAGCCAAGTGTCTCTTGTATGCCAAGTTCTATGCTGATTATCAGTATTTGAATAAGAGGGGGTCTACATCTTAAGTACTGCTTAAGATGAAAGCCTCTAGGTTAACAAACTTAACACAATGTATCATTCACTACTAAATAGACCGAATACAAAATCTTGTTATTGGAGCCCAGAGAGAAGAATTGAAATTCAAGTTTTCTCTCTCTCCTTTTCTCACTCACCACAATAAGTCAGTTGCACCAAGTCTTGTAGCTCTTTACTGAGCCATGTTTTCACGTGTCCCTTTGTTTTATTTGCCACACCCTAAATAAAAATTGTACTGGCTTTTTTTCCCTGGGTTTACAGTATTAATACATTGTCAAGATTTACCTCTTCGTGTAGATTCCCTGGGGAAAATTACCTTTCCTCCTTCCCTTAAATTCTTCAGAGGTTAGAAAGCCATTAGTAACATTCTGGTATGTGGACAAAGTTTACCCATTATGTATGGATGTTTTACTCTTTCTATTTTTCTGACAATAATCTCTTAAGGAGGTGTGGTTATAGAATAGTCAGCTGTTATAAGTACTGTTTTCCTGGCCTTACAACTTAAGTTCTTTAAGCTGTTTCTTAGTTTGCTCATCTCAAAATTCGGAATAAGGATAAAACCTATCTCTTAGATTGTTGGATTAAATGAATTAACATACTGGAAGCTCATGAAATGTGCCTGGCACACAGTAGTGCCTAATAAACCATCTCTCTTATTCAGCCTGTTTTCTGATTTCAGAATCTACACTTGCTGAGCCAGGTTCTTTTCATTTCAAGGTGAGCAAAAGCATACAAGGAAGAGATGGAGGTAGGAAGAGATTAAGCCCTAGGCCAAGGTCACACACCGATTGGGAGCTGGAATCAAAGGCAATTTGGTCAGTGAATAAAAAGGATTCCAAGGCCCATAAGGCAATTCTAACCTTAGGATCGAAATTCTCGGACATACAGGAAATGCTGGGGGGGGAAAATCCGGTCTTCTCAGCCCAAGAGCCATGTGAAACCAGACCTTCAAATCTGATGATTCTCAGCCCAGCTGCCCATTAGAATCGTTGTAATTTAAAAATACCCTCGGAAAATTCTAATATGTGGCTATCAAAGGTGATCATTTGCTTTTATGCCACTTTGTTTTCACCCAAATGGGACATCCAACCCTTTTCCTTTGAGAGTAGTTGTAGGGAAAGGAGGGGGTGGAGGGAGGGAAGAGCGGAAAAGGCTGGATCCGCCCTGAGCCGGTGTCAGTATCTGGGAAGTGGGAGGCGCGTCAGCAGTAAACAGCTTCTGCTAGGATTATTATCTCCTGCCACACACTCGGATTTGAAGGCTCCAAACGAAACAATGCAAAACGCTTCAGTGGAGTTCCAGAAGCGTTAGACTAAACGACTGGGTCTGTTTGGCCAGTCTGAGCAGCTGGGCGCAGATGCATAGGCAAGACTTAGCCCGCCTAGACTTTTCTGCCCACTTAATTCCGATCAAAGCAGAAACCGGCCGGGCGCGGTGGCTCACGCCTGTAATCCCAGCACTTTGGTAGGCAGAGGCTGGCGGATCACCTGAGGTCAGGAGTTCGAGACCAGCCCGGCTAACCTGGTGAAACTCCGTTTCTACTGGTGGCGGGCGCTTGTAATCCCATCTACTAGGGAGGCTGAGGCCGGAGAGTCGTCTGAACCCGGGAGGCGGAGTTTGTATGCAGTGAGCCGAGATCGCGCCACTGCATTCCAGCTTGGGCAACAGGAGCAAAACTCCGTTTCAAAAAAGCAAGCAAACAAACAAAAAAATGCAGAAACCGAGATCCGGAAGAAAACCTCGGCGAGATTCACAGAATCCAGGAAAATAGGTCTCTAGAAATTTGTCCATGGTCCCAGATCTCCATTTCTTGTGGGTGGGGCAGCTGTTACCAGATCCCTAGAAGCAAAGGTTTTTTTGGGGGACCGTGTCTCACTGTTGCCCAGGCTGGAGGGCAGTGGCACGATCTCGGCTTACTACAACCTCCGCCTCCCAGGCTCAAGCGACTCTCCTGCGTCAGCTTCAAGAGTAGCTGGGATTACAAGGTATGTGCCACCACGCCCAACTTATTTTTTTATTTATTATTTTTATTTAGTAGAGAGGTGTTTCACCATGTTGGCCAGGTTAGTGTCGAAGTCGTGACCTCAGGTGATCAGCCCCCTCGGCCTCCCAAAGTGGTAGGATTAGAGGGGTGAGCAGAAAGCAAAGGTTTTTGAGTGGCCACAGGCCCCACTCTATTTCCTTTTCTGCCTGTAATGGCAACCTAGACGCTTGAGCTTCTTAAAATACAAGAGTAAGTTGCATGTCAGGCACCGTTCTACATTAGGGACATTAGTCTGTTTTACAGACACCTTTCAACTCCCTGGTTAACTTTTAGGTAATATACTCTGCACTTTAGCAGGAATGGGACCTATAACTCTCACAGAATTAGGAAAGTGAGGCTGCCTACAGCCTAAATTGAGAAAAAAATAGACGGGGGACTAGTCGGAGGACCAAACAAGGTTACCAACACGTTAGAGTTTTGCCTTCAATTTACATTTTTAAAGTAATCACAACGAAGTGTTTAGATCACGAGGCATCCCTGCATGTAAACTGTTAGGCACTAACTATGGTCGATCTTACAAAGCATTAACTAGAATATTTCTTTAGAGTATGATAGTACGTAACTGACCTACTATTACATACAAACAGACCAACCTTTAGTAACAGCGCTCCCCAAAAACCGAAAAGCAGTAATACGCTTTGCTCAAGGTTGGCATAAAATTAACTTACCTTAGTGCCTTTTTTCCTTCTACCTACAAGCAGTGAGGTTAGCTCTTCCTTTGAAACGGTAGGGGGGCTCTGAAAAGAGCCTTTGGGTTTGATAGCGTTTCCGGGAGCTCAGATACCTGTCAAATCACTTGCCCTTGGCCTTGTGGTGACTCTCGGTCTTCTTAGGCAGAAGCACGGCCTGGATGTTAGGAAGGACGCCGCCCTGAGCAATGGTCACCCGGCCTAGCAGTTTGTTGAGCTCCTCGTCGTTGCGGATGGCCAGCTGCAAGTGGCGCGGGATGATGCGAGTCTTCTTGTTGTCGCGAGCCGCGTTGCCGGCCAGCTCCAGGATCTCGGCGGTCAGGTACTCTAACACCGCCGCCAGGTACACCGGCGCGCCTGCCCCAACCCGCTCTGCGTAGTTGCCTTTACGGAGCAGGCGGTGCACTCGGCCCACCGGGAACTGGAGACCAGCGCGAGAAGAGCGGGATTTCGCTTTGGCGCGAGCTTTGCCTCCTTGCTTACCACGTCCAGACATTGCAATCAGACAAAAATCACCAAAACCAGCGGCCTAAGCTCACGAGAAAACAAACAAAATCAAGAAATATGTAAAACATGGCCGCTTTTATAGGTAGTTCCTGGGGAGTAAATCCGACTTTTTGATTGGTCGGTAGCAAATGCTAGTCAGATAGCCAATAGAAAAGCTGTACTTTCATACCTCATTTGCATAGCTCTGCCCACGGATGACAACTGTGCAGTTTGTCTTCCAATTAACTAAGAGGTACTCTCCATCCCTCATTAGCATAAAAGCCCTATAAGTAGCAGAAATCCGCTCTTTACTTTCGACACATTTCTGGTGTTTTAAGATGCCTGAGCCAGCCAAGTCTGCTCCCGCCCCGAAGAAGGGCTCCAAGAAGGCAGTGACCAAAGCGCAGAAGAAAGATGGCAAGAAGCGCAAGCGCAGCCGCAAGGAGAGTTACTCTGTGTACGTGTACAAGGTGCTGAAACAGGTCCATCCCGACACTGGCATCTCTTCCAAGGCCATGGGCATCATGAATTCTTTCGTTAACGACATATTTGAGCGCATCGCGGGCGAGGCTTCCCGCCTGGCGCATTACAACAAGCGCTCGACCATCACCTCCAGGGAGATCCAGACGGCCGTGCGCCTGCTGCTTCCCGGAGAGCTGGCCAAGCACGCCGTGTCGGAGGGCACCAAGGCCGTCACCAAGTACACCAGCTCCAAGTAAACATTCCAAGTAAGCGTCTTAACACCTAACCCCAAAGGCTCTTTTAAGAGCCACCCAGATACCCACTAAAAGAGCTGTGGCCAGACGCCAAATTTTATTTGGCGGCGGAGGGGTATTAGAATATAGGAACTGGAGAGGGGTGGGGACAAGTGTTGCAGCTTAGAGAGGGACAAAGGGTCCTGAACCCGAAAGAAGCCAGCCATTAAAAATGGCTTTGGGGTCAATTCGTTGTGCTTAAATTTAAAATGGAGACAAGCGGCCATTTTGCTAACTCGGCGTTCCCGGAAGAAACCGCAGGCTCGCTTAGGTTTCAGACCCAGCTGTCTGTCCCTGTCTACGTCGCCAGGATCAACGGTTGCCGTAATGTCATAATTTCGCCACCAGCTTCTAGCCAATAGGCTGTCCTGTCATTTTAAATATTAACCAATCGAGGGAAAGCTGTTTTGAGACTCTGATTTACATAGCGGACCGGAGTGGGAACCTGGGCAGT
This sequence comes from Homo sapiens, assembly GCF_000001405.40. Lineage (NCBI taxonomy): Eukaryota > Metazoa > Chordata > Mammalia > Primates > Hominidae > Homo > Homo sapiens. The sequence continues at coordinate 26,123,033 of NC_000006.12, read as the reverse complement.
AACTGCCTAAGGAAGGACTCCCCCTCTGTTTTCGTGGCGCACACCTTCGTAGTATACTGAAGGGTGTGTCTCCTGGGTTTCCAACTGCCCCGGTAATAGTCTTTTAACCTAATATGCGTCAGTTTTGATAACAACACTAAGGCAGTACAGAACTAAAGATGTAAGCACTGCGCCAGATGTTGCTTCATACATCTTATTCTATTCAACTGGTTTATTCAAGATTCAAATCAAATCAAATTTTGCTTGAATCCCAGTGCTCAGTCAGCCATAAATGGTGTGTTGCCTGATTGAAACTTAAAATCTCCGTAGGGGGCTTGTAACATGCAGACAAGTTTGAAAGTTGCTTTAGGAGAAGCCAACTCTTAACTGCTGGGTAAATTGACAAGCCTTCGAACACTGAACTGAAGGCCAGTAAGGACTAGGCGCTGGGTGGGGGAGAATGAAGAGGAGACGTCATTAAACTTAGCACATACACTGTATCTCCTAGAGGACTCTCCCTTCCTAGACAACTGCAGGCCGCTTTGTGGCCTGGGAAATTCCACATTCCCTTAAGTATTTTACTCATGGTCTTTTCCAGGTAAAGATTTTAAGATGAAGGGTTAGACGTAGTCTACCTATCTTTTTATTCAAGTCTAGAACACGTTTTTAGCACCTAGAAGTTTGCTTTCTCCATTAAAAACCGGGAATATACAATAAATAAAATTAGTGTTAAAGCAGATTTTTACAAACTTAAATACCATGTAATTTAGGTTACAGTTATTTAACATAAGGACTGTGTGATCTTAAATCTGCAATTTCTTTCACACCTGGGAAATAAACTAAGGCCTGTCTTTGGTGCCAGACAAGGCCTTATACTTGAACACTGCTGTGCAATCACAGGCTGCCTTGCCTAGATAACTTATCTGAGAAATTCTGATGAGAAATGAAATTTCCAGAGTCCCTCACAAGTAAATTTTTTTTTCTTTTTTTTTTTTTTTTTTGAGACGAAGTTTCTCTCTTGTTTCCCAGGCTGGAGTGCAATGGCGCGATCTTGGCTCACAGCAACCTCCGCCTCCCGGGTTCAAGCCATTCTCCTGCCTCAGCCTCCGGAGTAGCTGGGATTACAGGCATGCGCCACGACACCCTGGCTAATTTTGTATTTTTAGTAGAGACGAGGTTTCTCCATGTCGGTCAGGCTGGTCTCGAACTCCGGACATCAGGTGATCTGCCCGCCTTGGCCTCCCAAAGTCCTGGATTACAGGCTTGAGCCACCGCGCCGGGCCTAAATGGTTTTTTTTTTTTCTATGCCTCTAATGGACCTGGTCACTTATTCCCATTCAGACTGACCGCTCTCCTACCTGCCAACTAACTAATCAGTGTAACCAAAATCTGCAAACAAAATTCAGTATTCTTTCCCCGCCTTTTCCCCTTTCTCTTACATAGATTATGTTTTTGCCTGTGTTAGATGAAATAATTCTATTGCTTGTTCTCTCTTCTGTACAAGTACCCAGTAAGCAAATTATTAACTTCTTGGTCATTTATTTCTGAATTTTCCACCAAGACAGTGTTTATGTGAGTCATACAATAAGAACCAACAGAAATGTGTGTCTTGGAAACAGGTTGTCTATCCCTGGACCCTTTGAGTTTTCTGTTCACTTTCCTTTGGCTTTTGCATGCTAAAAGTTTATCGTCCGCGTTTGTTTGTTTTGGTTATTCTAATTGGACTTGGCTGATTGGTTGCATATTGGTGGCAGTAGTAGAATTTGAATTCTGGTTTTCTGGTCACATCATTAAGTGATTAGTCAGTGGAGAGGACAGGAAATCTGGTTTATTTATTAACCTTTTTTTGGGGTGTTTTTGTTTGAAGATGTTGATATTCTCTGTGAGGACACAGGGTTAGAGTTGGTGTTTTTCTTTCTGACTTTACATGGGATTTGATGTTTTGTGCTTGTATGCCTCTTTCCACCTTCCAAAACTTGTCTTTTTTGAGTCCAAATAGTTGTCGATATCTGCAAAACCAGTATTCCTGTGTTAAGATGATATGAATATAAAATGGCTGCCCTGTTATAACTTTTGACTTTAAGAAAGTGTTAGGACTAACAGGAGACAAAAAGGAAATCAAGGAAACCGAATGTCTGGTCTCAATAACTGCTATGGCAGAGGCTCTACAGCTTATTATTAATTTTAGTAATTTCACATTATTGCCCCTTCACGTTCTTTAAGTAAGGTTAGAGGACAGAAGAAACATAATGTTGTTACAAATTGGACTATTGAGTCAGGGAAAAAAAAGAGTGCTTTCAATATCTGAATAAAACAAAGATTTAATATTTTCTAAACCTTAACGAGTTTATTGTAAGGGATGTGATGCTGGAAACTAGGAAACTAGAATTTTCTTCTAAACTGAGAATCAGAATTATTCATATTCTCAGCAGTGGTGCCACCTGAGGG